>NT_187614.1:1918049-2237724 GCF_000001405.40 Homo sapiens
GTAGGGAAACAAAGTCTTCAGCAGACAGTGCAGGTGATTCAGAAATATTCACTCAGTTATCTTTTTGGTCAGGGTGCCCAAAAGAAATCCTATCTTGGAAAGCAAAGTTACCCATGCAAATATGAATCCACCTCCTTCCCCACCCTCCTCTTTCACGTTTCTCTGCTTTGTTCTTCTTTCTAGTATATATCAACACTCGTATTTTTGTTTATTTAGTGTATATTTAGTATATTGTTTAGTTCTTGTTGGCTCCCTCCCAGTTGAATGTAAACCCCATAGGGAAGTGACCTTTTATAAACTGCTTTTCTTCCCATGCCTAGAGAAGTATGTAGCGTATAGTAAGCACTCAATAAACACTTGTCGACTAATGTGGTTTGGCTCTGTGTCCCCGCCCAAATCTCCTGTCAAATTGTAAATCCCAGTGTTGGAGGTGGGGCCCGGTGGGAGGTGATTGGATCATGGGGGTGGTTTCTAATGGTTTTAGCACCGTCCCCCAGTGCTGTCTCGTGCTAGAGTTCTCATGAGATCTGGTCACTCAAAAGTGTGTAGCACCCAGTAACCAAAACAGCGTGGTACTGGTACCAAAATGGAGATATAGACCAATGGAACAGAACAGAGGCCTCAGAAATAATACCACAGATCTACAACTATCTGATCTTTGACAAACCTGACAAAAACAAGAAATGGGGAAAGGATTCCCTATTCAACAAACGGTGCTGGGAAAACTGGCTAGCCATACGTAGAAAGCTGAAACTGGATCCCTTCCTTACACCTTATGCAAAAATTAATTCAAGATGGATTAAAGACTTACATGTTAGACCTAAAACCATAAAAACCCTAGAAGAAAACCTAGGCAATACCATTCAGGACATAGGCATGGGCAAGGACTTCATGTCTAAAACACCAAAAGCAATGGCAACAAAAGCCAAAATTGACAATTGGGATCTAATTAAACTAAAGAGCTTCTGCACAGCAAAAGAAACTACCATCAGAGTGAACGGGCAACCTACAGAAAGGGGGAAAATTTTTGCAATCTACTCATCTGACAAAGGGCTAATATCCAGAATCTACAATGAACTCAAACAAATTTACAAGAAAAAAACGAACAACCCTATCAACAAGTGGATGAAGGATATGAACAGACACTTCTCAAAAGAAAACATTTATGCAGCCAACAGACACATGAAAAAATGCTCATCATCACTGGCCATCAGAGAAATGCAAATCAAAACCACAATGAGATACCATCTCACACCAGTTAGAATGGCAATCATTAAAAAGTCAGGAAGCAACAGGTGCTGGAGAGGGTGTGGAGAAATAGGAACACTTTTACACTGTTGGTGGGACTGTAAACTAGTTCAACCATTGTGGAAGTCAGTGTGGCGATTCCTCAGGGATCTAGAACTAGAAATACCATTTGACCCCGCCATCCCATTACTGGGTATATACCCAAAGGATTATAAATCATGCTGCTATAAAGACACATGCACATGTATGTTTATTGTGGCACTATTCACAATAGCAAAGACTTGGAACCAACCCAAATGTCCAACAATGATAGACTGGATTAAGAAAATGTGGCACATATACACCAAGGAATACTATGCAGTCATAAAAAATGATGAGTTCATGTCCTTTGTAGGGACATGGATGAAGCTGGAAACCATCATTCTCAGCAAACTATCACAAGGACAAAAAACCAAACACTGCATGTTCTCACTCATAGGTGGGAATTGAATAATGAGAACACTTGGACACAGGAAGGGGAACACCACACACCAGGGCCTGTTGTGGGGTGGGGGAGGGGGGAGGGATAGCATTAGGAGATATACCTCATGTAAATGATGAGTTAATGGGTGCAGCACACCAGCATGGCACATGTATACATATGTAACAAAACTGCACGTTGTGCACATGTACCCTAGAACTTAAAGTATGATAAAAAAAATATATATATATAAAATAAAATAAAACGAAACTACCATCCAAAAAAAAAAAAGGAAGTGTGTAGCATGTCCCCCTTCTCTCTCCTCCTCCTGCCTGCCATGTAAGACGTGCTTGCTTCCACTTCGACTTCCACCATCATAGTAAGTTTCCTGAGGCCTCCCCAGAAGCAGAAGCCTGTATAGCCCACATAACCGTGAGCTGATTAAACCTCTTTTCTTTATAAATTATACAGTCTCAGGTATGTCTTTATAGCAGTGTGAGAATGGACTAATACATCAACCAAATGAATGTCATGTTACTGAAGAGCCTGACATCATATTAGGGATATGATAATATCACATTACAGCATAACATACTACTAAGATGCTTCCTAAGGTACCACTTTAAAGAAAAACCAAGATACAGCCTATGTTTGTGTAACATTGTTTTTCACTTTCTACAACAGCAGGGTTTATTTTTATTTTTATTTTTTATTTTATTTTATTTTTTTTTGAGACAGGGTCTCGCTCTGTTGCCCAGGCTGGAGTGCAGTGGTGCAATCTTGGCTCACTGCAGCCTTGACCTCCTCAAGCAATCCTCTTGCCTTAGCTTTCTGAGTAGCTGGGACCACAGGTGCACGCCACCATACCTGGATTTTCTTAATTTTTAGTGGAGACAAAGTCTTGCTATGTTGCCCAGGCTGGTCACAAACTCCAGGGTTCAAGAGATCCTCTTGCCTTGGCCTCCCAAAGTGCTGGGATTATGGGTGTGAGCTACCACACCTGGCCAACAACACTAATTTCTATTTCCTACTTTGTTTAGGGCCCAAATCTTGGAATTATTTTTTATCACTCTTTCTCACATTCTACATCTAAACCAACAGGAAATCCTGGTATCTTCAAATCCTGTACCTTCAAAATACAGAATCAGATCAGCTCTCATCACCTATGCTTAGATTATGGCAACAACTTCCTGATAATCTCTTTGCTGTCACTGTTGGCACTCCCTTCCCCAAAATCTCAGCAATCAGAGGGATCCTTTTAAAACAGAAGTCGTATCTTGTCCTTGCTGTATTCAAAATTCTCTGCTGGCTCCCAGCTCACACAAAGTAAAAGCCAAAGTTCTTACACCAGTTGGCCGAAGTGCTTACAAATGGTCACAAGGCCCTTTGTCATTGTGCCCCTGCACCTGTTTATCTCTGTGAACCAGAACTATCCCTCTCTCTCTGCTCTAGCGGCTCTGCTATATGTTTCTCTTCCTGCCCCAGGGCCTTTGCACTTGCTATTACCTCTGCCTGGAATGCTCTCCTCCTAGATGTCCATATGGCTGACTCAGCAGCCTTAGGGCTCTCAGACGTCACGTTCTCAGTGGCCACTCTCTTCTTCCTTGTCCATACTGTTTAAAATGGCTACCAGGCTGGGCACAGTGGCTCATGCCTGTAATCCCAGCACTTAGGGAGGCCAAGGTAGGCAGATCACCTGAGGTCAGGAGTTCCAGACCAGCCTGGCCAACATGGCAAAACCCATGTTTAGTCTCTACTAAAAAATACAAAAATTAGCCGGGCATGGTAGCGTGTGCTTGTAGTTCCAGCTACTCAGGAGGCTGAGGCAGGAGAATTGCTTGAACCCGGGAGGTGGAGGTTGCAGTGTGCCGATATCGTGTCACCGTACTCCAGCCTGGGCCACAGAGTGAGACTCTGTCTCAAAAAAAAATTAAAAATAAATAAATAAAAATAAATGGCTACCCCTAGTATCTCCTTTACCTGCTATAATTTGCATAGATTTTTTTTTTTTTTTTTTTTGAGACGGAGTTCACTCTTGTTGCCCAGGCTGGAGTGCAACGGCACGATCTCTGCTCACCACAACCTCCGCCTCCCGGGTTCAAGCGCTTCTCCTGCCTCAGCCTCCCGAATAGCTGGGATTACAGGCATGTGCCACCATGCCTGGCTAATTTTGTATTTTTAGTAGAGACAGGGTTTCCTCATATTGGTCAGGCTGGTCTCAAACTCCTGACCTCAGGTGATCTGCCTGCCTCGGCCTCCCAAAGTGCTGGGATTACAGGCATGAGCCACTGCGCCCGGCCAATTTGCATAGATTTTTAAAATCATCTGACACACACACATACACATACATATATTCACACATTTATTTGTTATCTCCCTGACTAGAATGTAGGGTTCATGAAGGTAAGGATTTTTATCTATTTGGTCTACTGATAGATCTCCAGTGTCTAGAACGATAGTACCTGACATGCAGTAAGTGCCAGTAGGTATTTCTTGAATAAATGAAGGGGAAATATTATTTTGAATTATGTATTTACAAAAGCAAAGATATACACAGAAGATCTTGTAATGGCTCAGGAAATCAGACATGTTTTCCTTATACTGGTATTTTTTGGTCTTTTTAAAAAATTAGCTTTATCCATTTATTACCTTCAACCTTCATAATTAATTGGGGATAATCTAATATATCAGTTCATTAATGATGTCAAGACAATATGGCACAGGAAAGAAATCTTTCTTTGGGGAATATAACAGTGTGTATCTGGTGAAAAAATAAAAGACGGGGGAAAGAAACATCTTGTTTTTGTGTTGCGTGATCTGTTGGCGTAAACGTACATATGCAGATCGTGTGAAGCCTGCTTTGGTGTTTCCTGCTTTTGATGTGGTCCCCCTCATATTTGCTTTGCAGGTTCTCCCTTAGAAAGTGTTTTCTCTATAGGCATGCACCCAGGAAAAAGGAATGTTCATCCAGGCACGTGCAAAGTCCTGCAAACTCTAAAGATTCATTTGTAAAATAGTCATGTTATAAATCTCGGCAGACAATCCAGTATTTGTCCAGCTAGAATGACCTCTGCACCCAGGAGAAGAGGAGGAGGGAGGGGGGTGGGGAGGAAGGGCCTAACAGGCACTTGGTTCAGCTGATTGCAATTTCTCATAAATATTCAGCCTGTGTGATGCTGTTGGGATGTGTTTGAAGCATTAAGGCATGGATATGTCATATCTCATTTTCCAGAGCAGCTTTGGATGGCGTGTTTGAATTAATTCCTAAGTCAAAGGGGACACCTTGACCCTGATTTTCCTTGGACAGAAGTTAGCTCCCACCTCTTCCTGACCCTCACTCTTCCTTGCTCACTGGATTCCTCCATGATCCCCAACCCACTTTTTAGAACACAAAGCCAGTTTTAGTTCCATCTTCCCAGTGCTCTCTGTGGCCCTCCCACTCATATAAGATCATCACATTTTATCTTCTTCTTTTCCTAAGGAGGACAAAGACTCTCTCCAGTGAAGCCTTTCTCTTCTCCTCAGGCCTCTCCTTCCTGACTCAGCCTTGGTTTACCACTGAGATTTGCCATATACCATACAGATGAACAAAAACGTTACCAATTATTGGCAGGTTTTTTTTGTTTTTTTGTTTTTTTTTTAACCAAACGTCAAGTTGGTGATGAAGTTATCTGGAAATGTCAACCAAACCCAGAAGACTACACAAGACTACAGGAGAAGGCACTCTGGGGTGAGATGATACTAACACACAATACCCATTGTATATACAGTTCTAAGTGTTTAACATATATTAACCCTCTTACTTCTCAAACAATCTAATAAAGTAGGTACTACCATTATCATTCCTGTTTCACATAGCAGGACACTAAGGGCCAGGGAGGTTAAATGGTGGAGTTGGAGATTCTGATCAAGGAATTTTGGCTCCAAAGGTAATTCAAAGACTTGCCCCCAACTGTGGGCCAAGAGCTCAGATTCCCTGACTGTCTGCATTGTATTCTTTCTTATCTACCTGAATTCAGCAGCTAACACTGCGTTATCTCTGCCTTTGGTGGAATACCCCATAACTGGTTAGCATGGAAAAGTTTAATACAGTTTAAGGCGAGTTTTCAGTACTGGTTTTATTTCCTATCCATGGATGTTAAAATGAAATTTGCCTTCCTCAGGCTCACCCTAGAAAGTGACAGCTGGCTCTGATAAAAATGGAACCATCTGTCTGTGAGCCTGGGGTCAGGGTATGAAAAGACACCCTGGAGATTGTTGGTCCATCAGGTGGTGGGAGGAAGGTGTGGGGGTTGAAGCTTGCCAATGAATCTTCAGAGTGTGTGATTCCCCTTGGCCCTTGTATAGCCAGTGGAGGGAGGTCCCTGTTTGATTTAGAAAGGTGAAGCTAACCATCCTTGGGGCTCTCAGTTGCCAGGGTCAGCTGTCTACATATCTTCGTTCAAATAGGATTTCGTTAGGAAAACTCTCTAGAGACTGTCCCCAACCCAGCCATCCTCCCTCTCTTCCATCTACACCTCTGCCCAGATGACCTGTTAGATAAATATGACCTTCTGGGTTTTCAGGGTCTAAATGCAAGATCTAAAATCTATCAAAAGCAGATGCTTGCTTTTCTAGAAACAACACGAGTCCAGATATAGGGCTTCAATTGGGGCTGGAGCTTGAGGCCTATGTTCCTTTCCTCTTCCCGGAGCTCACAGGAGCCATCCAACAGGACAGCTCAGCTAATGAAAGGGGATCTTGGCCTCTCTCCATATGCAGTGCTCGGCCTTGTCCTCAGCCCTCCTCAACCCAGTCATGAACTTTTCTCTTCACTGTTTCAATCCAAATTACATTGTTAGGGGGAGCTAGGAATCAATTAAAGTCAGTATTTCCTTGTCCATCCATTGCTGCTCTGGCCACAGACTAGGTACTCAGTAAATTTGCCCAGCTCACTGAGAATTGAATCTCCCACTACAATGGGATTTTGAAAAAATCCATCACTCATGGCCTGGTTAGCACAATCTTTGCTTCCACTTTCATTGGGACATGCTCTGCCTAAAAGCGAAGAACCACAGGGCAGTAGGCCTATGCTGTTTGGCAAAAAAGGAAACAGCAAAGAAGACAGGTCCATCTTCCTTTCTTCTGGAGTCAGCACTGAATTATTTGTGGTAAAGTCCCTGCTGGTGGAGTCTCTGGGCCTTTGGCTTTTTACTGTTTGGACTATTTGTATTCCTTAGCATCCCCACCAGAGAGAGAATCTTGGGCAAGAGGTGACGTCCACAAGAGCCCATTCACTTAGTGACTGAGAGCTGTAAGGGAAGGAAAAGGAGGGCAGGAAGAAAGGCTGGAATTAATGCTTTAAATGAGGCTAAACAATTTACCCGCAGAGTTTTCATTCATCCTACTTTTTGTCTGTTTCTATCACATGTCACCCACCAAGAATTGACTCTATGACTTTACCCCTGTGAGTTGCAGGGAAGAAAAGGGTGCTAGCTCCTGCTCTGGCCAGATTCCCTCTGAGCGACTTGTGGAGTCTTACTGGGGGATTCAACTCTTCTTCACCTCAATCAGCAGTAAAGCCTACACAGACACTGGGAGCATGACGGCAAGAGAAGGCCACCCACCTCTCTACACCCCTAGATGACACACTACAGGATCCCAGTGGAGTATACAGAAAATTCCAAGGAGACCAGGGGCCAGGGGTTCTCGGTGGAACCATGGCAGGGAAAGTATCAGAGACAGAAATATGAGACTCTGGGTAGTGATAAAATAAATTGTTTTAATGGAAGGCTTTCTGAGACTGCAACTTTTTCTTCTGCTATCAAACAGCCAGTTTCCCTGCCCTGGGGTTTCTTAGGGAGTGCACGGCTGAGCTCCTGGCCCACAGGAAGCTGGCATGTTACTCTGACACACTACATTCAGCCCCTCCAGGGATCCAGAGGTGTGTCTTAATGTCAGGAGACTGGAGTTAGCTGGTAGTCAGTCCAAGGTATGCTGTCCCCATAAGTGTCCAGGCCCGCGGGAGAGGACAAGGGGCTTCACTTCCCACTTAGGATGTTTCTCCATGAGGGGAGAGGGGACAGATCACTTTTGAAATTTTGACTCTGACCTTTACAAAGAAAACTAATAGACACTTTAGTATTATATACAGGGCAGAGGGGAGAGGACACAGAGGGGAAATTGCACTTAATTACAGTAGTTTATAGTTTACAGCCATTGGACAAATTTACTTCTTTAAAAGAAATCTCAAGATCATGTGGGATGGGGGCAGGGGAGGGAGTCTGTGGATATTTACAGTGTGTTTGGCTCAGTTCAATAGCACATGTCCTTCTCTCCTCATTTCAGTAACAGATTCAAGTTTTCGCATCAGTTTGTTCGATGAAGGATCACAACATAGACAGTACGGCTTTCTTGCTTCCTCTTCGGTGGTTCCTTGTCTCCCACCTCCAGGACAGACAGGAGTCCTTGACATCGTGGGAGAGGCATTGTGGCAATACTGCATAGAAGGGAAACTGGGCTTCGGGCTGCGCCTCCTGAGAGTGGATTGTCTGAGGTGCCAGCAGGACGTCCGTCAGGTAAGCAGGGACCTCTCGCAGGTGCCGGTCAGGTCACTGGGCTTTTCCATGACAGCTGCCCAGAGGGTGATGGTGTGGAAAACAGGGTCCTTGTTGTTGCGCACGAAGTAAGTGGTGTGTGGGCATCACCAGGCTTGTAGAGGACACTGCAGAGAGAGAGGAGAGAGAGTGCTCAGCTGTGTCATTTGGCAGGGTCATGGGCCATTAGTTTGGCTTCTCTAAGGGAGATGATGCCCAACTCAACCAGCAAAGAGCAGCAGGTGGAGGGCTGGGGGCCTCGTGTCTGCTCAGTTCTGCAGTTTTCATGCTGAGGCACACTTCCTGCAGGAAAACCCGGGAGCCGGCTTTCCTGGCCACTTCAGAAGAAAGAAGTGAATTGCTGGGGACCTTGAAGTAGTCTTAACTTGCTGACCTGAATCCTGAAGCTGGGCTCCTCTTTCTGTGACAGTGGCATTTATAGAGTGCTTAGTGTACTTGAAAAGGCAGCTGGATGGTGAGCTCTTGCCTCTCGTGGAAGCAAGGGTCTCTTCCTAAGACCGCTAAGAGCAGAGGCCTCCTATACTAATGCTTCTCGAACTTTAACGGACCCACAAGTACCAGAGAGCCTGTGAAAATGTGGATTCTGGTTTAATTCTGACTTGTAGGCCTGGGGTGCACCTAAGAGTCTGCATTTCTAACAAGTTCCCAGGGTGTGCCAGTGCTGCTCACCTAGGGCAGCAAGGCCAGAAAGCACACGAGAAAATGACCACTCAAACTACTCATCAGGAAGGAGCTTTGCAAATTGCAAAGTGCTTTCTACGGGTTTCTTACTTTAGCATAAGAAACTCAGAGGACCAGGGAAAGGATCCAAAGGCTGAAGGCCTCTGATGCCATCCTTGTGGGTGGGCCAGGGCAGGAGACCCCAGAATGGCTGGAGAAGCCCTCGAGAGAAGCCACCTCACCCAACTCAGGGCAGCCTTGCCCTCCAGTGCCTGGGCCTTATTCATTGGAACTGTCATGGAGTGTCACTGCTTTCCTTTTCACTTCTGGGGAGTCTCTTTTTGTCTCCCTGTGTCTCCTCCTTCCCTTTTGCTTTTGCCGGCATCTAAGGTTCTGCCTTTGACTTAGTGGCTTATTCTCTCAAGATCCCCCCAAACACACACACACACACACACACACACACACACACACACACACACTTACACCTACCAATACCACTAAAGGCCACTGTTATCGCATTGATCAGTGCTCCAACCATAACCCTATATGAGGATACCATTATGTCTATTTGACAGATTAGGAAAACAAGGCTAAAAGAGAGTCAGTGAATTGTCCATGGTTTAAGAACTAGGAGAGTGTGGAGCCACAGCTTCAAACTAGCTGTCTAGGTGGCCACTCAGCATGTGCTCTTTCAATCATGCTTGGAGGTGAGGAGCCTTCTACTAAGCTTTGTGCTCTTGGACAAGTTACTCTCTCTGTGCCTCAGTTTCTTCCCCTATAATATGGGAGTTGTTGTGTGATTAGATGAGTCAACACCTGTGGAGTCCTGAGCATGGTCCTTGGCACAATTGTTATTATTAACATGGGGTTCTTCAGCCCAAGCCCCTGCTGCTCCTCAGTACTCTTAAGAGTGGGGCTGAAGGCCTGGCGCAGTGCCTCACGCCTGTAATCCCAGCACTTTGAGAGGCCAAGGCAGGTGGATCACAAGGTCGGGAGATCGAGATCAGCCTGGCCAACATAGTGAAACCACATCCCTACTAAAAATACAAAAATTAGCTGGGCATGGTGGTGCACACCTGTAGTCCCAGCTACTTGAGAGGCTGAGGCAAGAGAATCGTTTGAACCCAGGAGGCGGAGGTTGTGGTGAGCCGATATTATGCTACTGCACTCCAGCCTGGGCGACAGAGCAAGACTTGGTCTCACCAAAAAAAAAAAAAAAAAAAAAAAGAGGGGGGCTGAGCAGTGCGTGCATGTGAGGAGACAGGCTTCTGACCCTTCCACATTCTTGAGACGTTGGTCAGGGTCCTCTGATACCCTTTGCCTCCTCTTCCTCCCCTGGCCCACCCCCACTCTCAAGTCTCTTTACTTCCCACTATCAGCCTTTTTCCAATTTTCAGATTTCAGGTGGAGGAGAGAGAAAACGGCTTGTGACCTTGCAGGTTTCAAAAGAAGAGCAAACAAGAAGGGCAGATAAGGAGACGCCAGTGAGATTCTATGGCCTGTCATTAGGGATGGGCTTCCCAGCTATCAAATGTTTGCTCACATAATAAAATGGTGGCAGAGCCCAAAATGTTGTCAAAAGAACTAGAGTTATTTGCCTCCTTCAGAGTCTAAACACAAACATCTGATAAGGGGTGCACTGTGGTCCCTTAGAACTGGAGGCCCAGCACACGCAGCCCCACGGGGGCCTGGCCCAGAAGATCTCTGAGAGACCGCGGGGCCCTCCGTCTGAAAGGTGTGGTAGCTGTGGCAAATGTGAAGGACATCCTTATTCTAAGAGGATTTGTTACATAATGGTAAGAGCTAACATTTATTGACATCCTACTGTGTGCCAGGCACCATACCAAGGGCTTCACAAGCATCACTGCCTCGAGTTCTTACGTCGACCCTTTGAAGTAGGTGATTATCGTGAATTCATTTAACACGTTTGAGTGCCTACTGTGTACTTGGCACTTTTTTAGACACTGGAGATGCAGCTGTAAACAACACCCTGCCCACTTCTTCACAGGCTTTACCTCCTAGTGAAGGCTTTGAATAATAAACAAGTAAACAAATGCGTGCACACACACACACACACACACACACACACACACACACTACAACTTTAGGTGGAGATGAGCACTCCATAGAAAAATAAGCATAGAGGTTAGGGCAGCTTGAGGAAAAAGAGATTAACTTAGATATGGGAATCAGGCGAGGCCTCTTTGAAATGGTAACATTTGAGCTGAATGAAGTGAAGGGGCAAGCATGTAAAAATGCACAGAAAAAAAGAGCTCCAGGCAGACACCACAAATGCAGGAGTCCTGGAGTGGGATCTCTTCAGCCCTGGCACAGCTAAAGCTGAGCGGGTGATGGAGGGAGGAAGGAGGTGAGAACGGCGACACTGGCAGGGGCATAATCACATAGGGTCCTGTATGTCTCTGTTTTAGTTTGGTTGTGATGGAAAGCTATTGGAGAGTTTTGACAGGGGATTGACATGCTTGATGTCTCTTTGTAAGAGATCACTCTGGCGAACAGCCCCCAGTGGGGCAAGGGTGGAAGTGGGAGACAGGCAAGGGCCACCTAAGGAGATCAGGGAGAGACAAGGGGGCCTGGGCTGGGACTAGGGCAGTCCTGATGGGAGTGTGAGAAGAGGTCAGATTTAGGATGTATTCTGAGGGTCCCCTAGTAGAACTTATTGAGAGACTGATGTGATGTGGAGAGAAGAATCAGGGATACTCTCAGCTCTCTCACTTGAACAACTGGTACCAGTTTTGGAAATGGAGAAGCCCATGGGGGAAGCAATTTTGATAGGATGAAATAGGGCAAAATGAAGAGTTCCTATTTTAGGCACGTTGAATTCAAGAGGCTTATTAGATATTTTAGACATGCGTCTGTCCCTGCCGAAGCAGCACTGGATCTGTGAGTGAGCACTCAGTAGGGAAGACCGGACTGTACACAGAATTACAGGAACCATCGGCGTGTACACTTGACCTAAAGCCATGGGACTGGAGGAGATCACCCAGGAGTGAGCACAGATGAGAAGAGGCCAAAGAATGAGGCCCGGGGCCCTCCAACACATAAATATTGGGAAGATGAGTTGCCAGCTGAGGAGATGAGAAGTGGCCAGTGCCGTAGAAGAACCAGGAATGGTAGTATCCCAAACTCCCATGGAAAAAAGGAGGGAGAGATCAGCTGTGTCAGAGACAGAGGTTGAAAAGTAACCATTGGTTTCAGCAGCATGGAGGGGATCGTGAGCTGGACACAGTGAGGCGTGAGGATAAAGGCCAGTCTGCAGTGATCTCAAGAGAGAATTGAGGGTGAGGAAGTGGAGACAGTGAGGACAGATAAGTCACTTCTATGACCATGAACTTATGTGAGATTCATTGTGGCTCCATTAATTAAAAGTCATGATTATAATTCCGGTTTTACAGATGAGGGAAGCGTGGCCTGGAGAGGTGATAAGTAAGTTGGCCGGGGTCTCACAACAGCAAGGCTTGTGCTCTTCACCCCTATGTAAGAGCACTTCTTTCAACCCCCTCAACACGGGGAAATAAATGCCCTTTGCCACGTAAGACCCTTTTCCCAAACTCAGAGCCGCTCAGGGGTGCTAGCAGGGGAAGCCAAGAGTGACCCAGCTTCCATGGGCTGGGTGTTTCCTTTGGGACATGCGCTGAGTGAAGTATTTTACAGGTCTTCGTGCAGTTAGTCCTTTCAGTGATCCCATGAAAGAGGTATCATTATCTTCATTTTACAGGTGAGCAAACAGAGGCTCAAAGAGGCTAAGACATTTCTCTGAGGTCACACAGGTAGAAAGTGGTAGAATGTTGAGCCCAGATCTGCCTAACTCCTAGGTCGATGCTCCCAACCATCAGAACACTCTGCTTCCTCACCCAGTGAAGAAGCTGGGAGAGGAATAGCCGAAGGGGATAGATGATGAGGCCACCCACCTGCCCCCTTGTCAGTGCCCTGACTAGTTACTGCTCTGGGGGCCCTCTCTTCACCTTCCCATAAACTAGGAAGTCAAGCAGCGGGGAGAGAACACTGTGGAAACAGGAGTTGGCTCACAACCTGCCTGCACTTGTTCTAACTGAGGTCAGTGGTTGCTGTGGTCTTGTTTCCAGACTAGAGGGGCATTGTTGAACTCATGCACAAACCCACTCAGAGATAACTTGCCAGCACCCAAGAGTTGAGAAGGAGGGAGACGTATGTGCTCTGGAAGGGACAGATGGCAGTAGATGCAGAAGGATTCTTGGCAGCGAGAAGTCCCAGCCTGGGGTTCCTGACCTGTAATCCCCAAGGCCCTTGGGGCATGTCTGCCTTGACAACAGGAAGTACTGGGATCAGACAGATACAAGTACAAATCCTGGCTTTAGCCTTATACCTGCATAACCTTGGGTTGTTATTATGGGTGCTTAAAAGTGGATATTGGAAGATGAACGTTGTTTAATGAGTTTGGAGTGAGAAAGCCAGTCTGGAAGTCCAGCTCTGGAATTTATGATCTGTTTGAACTTGACCAGATCCATACCCATCTTTGAACCTCAGTTTTCTGCTTTGTAAATCAGGTATAAAAATAACGACCTTGCAGAATGGGTAAGAGGGTTCTCCAGGAAATGTAAGCTAGAAAAGCATCTGGGGTGCTGCTTGGAAAATGGAGGCATCAAAAAACACGGGTTCTGCATTCATTCATTCATTTGTTCGTTCATTCATTCTTTGTTATTTACTGAACATCTAATATAGCCCAGGCATTTGGCTAAGCCCAAAGGGTATGGGTGCTTTGACAGGCCCTGAACTATTTGCTTTTTTCCTGGGAAATAGGTGAGCAGGGAGTCTGTGTATCAGCAGGAGAATGGGAAACAGGGATCCGGAACCCAGGCCCAAGAGGTAGGATGTGCTTGAGAGATGGTAGTAATCCTGAGACATTTTCTTCTCCCAGCCTCCTTTGACTGCATGTAGACCAAGCACTGAATTGGATATTGAAAGAGTCACTAGGCCGGGTCCAGTGGCTCACACCTGTAATTCCAGCACTTTGGGAGGCAGAGGCGGGCAGATCACGAGGTCAGGAATTTGAGAGCAGCCTGGCCAACATAGTGAAACCCCGTCTCTACTAAAAATACAAAAAATTAGCCAGGTGTGGTGGCGTGTGCCTGTAGTTCCAGTTACTTGGGAGGCTGAGGCGGGAGAATTGCTTGTACCCAGTAGGCGGAGGTTGCAGTGAGCTGAGACCACACCATTGCACTCCAGCCTGGGTGACAGAGTGAGATTCCATCTCAAAAAAAAAAAAAAAAAAAAAAAGAGTCACTGGAAGGGGAGACAACTATCTCCTAAAGGATCACAGACGGGAGAGAAAACAGGGAGGGGGCTACCACTTTGAATACTTGACTATGTACTAGGCATTCTGTTAGGCACATTGAATATTTTGTGAGATGGGGGTGGGATTTTCCCCATTTATAGATGAAGAAACTGAGTCTCCCAACAGGGAATTAACTGCCCAAGGTCACATACCAGGGGGTGATGAAGCTGAAAGTAGCTCAGGTCTGCTGGCGTTTCCTACCACTGTACAATACCTCTAAAATAGCACTGCTCAGGATGTGTCCCTTTGACTCGAGCAGGGTGCACGCTAATTGCCCGGTTCAGTGCACACATCAGCAAGTGAAATGCTCTGAGAAGCCCTGCCCAGTAGCATTTAACTTTGTGTAATCCAGCAGTTCCCCCAACATATTTGACCAAGAAATCCTTCTCTCCCCTCACTCGTATGTCCTTGATACCTAGTGATATGGTTTAGATGTGTGTCCCTTCCAAATCTCATGTTGAAATACGATACCCAGTGTTGGAGGTAAGGCCTGGTGGAAGATATTGGATCACAGGGGCAGATCCCTTATGAATGGCTCAGCGCCATCCCCTTGGTGATAAGTGAGCTCTCGCTCAAGTTAATTCACACAAGATCTGGTTGTTTAAGAGTCTGGGATCTTCCCTTTCTCTCTCTTGCTCTTTATCTCACCATATGACATGCCTATTCCCCCTTTACCTTCTGCCCTGACTGTAAGCTTCCTAAGGCCCTCACCAGAAGCAGATGCTGGCACCACAACCTGCAGAGCCATGAGCCAATTAAACATATTTTCTTTTTAAGTTACCCAGCCTCAGGTATTCCTTTATAGTGATGCAAATGGACTAACACAAAAAACTGGTCCTGGGAGTGGGGCATTACTATAAAGATACTTGAAGATGGCCAGGTGCAGTGGCTCACGCCTGTAATCCCAGCACTTTGGGAGGCTGAGGCAGGTGGATCACCTGAGGTCAGGAGTTCGAGACCAGGCTGGCCAACATGGTGAATCCCTGTTTCTACTAAAAATACAAAAAATTAGCCAGGCGTGGTGGCCTGTGCCTGTAATCCTAGCTACTCAGGACTCTGAGGCAGAATCGCTTGAACCTGGGAGGTGGAGGCTGCAGTGAGCTGAGATCACACCATTGTACTCCAGCTTGGGCAACAAGAGCAAAACTCCGTCCCCCCGCCCCGCCGCCCCCCCTCCCCGCAAAAAAAAAAGATACTTGAAGATGTGGAAGCAGCTTTGGCAATGGGTAACAGGCAGAGATTGGGAGTTTGGAGGAACAGAAGAAGACAGGAAGATGAAGGAAAGTTTAGAATTTCTTAGAGACCTGTTAAGTGGTTGTGACCAAAATCCTGATAGAACTATGGAGAGTGAAGGCCAGGCTGATGAGATCTCAGATGGAAATGAGGAACTGATTGGGAACTAGAGCAAAGGTCACCCTCCTTACGCCCAGGCAGAGAACTTGGCTGCATTGTGTCCATATTCTAGGGATCTGTGGAAGTTTGAACTTCAGAATGATAGCCTAGGGTATCTAACAGAAGACATTTCTAAGCGGTAAAACATTCATGATGTGGCCTGGCTGCTTCTAACAACCCACAGTAGCTACGGAAGCAAAGGAATGACTTACATTTGGAATGTTGGAATTTACATTTAAAAAGGGAAGCAGAGCGTAAAAGTTTGGAAAATTTGCAGCCTAACCCTGTGGTAGAGAAGGAATTCAAGTGGCCTATGGAGCAACAGCTTGCTAGAGAGATTAGCTTGACTAAAGAGGGCTGCATGCTATAGCCAAGACAATGGAAAAAAGGCACTGAAGTATTTCAGACATCTTCTAGGCAGCCCCTCCCACTAGAGGCCCAGAGGCCTAGGAAGAAAATATGGTTTTGGGGGCCAGACCAAAGGCCCTGCTGCCCTGCACAGCCTTGGGACACTGCTCCCTGCATACATGCTGCTCTAGCTTCAGCCCTGGCTCAAAGGGACCCAGGTACAGCTCAGACCACCACTCTAGAGGGTGCAGTCTGTAAGCTTTGGTGGGTTTCATGTGATGTTAAGCCTGCAGATGCACAGAATGCAAGAGTGAAGGAGGTTTGGCAGCTTCCACCTAGATTTCAAAGGCTGTATCAGAAAGCCTGGGTGCCCAGGCAGAAGCTTGCTGCAGGGGCAGAGCCCCCACAGAGAACCTCCACTAGGGCAGTGCTGAGGGGAAATGTGGGATTGGAGCCCCACCCGCCCCACACACAGAGTCCCTACCAGGATACTGCCTAATGGAGCTGTGGGAATGGGCCTGCCACCCTCTAGACCTCAGAATGGTAAAGCCACTAGCAGCTTGCAACCTCAGCATGGAAAAGCCACAGGAACACAGCTGCCCAAGGCCTTGGGAGCCCACCTGGCACACCAATGTGCCCAGGATGTGGGACATGGAATCAAGGATTATTTTGGAGCTTTAAGATTTAATGCCTGCCCTGTTGGGTTTCAGACTTGCATGGGGTGTTACCCCTTTCTTTTGGCCAATTTATTTCTTTTGGGATGGGAACGTCTGCCCAATGCCTGTACCACCATTGTATTTTGGAAGTAAGTATATAGTTTTTTTATTTTACAAGCTCATAGGTGGAAGGACTTGCTCTTGAGTCTCAGATGAGACTCTGGACTTTGAGTTAATGCTGTAATGAGTTAAGACTTTCAGGGACTAGTGGGAAGGGATGACTGTATTTCTCAATGTGAGAAGGACATGAGATTTGGGAGGCCAGGGGTGGAATGATATGGTCTGGATGTGTGTCCCCTCCAAATCTCATGTTGAAATGTGATTCCCAGTCTTGGAGGTGGGGCTCAGTGGGAGGTAATGGATCATGGTGATGGGTGAGGAATTCATGCTTGAGTTAGTTCACGTGAGATCTGGCTGTTTAAAAGAGTCTAGGGCTAGGCATGGTGGCTCACACCTGTAATCCCAGCACTTTGGGAGGCCAAGGCAGGCAGTTCACTTGAGCGCAGGAGTTTGAGACCAGCCTGGGCAACATGGCAAAACAAAAAAAATGCAAAAATTTAGCCTGTCATTGTGGTGTGCGCCTGTAGTCTCAGCTACTCTGGAGGCTGAGGCGGGAGGACTGATTGAGCCCAGGAGGTTAAAGCTGCAGTGAGCTGTGATTGCGCCACTGCACTCCAGCCTGGGTGACAGAACGGGACCCTGTCTCAAAACATAAAAATATAAATAAATAAATAAGAACCCAGGGCAGGGCCTCTCCCTTCTCCCTCCTGCTCACACTCTCACCACGTGATGCACCTGCCCTGTCTGCACCTTCCGCCACGCTTGTAAACCTTCTGAGGCCTTCAGCAGAGGCAGATGCTGGCATCATGCTTCCTGTGCAGCCTGCAGAACCATGAGCCTTTGAACCTCTTTTACCCAGCCTCAGATATTTCTTTATAGCGAAGCAAACAGACATCGCTATAAGCAATAAATCTGAACACGCCAGAAATGAATTTGAAATTCCTGTTGGAATATAAGACCTTAAAACAAAACCAAAAAAGCAGAATTGCCATCAGGTCTCTTTCAGAACTCACTTCTGACCCTCTGCCTTAGGAACAGAGTTTGTACAAACTGTCTTCACCTTGGGTACCTTCTGCTGTCAGGAGGCAGCACCTTTACCCTCATTTTACTTCACTGTGCCTTTCCCATTCCTCCTTCTCTTTCAACTTGTTGGAAGAACGTTTCCTGAGTGGAATATGGCAAGTGAACTTATTTTTTACTCTTGTTCCTGACCACAAAGACAACAAGAGTGGCAGCAGTTACCGTAGAATTTTAAAGATGGTAGTGGAAGGCAAGTATGTGGAGTCAAAGACCAAAGCCTGAAGGTCCAGCACTAGAATTTATCATCTGTGTGACCTTGGGCAGGTCACTCTTCATCTCTGGGTTTTAGTTTATTTCTTTGTACTTAGGAGGTTGCAGTAAAAAGAAAACAATGAGACAATGTTCATGAGAAGTATAAACTGTAACGTGCCACGTGAGTATTTTTCATCCTTACTGAGTGTAATAATCATCCTCATCATCGCAGAAATGAGTCTATTGCCAGACTCCTGAAATGTCTGGGGACATGGAGACAATGTCACAGCAGTTCTGGGAGGCCACTCATGCAGCTTCAAGGTTGGCTGGCCACTCTGTCCAATGGAGAGGAGAAGCCAGTGGGGGGCTGGTGCAGCGTCTCAGGGAGCATCTTAAAGTATTTTGATTAAGAGACCATTTCCTGAATTCAGACGACTTGTTTCAACAAGCAACCATCAAAGTCAACTTGGGAAAGACAGGAATAATTAATCATGGTCCTGTCTGGGGCTGACCAAGCGGCAGATGGATTGATAAACCTTTCAAAGGGGAAGGTATTCCCAAGGAGGGCCGCTGCGCCTGGCTGCCCCCCTGATTGAGATTTGTGAGCACAGATAAATGTTTTCCCTGCCCACTACAAAGAGTGGGAACTCGCACGGGAGTCGAAGGGCAGGGTAGTGAGGGGTTGTCCTTTCATCTTCTATTGGGTGAGAGAAGAGTGGCAAAGCAGGTCCCACACACCTCTCCCTCTACCCCCAGCTCCAGAGCCCAGCTGCCCTGGTCGTGTGTGTGTTTCAGTGCCCAAGACACCAGTTACTTAATCTACGCAAGCTTGCTGAATCCTCAGAAAAAGCAGATGTTACAACTCTCACTTTAAAGATGAAGAAATGAAGGCTCAGGGAGGTCAAGGTCACCAAGCAAATGGCAGAACCAGGAATAGAACCCACCTGCTCCACTGCACTCTAGGGCTGGAAGGAGATCGGGGCAAAGGAAAGGATAGAGAACCCTGATCCCATGAAGGAACCTCCTGGGAAGCCCATGGCAGTGGATGAAGTGTGATTTGCAGGGCTCAGATGAAAAAAAGACCATCAACAAGACCAAATTCTGAGAGCTTCTGACATGAAGTTCAAGGTTGTCACCTACTTATCTAGTAATCGATAGAGGCCAAACAGTTCCCACACTGCACAGACCCCAGCTACTAAAAGGTCTCATTGTGTTACTCTGGAATCATCACCTGTGTTCAGACATCTTGTCCTGTTTTCTAACTCTCGGTGTCTTCTTGCAGTCCAGCTGTCCAAGCTGCAGCAATGAGCCTCGCCATCAGCTGCCTGTCTACTATTCCATCACCTCTATTCAGAGGTGGGACTTAGTCATCAACTGAAACAGTGACTAAGCCTCTGGATTCCCCACTTTCAGTGCAGCAGGAAGTTGATTCTAAATTTCTTGATAAAACCCCAAGTGGATGCTTACCCCTGGAAAAGCCAGGCTGTCTACTGGGGAGTCCCCATGGGTTGACACAACTGGGTCATTCCCAGAGCTTATGGCATTCTGGGTCCAGGGGAATCAGCCTCAGGACCTCTGACTTCCTACTCACTTTCTCCGCTGACTACTTTGTGGATCCTCAGGGATCCCTCTTGCAAAGCATGAACCTCAGCAGGGGATCTGTCCTCCTGAGCCCTCCTTGGAAATACCTTTTCCATGGACCATTGATCATTCTATTAGGGAACACTCAATCTAAATGCCTAAGCGCTCTATGTCATCCAGTCTCCAGCAACCTATCAAACTTCTGTCCTTGTTTAGTGCTCTTCCTGGGGAATCTGGGGGAGCAATAAGCCCTTTCAGCCTGTGGCCCTTTTTTTTTTGCCCTGGGACCTTAAGGATTCCCTTTGCAAACAACAGGGAGCCTCAGAAGGACCTAATTTCTGGCCGAGTCCATGCTTGCCACAACCTCTGCACATCCATGGCCTTATCACACCCTGCCCACACCCCAACCCCCGCAAATCCTGCTGGCATTACCTGTTTACTTGAAGACATGTTGGTGAGTGTACTGATGCTGCTGGTATCTGTGACCACCATTGCAGATGGAAACCGGGAGGTGTGGGAATACTGGGGGGGTTCCTGCTTGTGTGCGTACACTGGAGAGACAGAGTGAAGACAGAATCAAGGTGCATACACAGGCAAAGACACAGGTACAGAGCCCCCATCCCACACCATAGCTCCCATCTCCTCAGGTAGATAAAAGGGCTGGTGGTTATAGTGGGGATTTCTCATATTAGTTATCCATAAGATTCATGTAAATTCCAAGTCACATAACCAACTCCCGAAAGCATGTGGATGCTTGGCTGTGAGGGAGAGACCACCTGCTCTCAGAACACAGGGCCTACCAGGGAGGCCTCCGGTACGGAACGGGAGCAAAGGTCACTGGCTGTTGCCTCGGCTTGCCCTTCTCATGCAGGGAGGCAGGTTATTTCCTGGTCCAGGGCACCATGGGCTCTCTCTTCATGGGCGGCCAGGCCTGCTGGGCCTCAGCAGTCCACAGGTCGCTGGTGACCACTCTCTGACTATCCCACCCAGGCCTCGCCACTGAGGAAGCCTGGCCAGGTGAAGGGATGGGGTAAGTGGGGAGCACATCACCAGGCTCTGGGAGGAAGGGAAGTGGGGCACATGTGGTCTCAGACTCTGCTACAGGCTGTGGCAGATTTTCAGAAGCCACTAAAATGTGATTGGAATGTGAGATGGTGCTCAGAAACCAGCTCCACAGGCCCGAGTGGGGATTGAGCCCTGAAGATAGAAGGCTGGACTTGGCTGTTCTCCCCCAAACCCACAGCTTATCCGATGCAGCTAGGGAAGAAACACAAACCTCTTTCACCATCATTGCCTTCTAAGAGTCCCTTTATAAATAATCTTTATAATTTTTTATGCTTACCAAACGCAGTTTACCCCTATGTTTATTTCATATTCATAATGACTCTAAATGCATACTATTTCCATTTTATGGATGTAGAGATTGGACTTAGAGTGGCTAAGTAACTTGCATTAAGCTACACAGCTGGTAAGTATCACAGCCAGGATTTAAATCCAGGTCTGTCTGATCTAAGACTAGTGCTTTATACTGAACACTTCCTTGGGGTTTCTGAAGCAGAGAAGCCATGATTCCTCCCAAACTCCTGTGTCAGGGGCTATAGCCAGACCTGGCCAGAGGATTGGAAGCCTGGGACTCAGGATGAAAGGCAGAGAAACAGAGGATGGGATTGGATGGGAAATAAGTGGTCGAAAGGTAGGCTTGGGGTAGGTATAGAAATTGGATATGAGAAACAGTCTGTGTGCAGAGATGCAGGGGTGGCATGGAGGAAGAAACTCTAATGCCCAGGATGGCATGCCACTGGTATTTTTCACTTGTGTTCATGGTTCTTGATTAGAGATGTTTGGGGTGTATAAATTGGAGGACATGGGACTCTAGAAGATTCTTCTCTTTTAGGGAAGGCAAACAGGATGCAAATTAGATGCCAATTGTGATCATTTGATAATGGCTGCTTGGAAGTTTAGATTGCAAAGGCTAAGTTGAAGTTCACTGGGAAAAGGTGCTGGTGGTTTATGGACGCGATCTTTTCCAGAGGTGTTGGAATGGGAAATTGGCGGTGTGTGTTCCACATGCTGTCTGGCTCCAATTCCCCTTCATCTGTAGGCCTACACTGTCCTCTTCAAACCCTTCCCTGGGAATCTCAGGGGTAGAGAAGAGGACTAGAAAAGGTACAGCAACACTCAAGAGTTATGCTTGAGAAATTGTCTTAGTCGGTTGATCATAGGCAGGGAAAAGTGACCAAGCCAATAAACTTCCGAGAAAGTTCAGACCCAGAGAGGGAAAGTGGTTGGCCACTGAGGGTCCTGAGTGCTCCCTCCCTCCACATGCCCGTGTCCTTACTGTGTGAGTTCTGCAGCTGAGTCACAGCTGCCATGAAGGGCTGCTGGGCCATGTGGCTGCCTGGGCTCTGCTGCATGAGGGGCTGCTGGTGAGGGCTGTGCAGCTGCTGGGAGAACTGGACGGGCTGCAGGGCTGCCAGGCTGCCGGCCACACTGTTGATGACAGGGACACTCTGTGCTTGGGAGGTGTTGAGGCCTGTGGGAGCAAGAGGAAAAGATCACAGACAGCTCCTGGGATAAGGAGAGGTGGATGGATGCCATCATTTGAGCCCCCGCTCAATGTCCCAGTCACCGGGCTGAGCCTGTTACACAGGAGATTCCATGGGAGGCAAGTGTAAAGAAACGGAGACTTGGAGATATTAATTTACTTGCTCAAGTTCCACAATGAGTTGTGGGTTGGAGATGGGCATTAAACAGATCTGATTAAAGCCTGAGAGTCTCCCAGAGTCATCCTGTGACCTCCCAAACTTAGCTCTCTTGAGGTTACCAGGGCTTTGGAAAAGCTGGCTCTACCTGCCCACTCCATCCATGCCAGGCTGTGAGAGAGGCTTGCCCTGGTGCCCGCAGGGCAGAGTTAAAGATGTCCACACTGAGGCACAGGTTATTGCCCAGATCGGTCTGTCCAGTAGAGGGCAGGAGTGTGCAGGGACCCAAATTTTGACTAAAAACAACGTCCATAGTCCCGGGAGTATGAGGTTGGGAGACCCTTATTTAGTAGACTGTACAAAGACCCCCAGAGAAATCAGGTGCCAACTCCCTTGACTGTAACAGAGAGGGGAGAAAACACTGGAACTCAGCCAGTCTGCGAGGCGGGCATATCTTATGTGGCAGCATAGGGCTTGTGGCACTAAAAGGACCAGGTTTTAGAAAGAGGAAGTAGTACATTAAAGGTTGACTCTTGGCATTTATAGTGGGTCTTCCCATCTTTCTGTTCTGGAGATGTCAGGGCCTCTGTAACTTGGAACTGTGTATCCTGAGGCCTCTTTAGAACCCGGGCCAGCACTCTGAGGATTGGATCCCCTGGTACCCATGCTCTATCTCCTCCCTGAGAGCGACACGGAGGAAGACAGCTAAGGTAGGATGGGAGTGGGGACAGGACGATCAGGAGAGAAGACACCTGGACCTGCTTCCTGGGGTCGATTGTGTTCCTGTGTTCTTGCTTTCTGGGAAGTTGGGGGAAGAATGGGATGAAGAAGGAATCCAGAAAAAGGTCTGTTTTAGGTGGATGTGGAAGGGACACCTAGAGAGGCTTTCCTGAAATGGAGACGGTTTCATAGGCAGGTTTGAGGGAAGTCATCAATGGAGATAACACAGAGTCCTCAACAATTGCCTACTCAGAGCTTTAGCTGATACTGTTATCAGAAACCTAAAAGGCGAGACCCCTGAGCAGAAAGGACAGGGGATGAATCCTGCTTCTGGCTCTCCTGGGTGGGGGCTGGGGGTGCCACCCTCTGATCACCCTCAGAACAGCGCTGTCTCCAGTTCCCCAGGGGGCTCAGCGTCTCCTCAAGCCAGCATCTCACCAGATACCCTGATGACCGATGACCGTGTTTCCCTTTCCTACCTCCTGCTTATGGTCTCAGTCTCCCAGAAAGCTCCATGAATGTGCCGTTTTTGAGAAATCTTTGAGAGCACTGCTGCTGCTCTTTTTGAGAAACTGCTGCCCAAAAAAGCAAATGATCCTGTCTAGAGTGGATGACATTTGAAGGCATAGTTCTGAAACCTGCATGTGCTTCAGAAATCATCTGGGGGAGCTCTTTAACAAATATACATTCCTGGGCCCCACCCAAGACCTAATGAGTCAGA
Source organism: Homo sapiens (assembly GCF_000001405.40). Classification (NCBI taxonomy): domain Eukaryota; kingdom Metazoa; phylum Chordata; class Mammalia; order Primates; family Hominidae; genus Homo; species Homo sapiens. The sequence continues at coordinate 1,941,858 of NT_187614.1, forward strand.
ACCTTCAGAGGTGGGGCCCAGGAATCTTATTTTCAATGCAGTCTGTGATCCTGATGTGCCTCAATTCCAGGATTGAGAGCCTCTGATGTCATTCCAGCTCCCTCAGTGGGTAAGTCTTGACCTTTTCATCTGTTTCTGTTTCTGGGCACTGGTTCTTGCTTGGGAAGTATGCTATCCAGTCCAGGGAAGAGATGAGAAAGAGAATAGGATGAAGAGGTGAGAATGAGTAGAGAATAAGGAATTGGCCCTGCCAAATAATTTGTTACCACCTTCTCCACAGGCTTCCGCAATTCTGAGGCAGGGCCCATGGTACTCAACACATCAGTCAGTTAAATGAAGATGCCTGCAACCAGTTTCTCATCCTAACACTCCATAGTGTAGGACCTCTGTGTCTCAGCAGTCTTCTGGTGATTCTCACCATTTCTCATGCTCTGTCTACCCCAAGTGTACACAGATATGTACACACACAGCCATCCTTCTGAGGTCAGTGTGCACTCTGGTGCAGCCCATCTGAATAGGAGATTAAGGAGCATCGTGAAATGATAGAGAAATATGAGTAGAGGAAATTAGAAAGAACAAAATGGAAAGATGCAGACTAGCCCCAGGGAAAATTTTAATTCAGATAGTATATATATATATATATAACTGTATGGCAGTGAAAGCTTAGAATGGAAAGAAAGAAGTTAAGTGGGACAGTTTGTTTATTATTTTGGTTGCAGAAATAAGTGGAATATCTTCCCCACGGGCCTTTTAATCAAATCTTCTAAATGGCAAACAAGCTGGTTTTAGGTATCTTATCTCATTCCAAACTCTGGTATTAGTATAATTACCATATTCCATATACCAGAGGGCCCAGTCAAAAGGCAATACATTTAAAATGATCATTTATATTGTGAGTTCTCTAAATGCTTCCCCATTCCCATTTTCCTTCTGCCAAAATCAATGCACTGTGTGTCAATTTCCAAGCAGCTAAGGATAGAGTGAGAGCCACACATATTCAATAAATTTGTGTGCCTCCAATGGGCTTAGCCCTGTTCTGACCTCAAAGGATGTGTAAGTCATTCTCTTCAGAAGTGAGAATCCAAGTTCCGACCCTAGCTAAAGCTGATTTAGGGAGAGAAGAGGGAAGAAAGAAAAAGGCAGAAACAAAACAAAGAGGTGGCCAACATGAGCCCTAGATACAAGGAAGGTAAGAGGACAATGGAGCAATACAAGGTTGAAAGAAAGATGACCAATGTGTTACCCTTAGATCTCTCCCAAGACATCCAGCAATACATCCAAGGGTCACAAGGATGGTTTTGAGAAACAACGACACCTGAGCTGTCATAGTGAAGCTGGAAATATGCTGAATACTCATCAACATTAAAACTCTCAAAGAGATATCCACAACCACAGTTCCCTTCAGACTTCTCATGCCTCAAGATGGCCCATGTATGGGAGGGCACAGGCTTGCTGTTGAATATGAGCCTCCTGGAGCTGGAGGGACCTGATCCATCTCCGTGTCTTCAGGCGTGTGATGTGCCAAAGCAAGCTTTTTCTCCTTAAAGTTTTCAAAGCTCTCAGATACAATGGCAGTTTCCCTCTGGATCCTCCCTTGGTGTATTTTCACTGCTGGCCAAGGAGATTTCATATACCACACAAAACTCCCCATTTAGAAGGAAACCTGTCATTCTTACTTCATCATCACCAAACAGAAAGAACCTCCTGAAAAATCTACCACCTACTTAGTGATAGGAATGAACTCAAGACAAAGTGTAAGCTACGATGTTATACATATTCATGCTTTAGAGATTTATAAGCATGTTCATATTCACTGTCAGTTGATCACTTTAACAACCTATTTTATAGATGAGGACATTGAATCTCCTGAAGGTTCAATGATTTGACCCAGGATGCACAGCTGCTAAACTGTGACCAGGATCCAAATCCATTCCACAATTTTCTCTTGTTTTAGGCTAAACAATCCAAATATTGGATTTAAGGAGACAGATGAGAAACTAAAGAAGTTAAACCAAATCTACTAGTCGTGGGTGAGTTTGAAGGAGACCTACAGTTATTTTTCACCACATTAATTTGCTTCCCATTCTTCTTCTCCCTGCCCCCAAGTTTTCCAACCAAGAATAGAACTTACTTTGTGCAATTGCCATGACTCCAGAGAGGGGTGTCATGATGAGGTTTTGAGATTGCTGGGGATTATGGTGGGAGAGGCTGTGGATATTCGTCAAGGTGCTGACTGGGGGCAAACCTCCTCCTGAGACTGAGATCTGATGGAGAGAAAAAAACAAGAGAAACATGGGTGGACTTGGACCACAAAGAGCAGTTTCCAACACGATGTGACTTAGCGATTCCTTGGCATGACTAGTTCTCAAATTCATTCCTTCATTCACTCAATAACAATTATTGGCTGGGCATGGTGCTTCACCCCTGTAATCCCAGCACTTTGGGAAGCCAAGACAGGAGGACTGCCTGAGCTCAGGAGTTCAAGACCAGCCTGGGCAACATGGTGAAATCATCTCTACAAAAAAAGAAAAAAACACAATTATTAAGTGTCTACTGTGGGACAGACACTATTCTAGGTGCTGGGGATAGAGCAGTAAGTAAAACAGACAGTGATCCCTGCCCTCATGGTGCATCTATTGTTGACTGTCTGAGTTACTAGCCAGCTTCAGAAATTACTAAGGGTTGGGGGAGATTAGCCATTATAAGGTTTCTCTACTTTTTCCACATCTCCAGTACACATTACAAAATTTTTTTTCTTTTTTGGTCAAGGATCCTATATTGTAATCACCATTATATTTTAATGACAGATTAGTATGAGAAAGCTACTGATTTTGGTGTATTTACTTTGTACATGACCACTTCACTGAATCCTACTAGTGTCTTTTCCTCATTGATTTTTTTCCAAGTATGTAATTGTAATACAAGCATCTGATGGTAACAGGGTCTTTTCCTTGCTAGTACTGATATGTCTACATGTCCTATTATATTGCTTAGAACTTACAGTATTAAACAATAACAGCTGTAATAGATGTGCTTATTTTGCTTCTGATGTTATCAGAAATGTTTCCAATGTTTTCCCATTAACTCTAATTGTAATTATAAGGGCGCGATCAGTTTTAAACACACCTACACTTTTTCCATGATACATTAGTTTACTACTTATAGTTTCAAAATAATTTTTTTCTTTTTTTGAGGTGGAGTCCAGCTCTGTTGCCCAGGCTGGAGTGCAGTGGCATGATCTCTGCTCACTGCAACCTCCGCCTTGTGGGTTCAAGCAATTCTCCTGCCTCAGCCTCCCGAGTGGATGGAACCACAGGCACCTACCACCACGCCTGGCTGATTTTTGTATTTTTAGTAGAGACGGGATTTCACTATGTTGACCAGGCTGGTCTTGAACTCCTGACCTCAGGTTATGTGCCCACCTCAGCCTCCCAAAGTGCTGGGATTACAGGTGTGAGCCACTGTGCCCAGCCTCAAAATAATTTTTAAAGTTATTATGAAGAAAGGACTGGCCCCTCTTATTCTGAACCCAGGCGTGCTTGAGAGCATCAGGAACCCCGAGAGGTGCTTTAGGGTTAGGATGCACCAGATGTCTGAGTAACTCAACTTTCCTTCTTCCATCTTTCACTTCCCAGAGCTTTTCAGACGATAGCTCTCCCACCAGCACCCAGGTAAGATGCTATCTCCCACCCTGCCCTTCCGGTCAACTCCATAGTGTCCAAGGTTAATTTGAAAAAGAAAGAAAGCAAAAACCAAACAGGTTTGTTTGTGTTTTTAAAATAAGCATCAAGAAATGTTAGGGGGTCACATGACCAAGAAGGAATTCTGACCACATCAAACAAGAGAGAAGCAGCCTGTTTGCTGGACTTGTTTTTCAAAATACCAGTCATTAAAAAAAAAAAAAAAAAAAATCCGTAGCCTGCCCTCAGACTGAATCTCTTGGGTAATGTAGTTCCTTTGGAGAAAGTCAACCAAGTGACAGTAATTTCTCTGACATTTCAGCATTTGGTTAATGGTATAAGAGAAGTGTGGAGGCCAATGATAAAAATAATTTAAATGTGTGTGACTTTAGGATTTGTAAAGTGCTTTCACTGATTGTCCTTAATAGATAATGACACAAGTAGGGCAGGCATTATTACTATCAGTCCCTGTATTACAGATTAAGAAACTGATCTTCAGAAGAGTTGAGACTATTTCTATGTCACTTGACTCATAAGTGAAAAAGCCAGAGTTAAAATCCAGTTTTGCTGGAGCTTAAATCTTATTCACTTACTAAGTTTGGGCAACCTTGATCAAGTTACTTCCCATTCTAAAATGCAACTATTATTTTTAATTTTTTTTTTTTTTTTGAGACAGGGTCTTACTCTATCGCCAAGGCTGGAGTGCAGTGGCATGATCACAGCTCACTGCAGCTTCGAACTCCTGGAATTAAGCGATCTTGTCACCTCAACCTCTGGAGTAGCTGGGACAACAGGCATGCACCACCGTGCCCAGCTAATTTTTTTATTTTTTGTAGGGACAGGGCCTTGCTGTGTTACCCAAGCTGGTCTTGAACTCCTGGGCTCAAGCAATTATCTTTCCTCACCTCCCAAAATAGTGGAATTACACGTGTGAGCCACTGTGCCCGGCTACAACCATTACTTTCTATTTGGCTCCTGGACTGATGGAAGCTAGGGCACTGCCAAGGGTATCAGTGGTGATCCTTACATGATAATTTGGAGAGCCTGAATTACATTAATGCTGTCATTTATGGTCTCTTCACTATGCTAGGTTCTTTATATACCTATAATCTATAAGGTTGGTATTATTATCCCTATTTCATAGAGAAGGATACTGAAATTTAGAGAAGTTAAGAAGTGTGCCCAAGTGGTAGAATTGGGGTTGAAAGCAGGCTATCTACCGCCACAGCCTGAGCTTTTCACCATTAGGACATACTGCTTGATACTGTGAAAGTATCCAGTATGTGCTTTGCTTTGTTCTCTCTCTTTTTTTTTTTTTTAAAGGTTCGACATGCACAGACTACAACCCTAAACCTGGCCAGTTTTTTGTCAATGCGTGACATTTGGGCATGGGGGTGGGTAGGGGCAGACAGTACAACAGAGAGTTCAAATGGATTGGCTTTATTTCCAAAACCAGTCCTTGGGGAAAGATTTCAAGGCACGTCCTACTGAAAGTCAGCATGCAGAGATTGTCATTCCTAGAACAGGGCTGACCCAAAGAACAACAGTGCTACAAGCAATCTTCACACCAACCCTATGACGTAGGCATCATTATCCCCCATTTTACAGATGAAGAAACTGAGGTTAAGCAATTTGTCCACACTACTGCTGGTGAATGACCGAGCCAAGACTTGCACATACTGGTTCCCTTCCCTGCATTCCTTTTTAACCATACTCCACTCTTGCCTTGGGGGACCAAGATCCGTGATGGACATGTTATTATATTAACAAGAAAACAGACTCTTGAATTTGGACCTCTGATGATAGTGACACAGCACATGCACTAGGGTGTTGGAGACAAGAGAAAAGCCAGGCCCTGCAAACAAGCTTCCAGGTGTTTGCTAACGTTGAGGTGTGCAGTCTTGGTCAATCATCAATCCAGTAACACACTGCCCAGTTAAAGCACTGCTGAGCAGAACAGGAAGCAAAAAGCGTGTCCACAGGCTGCATTTAGAGCGGCCCTGGCCTGGGTGAGGCAGCTTGCCTCTTAGAAGGAGGAGAGGCAGAGCTCAGTAGGAAACCCCAAGGACCTTCAAGCAGTAAGAGCTGAGACCTGGAAGGTTCTTCCACACTGAGAAGTCAAGACCTCTTCCGTAAGGCACCCTTCTCCATGGAAGCCTGGGTAATCCTTAACCCTAACTTGTTTGGGACACTCTTGAGAAGTCAGAAAGACTTGTCTGTGCCTCTCACAGGTAACTGACACAAGTGGTTCTTCACATGGAGAAGAATCTTTCTTAAGGGATAGGTGGGAGTAGGAGAAGAGGGCTGCAAAATGCCTCCCCCAGGAATGCCCTTTCATTTTTGTTTGCAGAGACCACGACCAGGGCAAGCAGCTCAGGTCCTCTGAAACCAGAATTGGCCGGGTCAGTGCTCCCCTCAGAAACCACACTTGTTTTTCCTCCAGGGAGCCAGGGACTCGATCACCTGTGACTCACCGTTTCTGTGTTGCCTACACAGCACACACGTCAAGATCTAAAATGGCCTCTGCACCCTGTTGCCCTCACCCATCCTGGCCCCCACTCTGGGAATGTGTGCAGCTCCACCTTCAGCATGAAAGTCGGGAATCTGCGGCTCCTCCCTCCCCTGAAAAACAGAGCATGACCCAAAGAATAGAGCTTTCCATTCTCTACCCTTGCCAGTGTCGTAATGCTCCTGTTCTCCCATAAGCCACTCTCTCCTGCACTTGTGTTGCTACAGGATCAGAACCTAATCCTAATTAGAACCTAGTTTTATTTATTTTATTGTTATTATTAATTATTATTTTTTGAGACACCCGAGTCTCACTCTGTTGCCCAGGCTGGAGTGCAGTGGTGTGAGCTCACTGCAACCTCTGCCTCCCAGGCTCAAGTGAGCTCCCCACCTCAGCCTCCCGAGTAGCTGGGATTACAGGTGCATGCCACCATTCCTGGCTAATTTTTGTATTTTTTTTTTAATAGAGATGGTGTTTCGCCCTGTTGTCCAGGCTGGTCTCAAACTTTCTGGCCTCAAGTGATCCACCTGCCTCAGTCTCCCCAAGTGCTGGAATTACAGGTATGAGCCACTGCACCTGGCCTAGAATCTAGTTTGATGTAGAAAATTCAAATTCAAATTGTGCATTCTTCACCAAGTGTGCTAAACTTGCATCTGGGTGTGGGGCTGTGGTTACGGATATAGAAAACTTCATTTAATGAGAATGATATTGACATTTACACGACAACAACAACAATACTGCAATTTATTGACTATTTTCTATGGCAAACACTGCAGAGTATTTCTCAAATGTTATCACGCTCATGCCCCCACCAAGTCTATTGTTACCGCCCCCATTTTATAGATGAGGAAGAGATCATAAGTAGTCGAGTAACCTGCTCAGGCTACACAGCTATTAAGAGCTGGAGCTGGGATTTGAACCTGGGCAATTGTAACTTCAAAGTTGGTGTTTCTCCCTCCCTAAGCATCGCCCCACCCCATCTACCATTTGTGCTGTGATCTTCGCTGTCATGGTGTCCCATGTCTTTCACTGTTCCAGTTCAAGAAGCTTCTCCCCATCGCCTCCTATCCACTACATCCTGACTTGCTAATGACTCTTCTTGTCAGTACCAAGGGGATGGTAAGGAGGAAGAGGGGGCTTGTGTCAAAGTGAGGTGCTCTCTAAGTTAAAAAATTGGCTTTGGAGGCCTTGGGGGGAGGGATGAATGAACATTTTATCAACACAAATGTCATTGGCAAGCCCCAAAACAAACAGTGTCCCACCGGGCTTGCTCCTTTATGAGGCATTCAATCAATAAAAAGAGAGCAGAACTCTGTCAGATTTATTGGCTGGGTTCAAACCGAACACCTCTTCTACCCGCCAAAGGCTGGGTCACCAGCACTACCTCTCCTTTCCGACTCTGGACAGCCCTCATTTTCCCCTATGGGGCTACAATGGTTCATTGTTTGAGGCAGGCCTTGTGAGAAGTTGTGTTTGTTTTGCCTCTTATCTTATCAGCTCCAGAGCGACAATGGCCCAGGTGTACTCACCATTTTACCATCAGGTGAGAGGAGATTGTGGCCTGGGTCCAGGCTGGCTGGGGAGACTTGCTGTAAAACCGACTGGCTGGTCACCATGGCGCTGTTGCCATGGTGACTGATTGTTGAGGAGGAAGTGATCTCATTGTTTCCCTGCTGGCTGTAGCGCACTCCTGCAAAACAACACAAACCCAGTAGGGAACATTAGTGCCACCAGGGTCCTGGAACAATGACTCGGCACCTCTTGTTTTCAAGGGTGGGTAATAAGAAAATAAAGTTGCTTTCTCCTCCCCTGTCCACCCACAAGAAATATCGGCTGCTTTTCTCCAGGGTAAATATGGCATGTTCTCTATTTAATTCTAGAATGTAAGCGCCACGAGGGCAGGAAATTTTTATCTCGTTTGTTTTGTTCACTGATGTATCCCCAGTGCCTTGGCACTGAATAGCCACTCGGTAAACTTCTGATGAATAAATGAATGACTGGATGGATTCTGTTTGTTATTGCTTCCGCACAGTTCTTTGAGGATTTGGGGGTTGAGACTAGCCTTCTGTTACTGGCTGGAGTATTTTTTATTCTTTAAAATGCCTTTTAGAAATGTTTCCCTGGCATCCCTCGTGGTGCTGCAAAGTATAAGTAGACCCATGTGACGAAGAAGAAGCCCTTGTCCAGTGACCCTTGAAAGAGCCGTAGCTTAGGCATCAGTCTCTGTGTACCACCTTTGTGGCCAGGCCCAAGAGGTCAGGGGCACGGACACAGGCAGAGCAGGACAGGGATGAAGCTGCGTCTAGGAGCTAGGCTGTAGAACTCACATTCCTTTGCTGGGGGTCCCATTTGGCTGCCTTCCAGGGCACAGGGAAAGGTGTGTCTGCTGGGAGGTGGGGCAGGCAGCACCACACACAGGCAGATGTGGATGTTTAGTAAACCACTGGAGTTTGCTCTGCAGGGGAAGGGTAGAACCAAACATGTTTACAACCTCGCTGCTCTGACCCTCCCTCTTGCTCGGGAACCAAAATGGAGGTCTGCTCTCAGGAAAGAAAAGTTCTGGACAGAGATCAGGCAACTGAAGGAAGCTAAAAGAACGCCTGGGTCCAGTTTGCAGATGGAAATCCTGCTTGATGTGCCCATGAAACAGTCAAGGACAAGGTTGGGGGTACATGGGGCATCTCACCCCTAAGCTCAGTGCTTAGAAAGACAGTGTTCTTGTTTTTTGCTTTGGATTTGACAAAAAGGTTTGGAGGACCCTGTCCTGCAGAGACCAAATGCTCTAGGCATGGAATTATCTGGATAGGTGGACCAACTCTTTAGCTGCACGTCTTCCTTTGCCCAGTTTCCCAAGATGAACCATCCCTGTACACTGATTCTGTTGTTGCTCTTTCATCCACCCACCCCCTGCCCTAGCTAGAGCCCCACCTTCCAGAGGAGACCACAAAGTTCCCCCAGGGGCCAGGCACTGCCATAATCAGTGTCATAATCTGCCTCTAATTCACCAAGATGAAGCTTACCAAGATGAGACTAGATGAGCCCCAAGCCAGTTTTCCTTGGATCTTCCTAAGGACTTTACCCAAGGCCGATATGACCTAGAGCTTAAGAGGGCTGGGGAAAAGAACAAAACAAATGCTAAAGCTGGGTTCTAACCTTCAAGAGCAACTTGTCTGAGTATGTAGTGGCTTGACGCTTGCTCTATGAGCTTTTCTATTGGCCATTTTCCCCATTCTTTGAATCAAGGAGCTGCTAGTGGGGGTGGTGGTGACAGTGGGATGGCGCTGGCATTGGTGTATTGGTTTAAGGCACTACATTTTTTGGGAAGGACAGAAATCATGAAGTTAAAAGGAGGAACAGCGTTCAGCTCCCCAAGTCAACAGCCGGTGCCCAGGCCCCTGTCCTCCTGTGCACCTATCTGCAGCCCCCACGTCTCCTGTTTGCCATCGATGCCATCCCATTGGATTAAATGAGGCCTTCTTTCTTCACGTCTGCCACCCAGTTCCCAGTAGGATGCTTCCAACAGTTCAAAGTGTTGTTACATGAAAGAAGAAAGAGATTTGAACCTTATGAGCTCTGAAGGCAGAGCTAGGTTCAATGGAAAACAGGGAGGCAGATTTCAAATAAATAACAGGAAGAATTTTCTATCAAGGAGGGGCAGTGGGAAGACTATGGACTCTGCAGCGAAACCAACTCAGGTTCAAATTCTGATGCTGCTCTTAATAGATCTGTGATCATGGGAAAATTACTTTCCCTCTCTGTGCCTTTGTTTCCTCTAGAAAAATGGAGAGAATGCCTCCTCAACAGGACTCTTTTTGGATTAGAGGTAACATCTATACAGTTTCTTGCAAAATGCCATATAAATGGCAACTATGGGTGGGGATGCTGTGGGGAGGAAGCTGGTACAGGAATGGACCCCAAGATATTTGCCCTAAGATCCTAGAATTCTAGATGGCTTAGGACAGATTCTAAACACTGAATGGAATTATCTTTCCGTAGAGAACAGTTTCCAAAGAATCCTACCCTGGCAGAACCACTGATGCTTTGCCCTGGAAGCAACCTGGGAGAGAGGTCTAGCCGCTGCCCTCTTGCTCTGTTCTTTTGGAGGAACTGGACTTCACCCTGTTTTTCTCCTGCTTTCTCTGACTCCCTAACCAGCTATTTACCTCCCCGAGAGGCTCTGCTCCTGAGAGAGTGTTGATAACGCTGGGAGTCAGTTGTGTTTTCACCTCCCAGCCTGTCCCCATCATCGATTCAGTCTCAAGTCAAACAGTCTCTGGATTTAGCCTATTTAATTTGGCTGATGGAAAAGGGCCAGCCCTCTGATGATCAAATATGGGTCACAAGGAGGCTTCTCCCCTACCAAAGGCTACGCAATTATTTATTTAAAAATAATTAACCAAGGATTTCCGCAGGAAACAAAAGGCTTCTTTACAAGGGAGCATGTCAGGAGAGACTCAAGAGCCATTTGTTAGAATCCAGGCAGCATATTCCAAGGCTGCTGTGGTTTTTATACTTTGTTTTCTCCCCAACAAAACTTTATTATATAAGAAATATAACGGTGGAGCTGCTCTGTCAAAAGACAGATGAGCCTAGACCTTTGAACGTTCCTTTAAAAGCCCCTGGTTAAGTGATAGAGGCTCGGCTGGAAACTGGGGGATCCCTGTTTTAATCTCAGCTCTGCTATCAATTTCTTGGGTGAGCACCAGCTTCCTCATCTATAAGCCAGAGGACGGCCCACTGTGGGGAGGGGGCCATTGTCACAGCAGTGTGATGGGAGCCAGGCACAAGGCTGCTCATCAGCCCCAGATCCACCTGCAGGTGTTCCCACGATGCTCCTCTCACCAAGCATGTGGCAATCACTGGCCCCTGAGAGGGTGGCTGTAATCAGCCAGCCATCTTATGAGGGGGCGGGGTGGGGGCGCATCACAAGGTGTACACCAAAAATAGGTGCTCTTGTTAGAGGAAGGAGAGGCCAGTCCTCCTATATTTCAAAAACTCAGAAGAGCACTTGAAGTGAGAACAAAAATAAGTGCAAAGTGTGTAGGCTCTGGAGCCAGGTGACCTGGGTTTAAATCTTGGCTCTACCCTGTAAGACCTGTGTGATCTTGGGAAGTTACTTAACCTCCCTGAGCTTCAGTTCCTTACTGTTAACAATATCCATCTGTCAGGTCATTGGGAAGAGAACGGAATGAGTTAATGGATGTCCAAATACCCAGATCATGCTGGGCACATAACAGTTGCTGAAAACACGTCAATTCCTCCTACTTTGGCACTGTCCTTGTTTAAAAGACATTTTTAGGAAGGCTGAGGTCGTGCCACTTTATTGAGCACCTACCATGTGCCAGGCACTGTGTTAGGAAGCATTAAGAAATGGAATAGCATCTTCCCTTCTTCCTTCACCAATGCAAGTTCTTAAAGTGAACATATGACAAGGGCTCTGGTTTAATATTGATTAACCAAAGATGCCAGGTTAATAGCCACAGAGGACCCATAGGAGAAATGACAGTGGCAGATGGTAGCCATTCACCTTCTACTTACTTCCTAGCTCAAGCCACTCACTGGCCCCATCCCCATTGTTGGCTCTATGAACCACAGCAATTGTGTCCAGCAGCAAAAGCCATCCAAGGTGGAGTTGAGACATCCCTGAGGCCCTGGTGAGTAGATCATCTACTTTCCTCTATTCCTAGGCATCAGCATCATGGGTGTTGGGCTATTCCTGGATACAGACGCAGATCATTCGGTTTCTATCCAATATGACTGGTCAGAAGTGCCAAAGGCATGGCACAGGTGCATGGTTCCAAGAAGCCAGCATCCTTGCTCTGCCTTCCTGTGCCAGCACCGTCTCTAGGGTCCTTTCACACTGCTGCAGCCTGGGATATCTTTCTAAAACAAAGTCACACCATGCCTCTGCTCTGCTTGGAAACATCTGATGGCTCCTCACTGCTTTCCAGAAAAGCCCCAACACCTGAGACTGGCAGAACTGGGCCTTTGTGATTCGTCTGTTTTATTTGCATTATCTCTCACCACAATCTTAATGCACTTCTCAAATGGCCTGACCATCTCCTGCCTCTGCACCTTTGCTGTTTCCTCTGCCTGGAAAGCATCTCGTGTCACATGTCGCCCCCCTGTGAAGCTCTTCTTGATTCATCCTGGGAGATGGCTGCTCCTTCCTTTGTATTTTACATGCACTAGACAGAGACTTACGGCAGGAGTCAGTCACCCTGCATGCACGCTGATGATATGTTTACTTTTCTCTGCCTCTTAAAGAAAGAGATGAGTCTTTACTTGTTGCATCCTTATAGCCTAGCAGACTGCCTGGTACTGTGCATATTTATTGACTGAAGGAATGAAACCCCAGCAGCTTTGAGCACCCATGCCCCAGACAAGGAGCATCACGTCTAGCAGAAGTAGAAAATACAGTCAGTTGTGTATTTATTGTAGTGAAAGTGTAAATCTGTTCCAATTATATAGACATATTGGGGATAATTTGAGTGTAATGTCAATTTCACATTTGGAAAACACTTAGTGAATTCAGAAGCCTGCATCCAGCTGAATGGAACCACATAGGAGAATACTAACAATGCTCCTGTGTGTACATATGCGCACCTCAAACATCCACCAGCCGCCTCGGTCCACTGTGTGCACTGGTAAGACACATCCATGCAATATGGAGTCACATCTTTTCCTTCCCATGTCAGATAACCCTTTCTCCACTGCTTCACAGTAACTCACAACCCACAGCACTTCTGATGCCCACTTCCCTAGGCAAACTTGCCATATTTACTATTGTATAGCATTGATATATTTCTTAACTATTTAACGGGTATAAAACTGTGGTAATCTTTTTATTGGATTCTTATCTTTTAAAAATGTGTTGGCCGGGCACGGTGGCTCATGCCTGTAATCCCAGCACTTTGGGAGGCTGAGGCAGGTGGATCACTTGAGGTCAGGAGTTCGAGACTAGCCTGGCCAACATGGTGAAACCCTGTCTCTACTAAACATACAAAAATTAGCTGGGTATGGTGGTACACGCATTAGCTAGGCATAGTGGTGTAATCCCCACTACTCAGGAAGCTAAGGCAGGAGAATTGCTTGAACCTGGGAGGCAGAGGTTGCAGTGAGCTGAGATCGTGCCACTGCACTCCAGCCTGGGTGACCAGAACAAGACTCCATCTCAAAACAAACAAAATGTGTCGCTGAGGAAGTTTTCAAGTGTTGTGCTTTTTAAAAAAGTTTATTTCAGAGACAGAGTCTCATTCTGTCACCTAGTCTGGAGTACAGTGGCGTAATCTCGGCTCACGGCAACCTTCGCCTCCCGGGCTCAAGTGATTCTCCTGCCTCAGCCTCCTGAGTAGCTGGAACTACAGGCGCCCACCACCACGCTCAGCTAAATTTTTGTATTTTTGGTAGAGACAGAGTTTCACCGTGTTGGCCAGGCTGGTCTCAAACTCCTGACCTCAAGTGATCCGCCCGCCTCAGCCTCCCAAAGTGCTGGGATTGAAGGCATGAGCCACTGCGCCCGGCCTCAAGTGTTGTGTTTTTAATCCTGTTTTTCCCGTAAGCCCTGTGGTTCTTATCACATGGCTTAGCAAACTCTGGTGATTTTTAGGCTGCATATGTCAGGTTATATAGACCCTACTGCGCCTGTGTGTTCAAAGACAAACATGACTGCCTTGCAGGAGGACCCCAGAGAGGAGCTGCTCAGGGTGCCATTCACCAGAGACTTTGCAGAAACCTGTGCTTCAGGGCCTTAGAGCTACAGCTCATAGAGCCCCTGGCGATTTAATTCAGCTCTAAGAGCTTCAAAAAATCATGGAATTCCATGATTCCAGAGATCAACTGGGCACCAGCCTCTAGACACTTTAACAATCTCTCTCTCTCTCTCTCTCTCTCTCTCTCTCTCTGCCATAACTCTCTGATGATTCTGGGTCAGTTAACTTTTGAGCCTTGGCATTTTTGTCTGTGAAAGGGGCACACAGATATTCCTTCTTCACAAGCCAGAATAATGAATGAATAAAATAATGTCAGAGATGCACTGGTTCTGCTGGGTAAACAGAAGAGCAATGTCAACAAAGAAAACAGGACCAGAATTGTTCTTTTAGTAAGAAGAAATGAGGGAAGTGGGGATTCCTGGGCAATGTGGGGCTCAGCTTGCCCACGATGTGGCTTTTGGCACTGAAACCTGGGGGTTCCTTTCACTGAAGTCTATGAGCTGCACCCAGAATCTGGTGGGATGCCTTTCACCCTTGACATTTCAGAGCCAACCTCCCATCCCTGATAATGCAGGAATGTTCCTCCGGCTGGTGGACCTCTGCCAGCGTAAGTGAGCGTCCCAGCCACCAACAGAGTAAACATTACTCAACTGGCTGGGGCTCTGTCACACACATTCTTCCCCTGTGTTTCTAACCTCATGCAGAGTGCAGCCCAGCCCTGTTGGGTCTAGAAACTGGGAATTTAAACTCAGGCAGGAGAGAGCATGCGAAGGAGAAAGCTCTTCCAAAAGGTAATAACTATGTTCATTGTTCATAAATTATGAGTAGACACAGCCATCTTTTCTATGAAGCCAAATCATTATGTTGGGGAGATGACAGGGAGAGACTGGGCCAGGCTTGATGGACCCAGTACTGTGTCCTGATAACTCTACCTTCTCCCTAAACACTTTACTTTTCTTAAGGACAGAGGCAGAGAGACAAATGATTCTGTCTGGTGAACTTCTGAGAGGCCCATTTGGAAGAAAAGAATGTGAACAATTCCCTGGCTTGAAATTGAGAACTCCAGAAATGAAAGCTTTCGAATGAGTTAGCATTGCTGCCTCAGTTTCCTTGTTTGTAGCACTGGACTTTTGCTAGTTCTTATTAATATTTCCTCCTCTGAGAGGATAAAGATTCATGTTTGCAAAGAGTTTAGAAGATTAAAAATCTGCAAATGTGGAAGAAAAAGCTGATGCAAGATGAAAGCAATTTAAATGCTGGGCTGGTTTCAATTCCGGATCCCTTTCTACCTAACATGGCTTAGTTAGGAGCTCAATTCATAAGAGGAGAAATACAGACAGGCCTGCAGGGACAGTAAACATTCTTGACTCAAGGAGTAAAAGTTGAGTGATACTTAAGGGAAGCCCACAAACTGGTTTTCTTATTTAAAAAAAAAATCAAAGCAAATGTAACCAAGAAAAGAAAAAAAAATCTTTCATCAAAAGCACCTTGGCTGAGAACAGAAGCTAACATGCATGGTGCACTTGAAAAAATTGCACATGTGGGGAGGTAGAAGACCAACAGAAACTCTGTGTGTCCTCCCCCACAAGGTCTACCTGGGCCACCACGCCTCATCCTTACTAGAGTGGCAGTTTCTGCAGGCAAACATCAGGCAGTTTGCAATGAATACTTCAGCCTGAAGATTGCTGCTGTAGGTAAAAGGAACCAGCCTGGCACTTGATAACTTGGGCAGTCCTCACATCTGAGAGTATGTTACACCCATCTGCTTCTCAATGTGTCACAAGCACCCATTTGACAGAGTGGAAAACTGAGGTTCGGAGAGGACAAGGTTGTTTGCACCGCTCCTTGCTAGGGGGTCTCCCAGCAAGTCCGTGGTATTCCAAAGCTGACCCTTCTCCCTCTTCCTCCTAAGCCCCAAATGGGCTCCAGATATGTAGAGCCTCCCCATCACGACCCACTAATAGCTTGAAATGATCTTGCAGGTTTGTTTACTTGTTCCTTGGCTGCATCCCTCACTGTAATGTAAGCCCCATGAGGGCAGGACCTTGTCTGTATTCTCCATTTTCTTCTTGGCAGAGTCATGCTAAGCATTCAGTAAACATTTATTGAAGGAGTAAATGATGAATGAATAACCTATGCTTAAACTCTGACTGATGACTCCACATCACTTTCACCTTTAGACTGTTGAGTTGAGTGGTGGTGAAGTGACTGGAGTATGTCCATTTATCCTCTAAATCTCCCAGTTTTTCTTTTCTTTTTTGAGGCAAGCTCTAGCTCTGTCACCCAGGCTGGACTGTGGTGGTGCAATCACAGCTCACTGCAGCCTTGAACTCCTGGGCTCAAGGAATCCTCCCACCTCAGCCCCCAAAAATAGTTGAGACTACAGGCACATGCCACCATGCCTGGCTAATTTATTAATATTATTATTATTATTGTTATTATTATTTTGAAGAGATGGGGGGGTCTATGTTGCCCAGGGTAGTCTCAAACTCCTGGGCTCAAGTAGTCCTTCTGCTTTGGCCTCCCCTCCCTGTTTTTCCATGGGCAAGGAGAGGCAAGCATTCTTTTTAAGGAGGAAGAAAGAGGAGTAAGAGAAGAGGAGAGAGAGATTAAAATACAATCAAAATTGAAGAAACAGTATTGATAGACTTGGGCAGTTTCACATTTGAAGAACCGAGTTTGGGGGCTACTGGGTTGATTTGGGGATAAGGAGAAGAGTCAATTAATGGGAATTTACTGTGGCAACATGAATAACTTTTAAATGCCCCTTTCTCCAAAGAAACTAGAGTAAAACTAAGAAGGGTTAATGGTGGACATCGTTAGGCCTAAAGGCTGTGGGGACACAGAGTGCCCTTCTGCAGTCTGGCTCCCGGGGTCTGGTATTTTCTGAGCAGCTGCCTTTGCAGGCAGAGATAATATGGCTGCAACAAAGGCCTCTAGGCCTAGTGGACAAGGAGAATGGTGATGCTCCCAGTGGGTCTGGGCAAAGGGAGAAAGGCTATAAAGCCATCAGCAGACTGAGCCACTGGGTGTCCACACAAAAGTAAGGTCCTATAAACAGACATCTGTATTGTGACTGAAGGGCTAATAAAATTGCCTTAGAAAAGAGAGGTTTTCCACCACAGCCTATTCATAACAAAGACCGTACTGGGAGATGATACCCAGGGAGAAGATCCTTTGAGGTCTGGCAAGTGTCAGAGCTGCCTTGTGATAGGGATTTGCCTGGCCAGATCCCAGCCTCTTCATCACTGTCACAGAGGGCATCTCCATCAGTATCATTATCACCATCATCATCACCATCATCATGACAGATAGCTGCCGATCACCGGCAGGCCCAAGGAGGCTCGTCCCAAGCAACACCAGGTGTTGGGCACTGAGATAGGAGCACCAGCCAAGTGCTCAGGGAGCACCACCAGAGACCTAATGGCTGCCCAGAGCAGGGCAGTTTTGTTTCTGTCTGTCCAGATAATTGATTTGCAGTAGTCCAGTCCCTTTTCTAGACCTCATTTTGCTCAAAGGAAACAAAAGAGGAGACGTTCTTGCTCTTTTCTTGCCCTAGGGATCCTGGTAAGAGATTTTAAAATGAATGAAAGTAGTAGAACATTAAAGTAACTAGTAGAACTAAATTAAATGAGTAGACTAGTTTACTAGTAGAACATTAGGGAGAAACTCATGATACGTTCTTTGAAAACTTTCTGGTAACATTAAATGTCGACATTAATTTGTGAACTGTACACTTAAGCAGTGTTAATAGGGTTGAAGCTGGGTGACACTGTTTCTAGAGAAGAGAAAATATGCCTTTATATATACATATATATATAATTATATAGCACATATATGCTATATAAAACAAAACTAATCCTAGGCTCAGTTTAATTCTTAAACTGAATACCAAATTTATAAAACAGGGGGTTTCTGCATATGCTTTGACAGGAAGCCTTCTATAATAGATATCTTTATTTCACAAATATATGGAGTGTCTACCATGTGCCAGGCACAGGGCTATGGGCTGGAGACACAATGATGAAGAAAGCTACCTCAGGCTCAGATGTTGGTACAGCCCACAATTCTGCCACTCAGAATACATACATACAGAGCAAGGTGTTCAGAGACTTCGGGGACCTTCTTCTTCACGGTGAGATTGAAGTTTACAGGTAGGGATGCAAACCCTCTAGTTCCCCTGGCTGTAGGGTTGTAGACAATGAAGAAGAACGGCCGCTCATTTCTGTCTCCATCCATAAAACACCTTGAGATAAATTAAGCACTTTTGTGCCCATCGTGCAAACTGATGTTACACAAATAGGAGATGTTGTTTAAGGGTTTTCCACTCTTGCTGAACAAGAACTCACATAGACTTCACTGCCAACCCAGTCCAATGGGTGCCAAGCAGGAAGAGGCACCCTGCAGTGGACAGGGCCAGAAGGCATGGGCATGCCAGCTGCTATTCAGAAGCCCTCAAAGTGTTAACCTCTAGCAGTTATAGGTGTCTCGTTTATACCCATTATAAATCTGTTTATTGTGACTGGCCCCACCCAATCTGCTGGTGTCGTAAAGCTCTAATGATCCCTAATAAAGGTGGAAGGCTTCTAACAGCACACAGTTCCTGAAACGGGGAAGGAGCGAGGGAGTGAGGGAGAGAAGGAGAGAGAGACAATGATGAGTTTCACAATAAAATACCACAATGGCAAGCCTCCCTCTGCACTCCAAGCTGCGGAGTCCTGGGCCCCAAGACTGGATGCCACACACAGTCTTCAAATAATAGCCTGTCAGAGTGGAAAGGCCCTCATCCCACACCCTCATTTGCCAGAATTCCCAGGAAGTTAAATGATTCACCCAAGGTCACCCTTGCTCATTGGTGGCTCTGATCTCCTGAATCCTAGTCCAAGGCCCCTCACCCCGGCTGCTTCTCTTTTCCCATTTCAGCAAGGGGCCATGAGGATTACCTTCAACCCCTTCAGAACTCTCCTGCTCCATCTGGCCTAGTAATGTCAACCCTGACTATGCATCCAAATCTCTCTCTCTTTTTTTTTTTTTTTTAGAGACAGGGTCTCACTCTGTCACCCGGGCTGTACTGCAGTGGCGCCAATGGGCACAAAGTGCTTAATTTATCTCAAGGTGTTTTATAGAAGGAGACAAAAATAAGCAGCCTGTGTTCCTTGTTGTCTACAACCCAACTGCCATAGCTCACTTCAGCCTCAAACTCCTGGGTTCAAGTGACCCTGCTACCTTAGCCTCACAAGTAGCTGGGACTCTACGTGAATCTCTTAGGGCTTTTGTCGAAAGTTCTTATGCCTGTGAACCCCTCATCTCTCAATTCTGACTCCAAAGGTGTGCGTGGGTGGAGGGAGCCATGTCTATTTTTAATGAGCTCCCTGGATGATTTTTATGTGGTCTGGAGAGAGATTTGAGAACCACAGATCTTGCCAATACTTAGTTCATTGTTTCTGATGTTTCAAATGACAAGCAGGGTTCATGGAAAGGGAAATCCTTCCCGATTGAAACTACAAGGTAAGACCCTTGTCAAGAACCCAGGGAGAACCCAAGCTCTTCCGTTCTCTCAACACCCTGAAGTTTCTGAGTCAATTCAATAATACTGTAATGGCAGCTAACCTTCCTTGCCAGGCACTGTGCTTGGCACTGGGTGTGTCTGATCATATTTAAGCCTCATTGCACCCCTAAGGGGATAGGTATTGGGACAGAGAAGCTAATAACTTAAGGTCACACTGCCGGATAGTGACAGAACCACAACCCAAGCCAAGCCTGATTTGGGTGCTATACTTGGCTACCCAGACACACGCATCTGAATCCGGTCCTGAGAAGGGACTGGCCATAACCAGCTCACCTTGGCTCAGGTAGGCTTCCCTTGGGAAAGTCTACATGCTAAAGACCATCTGCAAGGTGTTTCTCCAACTTAGGAAGAACATGCAGAGTACAAGTCCTGAGAAAACTGACTCTTGACTTCCCAAAAGCATTGGAAGCATCGAGTCCCCCCTTGCCAGTTGATTCCTCAGTGGCTGAACTCACGCAAGTGTGCTATTGCGGAGGCTGCTGAAGTTGGAGCATAGGGTAACAGGAAGGTACCTGAAGCAGACGCATGCTCACAGGTTGAGGGAAGTGGTTTCCAGAAAATCAGCCCTTAGGAGCTCTGAGGTTTCCCTTTGCTCACCGTGGGGCTGTGTGCACCTTCTCCTTCTTAAATGCTCCTTCGCCTGAAGTTTGGGGGCCATTAAGCTTCCCAGATGCAGCCTCCACCAGGAACATCCCACACCCCTCTACCTGGCAGGTTCCCAGGGCTAATTACTAACAAGCAATACACATGAGAGGAGTACTCACACCTCCTTTAATTAAAAAAGAAAAATGGCCGGGCGCGGTGGCTCACGGCTGTAATCCCAGCACTTTGGGAGGCCGAGGCGGGCAGATCACGAGGTCAGGAGATGGAGACCATCCTGGCTAACACGGTGAAACCCCGTCTCTACTAAAAAAAAAAAAATACAAAAAATTAGCCGGGCGTGGTGGTGGACGCCTGTAGTCCCAGCTACTCGGGAGGCTGAGGCCGGAGAATGGCGTGAACCCGGGAGGCGGAGCTTGCAGTGAGCCGAGATCGCGCCACTGCACTCCAGCCTGGGAGATAGCGAGACTCTGTCTCAAAAAAAAAAATTAAAAGAAAAAGAAAAAAGAAAAATGCCCTGTTAGTTACAGGAAATTCATGGTCATCTCGACTTCATGAACATCATGAACCTGACCTCCTGCTACATGGTCATGACCCTCCCCTCTGCCCCCACCAATCCATGGTCTTCCCAGCTTCCCCTCACTGTTTCCTGAATTTGTACTAAATGCCTTACGGCACTCAATATGCCTTGTGGATGTCACAGAGAAGTCCTAGGAAGAGCAGGAGATTGCCTCATACCCAATGTGCTGCAACAAGCCAGCCTAAGTTTGCTGCAAACACCAAGATGAATATCTAGTTGGAGATACTCAAATTCTTTAAAAATCAAGGTTGAATGAAACCTCCAAGAAGGACAAGGAAAGAGGGAAAAAACTAAAAAAACAAAAAAACAAAGAAACAACCCCCAAGTCTCTGCAAGGAATGGTAACAGCTACTATTTATGAGAATCTGGTATGTCTGGAGTGTTTTACATATATATTATCTTATTTAATTCTTCCAGCATCTGCATGAGTGGATGTCTCCACACCTCAAGAGGCAAGCACAGAGATTCCAGAGACTTGCCCAAGGTCACACAGCAGTAAGTGCCAAAGTGAAGGTTGGAATTTGGGTCTGCCTCCATAGCCTGTAATTTTGTCACTGTGCCGGCTGGATTTAAAAGAGCATTTCCCCATATTAGATGTCAAGGCTGGTGATGGTGAGGCAAATTACACAGGTTGGGAGGCAAAGGGGAGTTAGTTGCTAATCCAACTCCAGTACTCAAAAGTGTGTCCCAGACCATCCTCTTCAACAGCACCTGGGAACTTGTTGAAAATGCAGAAACCCAGGCCTCACCCCAGGCCTATAGAATGAGAATCTGTATCCTAACACCCCCCACCCCAGGGAATTGGCATGCACTTTAACATTTGAGAAGCTAAATTTGAGAACCTTAGAACTGGTTCTCAAATTTAGCTACACATTGGTATCACTTAGAAAGTTTTAACTACTGATATGTAGTCCCACTCCCCAGCTGTTCTGACAGGTCCAGGGTGCAGCTTGGATACTGGGATTTTTAAATACTCCCTCGGGTGATTCTAAAGTGTGGCCACATTTGAGAACTATTGTCCTACAGCGGGGTCAGCAAACTGGTCTGTTGGCCAAAGCAGCCTGTTTTTGTATGACCCACAAGCTAAGAATGGGTTTTACATTTTTAAACAGTTGAGAAAAAATCAATTAAAGACTATAGGATGATATGTGAAAATTATATGAAATTTAAATTTCAGTCCCCATAAAATAAAGTTTGACTGGAAGACAGTGATGTTCATTCACTTCCATGTCTATGGTCTATGGCTGCTTTGGTGCTACAAAGGCACAGTTGAGTAATTACAACTGAATAGTTTAAAGTACTTAATAGTTACTATCTGGCTCTTTACAGAAAAAGTTTGTCAATCCCTGTTCTAGAGAATTTATGAATAGCTAGGATAATAACCATGACTGACTAATTGATCTGACTTTATTTGTGGGCTGCATTCCTTTTATATATATAACTTCTATATGTATGCGTGTGTGTGTGTGTGTGTGTGTGTGTGTGTATATATATATAATACATATATATGTATGTATATTTCTCTCTCTCCTCTTCATTTGTGTTTATACTTCCCCCTAAAAAATAGGTAGAGGCATAAAGCCAGATCTTGTTCCATTCCATTAAGCAGGTAGCTTCAAAGGCCCTTGCACAGATCTCTGCCTCTCTCTGCACCTGTAATACCTAATTCTCTCCAAGTTCCTGTCGCTTCTCATCAAACCTTCAACAGTTTCCAAGAGCACTTCTCCCATAAGCTGCAGGCCAGGGCTGTGTGCTTGCAGGCAGCTTCCTTCCTCCTCAGAGCTCACTGGAGGCGGCAAGGAGTCCTTGAATCGTCTAAGGATCCTTCAGGCGGATTAGGCATGACCCTTTGGTGATAGGACTCCAGTATCTCCTGGCCCCTTTGTGCAGAGGCTTGGAGCCCCACGAGCACAGCAGCCTGGTTTCTTTGTATGCAGACCAGGGCTGGTCCCCTATCAGAGGGAGGCTGACAGCAGAACACCCTGAAGGCTAGGCCTCTTAATCTCATTAATATCCTGATTGTCTTCCCCAACCCAGTGGCAGCTGATGGGGTGGTACCCACAAGATAAAATGACCTTCAAATTCAAGAGATAAAATGGCACTCAGATAAAGTCCCTAAGAAGGAGAATGCTGGAGCCACCCATGTCCGCCACTAAACCTCAAGTCAGTATGAATGTGTTTCCTAGAATAGCAGACATTTCAAGGCAGGATTTGTCTCTCTTCTGAACTGAAATAATCTGCTACTTAAGGACAATGGGCCTTATTTACCGTGAGGAACTTTGCTGCTGAGATGAATATTTTTACAACTACCCTCATAAACCCCTCCCGCTGTCTGCTGCCCAGGGAGGGGGCGGAGCTCCCAGAGGTGAGCTGAGGTGCTTGCACTGTCTCAGAAGCCCCATTAAGTTGTTAAGGCATTTAGTAGTCCAGACAGTGCCGACTGCAAGGGCAGTTCAAATCCCCACACAAATGGGGATGGGGTCATGAAAGAGGGGGCTTTGATTTCTTGCCTGGGCAGGGCACAGAATCCACCTTGGTCAGGGGCAGTGGTTGGGGAGGAAGTAGTAAACTACCCAGAATGGGAGACTCTCACCCTTACCCCACCTCTTTGGCCATGATCTCCCAAAGCCTCAGTGTCATTTAGAGGGGAACAGTAGGAATGTGGGAAAAGGAACTGCTGGGGGCTGTGTGTGTGTGTGTGTGTGTCTTTCTCTCTCTCTCTCTCTGTGTTGGGTTTAGTGCCTGAAAAGTTCTTAGCATCTGCATAAAGCAAAAAGAGATGGACAGTGTGCAACAGCTCAAAACCTCTCCCCACCACTTACTAAGAATATGAACTTGGGCACATGCCTTCCATTCTAAATAGTTCACTTCTCCTGATTGTAAAATGAAGATGACACTAGAGATGGCTCCTACTCTGCAGGGCTGTTGTGTGGGTCACATAAGATGATGCATGGAGGAACTCGGCCCAGGGCCTGGGACCAAGGAAGTGCTCCATCAACACTGGCCATTAGAATTCCTCTCGTTGAGTCACTACCTTGCCACTGGACACTTTGGAGATTTCCTCGTGTCCTGCAGAATTCAGTGCCAGGGAAAACAACAGCATTCACATAGGTACCCTGGCCCAGAGTTTGGCTGGTCTGAGACCCAGGGTTAGATTCCCTCAGGTAACCTGGGAGGGGCTGTGAAGGGGGATGAGCGAGAGGCAGGAGGCAGGATTCTCTGTTTTTCAAGCTCTAAGCCACATCAAGGAAGTCAAGTCCACTGGGCTTGGAGAGGGAGGAATAGAGTTCAGCGAAAGGGAGGAGCAGCAGCCACAGAAATAAATGTCTCCTCTTTGGTGAAGGGGCTATGGTTCGGGACCCCTGAAAGTCCTCCTGGCAGGGCCTCTTCTCTTTTTCTTTGTGCCTCACTTTCTTTCCAGGAGAATAAGTCCCCCCTTCCCTCTCAAAGGTGACACAAGAGTGAGGACATCATGCGTGGGAGAGCGGAGGCTGATGAAGACCTTTTACCCCTCCTCTCCTCCTCAAGGTAGTGGCCAGGTGAGCTTGCTGCCGACTAGAGCAAAGGGTACAGGGAGCAAGGTCGCCACAGATCACACAGCAGATACCACAGCTTGGGCCAAGGCTAGCCAAGTTTCCATCCCGCGCCAACTTCCTCCTCCTCCTCCTCGAGCCAATCAATACAAGCACCAGGCTCCAACCAGTCCTTCTCCTTGCTGCCGCCCTGCCCTCTGACCTTTTAGGGGCCTTTCTCTTGATTCATCTCCAGAAGGGAGGTAGAGGCCATCACTCCAGACCTGCTCAATGGCTTCAGAATGGGCTGTCATGGAGCCTATAACCAGGGACAGCTCCTGCTGGCCAAGAGCTGGAATAGGGGGTGGGGGCGGATAAAGGCCTTCCAGGCTGAAGATAAATGGCTGCCTGCAGCCTGCTACAGTAACTTCAGGCCCCCAAGAAGAGCAAACAAAGGGTGCCCCTGTGACACTCCCTGGAAAGATGAAGGCCCAGCAGCGGCAGCCAGGCTGGTTCAAAGCCCCAACTTAATTGTCAATTAAGCATGCATAAGGGAGACAAAGCCATGACAACCCTTGGCTGCATGCTGGTGTGTGATTGTAAAGCCAAGGAGGGGCAACGCTGGAAACAGCTGACTCTGCTGACAGTGTGTTTGTAGGGCATCTTGTAACCAATCAGCCGCTGACAGAGGCAGAGTGCTCCTCCTGCCACCCCTATTGTGCCGGACATTCCAGGACTAGGGTCACACCGTGGTCATCGTGGGCAAGTGGGCCACAGCATGGTAAGCATGGCTGGGAGGGAAGGTGCTGTTAGAGAAAGGCTGCTCTTCCTCTCTAGGAAGAGGGTTCTGGGGAAGCTTCGTCTCCAAGGTGCTGCCAGCCCTCCTGGCTCAGGTGCTGATGTTTGGAGAGGGGAGAGCGTGGAGAGTGGGTGTGGAGGGATTCGGGCCTTGTTCCCCCCAGCTCAGTCTTTGGGGTTGCTAGTGCTGACGGTGGATTTTGGGCTCTCCTCAGCAACATGGAGTTTTTTTTGTTGTTTTTTTTTTAAGACAGAGTCTTGCTCTGTTGCTCAGGTTGGAGTGGAGTGGAGTGGCCCATCTCGGCTCACTGCAACCTCCACTTCCCGCCTCCCGGGTTCAAGCGATTCTCCTGCCTCAGCCTCCGGAGTCGCTGGGATTACAGGCACCTGCCACCACGCCCAGCTGATTTTTGTGTTTTTAGTAGAGATGGGGTTTCACCATGTTGGTCAGGCTGGTCTCAAACTCCTGACCTCAAGTGATCTGCCTGCCTTGGCCTTCCAAAGTTCTGGGATTTCAGGTGTGAGCCACCACACCTAGCCCACAGAGCGTTTTTTTTTTTTTTGAGACGGAGTCTCGCTCTGTCACCCAGGCTAGAGTGCAGTGGCGTGATCTCTGCTCCCTGCAAGCTCCGCCTCCTGGGTTCACGCCATTCTCCTGCCTCAGCCTCCCAAGTAGCTGGGACTACAGGCACCCGCCACCACACCCGGCTAATTTTTTGTATTTTTAGTACAGACGGGGTTTCACTGTGTTAGCCAGGATGGCCTCGATCTCCTGACTTCGTGATCCGCCCGCCTCGGCCTCCCAAAGTGCTGGGATTACAGGCGTGAGCCACCGCACCCGGCCTTTTTTTTTTTTTTTTTTTCGGTATTCTGCACACAGTTACGTTTCTGGCTTGGTTAGTGACCCTACCTTGGCTGTGGGCACTGAGGTGGGAAGAGTGCCATGCGGCTCTACAGACAGAAGCCACCCCTGAATGCTGGGCTCCAGCCTGCTGTCTGCCTGAGTGCATGACTCGGGAGCCCTGTCACGGCACACACGCCATCCTGGCAGCCTGAGGTGGGGACACAAGTCTTTGACCCCAGCATCGTGCATCTCAGGCACTAGCACAGCAGCCACCTCTGTTTCTAGTTCCAGGGCCAGGCTACATCTCACTGCCTCTTAGGGGGAATGCCCTGGTGTGTGAGATCAAAAAGAAAATGATTTCTGCTGCCTGCCAGTCTTCTCACTGCCCTTGTTTAGCCCTCTCTAATGTTAAGAGTCATAATGAGGGTAGTATGGGTTATCGGGAAAGGTGTCTTTAT
This sequence comes from Homo sapiens, assembly GCF_000001405.40. Lineage (NCBI taxonomy): Eukaryota > Metazoa > Chordata > Mammalia > Primates > Hominidae > Homo > Homo sapiens. The sequence continues at coordinate 1,968,120 of NT_187614.1, forward strand.
ACATTCACTCCTTTCATCCTCACATGCACCCTGTGTGGAAGGTCCTATTTCTCCATTTTGTAGGCAGGAAATTCAGACTCAGAGAAGTTATGTGAATTAGCCACAGTTATAACCTTACTGGTTAGAACCCAGATACATAACTACACTCAGAGAAAGAGAAGCCAGTCCCTGGGCTTGGGACAAGGACCATGTTGAGGAGCCCAGAGTGAAAATTAAAGCAGAAGGGCTGGGCACAATCTCACAACTGTAATCCCAGCACTTTGGGAGGCTAAGACAGGAGGACTGCTTGAGACCAGGAGTTCGAGGCTGTAGTGAGCCAAGACTGCACCACTGCACTCTAGCTCGGGTGACAGAGGTAGACCCTGTCTCTCAAAAAAAAAAAAAAAAAAAAAAGACAGAAGAAAGGCAGCCACTGATAATATTCAGTGTCCCATAACTGTTGCTCCAGAAACAGTAATAGGATCTATTACACCGCAGAAAGATCCACAAAGCCCCCAAACAAAACCTCCATCTGCAGCTGGTTCTGGGGACTCGACAGTGACCCGATATCCTTCCTACCAGACAGTAACCTCCCAGAGGGCAGGACGCGCAGCTCGTACATCACTAGCATATTCCCAGGACTTGGTAAGCATTCAACACATCGTAGTGCTGTGGGAAAGTATGGAGTGGGAACCAGCAGGCCTGAGCTCTAGTCCTTGTTTTGCTACCATTGCTCTGTGTCACTTTGGCAAATCACTGCCTCTTTCTGGGCCTCAGTTCCTTTCTTCAAATTCCCTCCAAATTCTAACATTACAAGATTTTTAGAAAGATCCAGACTTCAGGGGCACCCCAGAGTATCCACTTCCCATGGGACACGCCCTTCCTAGACTCCAGTCAGAGGAGTACACAGGCTGTGTTTTCTGCCCTGCTCCCTGTCCCTCCAGCCCTAGCTCTCTGGGTCTCCTGTCAGCACACAGGATGCCTAAACCAACGACCCCGTGGTGACCTCAGCACAGCCCTTGCTTGTCAGAAGGCTGCTGGGCCTTTGTTTGGCTTCCAGGCTCCCTGACTTTGGTGTGGAGATCACAGGTCCCAACACAATGGCCATTGTCTTCCCAGTAATGCCCCTTGCCCCAACCACGCCCCCTGTAGCTCCCAGCTTCAGCTCCGTGGATCGCTGTGGTGGGCAAGCACACTGGTACTGCTCAGTGCCAGCCATGTGCCATTTGCCACAACCCTCAGAACCCTGCTTTGAATTTCCCTAAAGGGGCGAAGTTACTCTGCAATCAGGCCAGTCTTTGCCTAGGGGCTTCTCTGCCTCTTAAGTAACCAAGACTTTCTTCCTGTGTGGCTGAGCCTCTCTCCTCTGTGGGAGTGGGACCTACAGAAACCCCCAGCACTGGCCCCACCTTCATGCTGGGCACTGTCAGGCTCCCAGAGGCCCTGGAAGAGGCAGTGCTATGGGAGGGCACAGCAGGCATGGAACAAATGCTTGTACACCACCCAGCTGATGGCTCCGAGCCTGTCTTGGTGGCTTTGGTCCCCTCAACACTTGGGTCAGCCCCCAGCCCTCAGGCCTTTCTCATCAGAAGGGCAACCGACAGGTGAGGGGAGCCAACAGGTTTCAGAATCACCCCTGAGTTAGAAACAGTGTTTGGCTTTCCTTTCGCAAGCCCTTTTCTTGGAGCAGGCAGGAGGCTGCTACACTTTGTCCTCATGGGCACCACACAGACCCCAGTGAGCACATCCATTCTAGGAAGCCAGCTTTGCCAGAAGAATGAAGGACCAGAAGAAGTGCTCCATCCCAGCCTGTGCCTAACACAGCGCTCAGCATGAGGTGTGCTTTCCCCCGAGGAGGCTGTAGGATTCCATCCTGACAAACCCAAAGCCCACAGCAGAGGCATTCTAATCCAGGCCAGGGCCCAGCACACAGGAGCACTCAATCAAGCATGATGGAGCAGGTACTCGGTCAGTTTTTCCCAACTCATTGCTGCAAAGATTTCAAGTGACTGACCCCCACCAACCCTGATGACACACGGAAGCCAACAAGCAGAGGCCACCAACAGAGTGGCCGTCCCCAAAGGCTACTGAGCTTCTCCTGAGGCAGCCGGACCGAGCGAGGGGCAGGATATGGCCAGAGATGGAGGAGGTGGCCGGAGTGCCATCCTCCAACACAGTGAGGGTTGCCACGCCATCACGACCCGTTTGCCTGCGGTTTGGATCTGGCCCACCCATAAGGCAGCCTCCTCAGTGTAGAATGACCGCTGAGTCAGCAGCCACACAGGGAGAAGAAGAGGGAAGGAGACAAATAGGGTAAAGGGCTCCCTGGAAGCCGAGTGAGCCCTCACAGGGCAATGGCTGAACCAGGAGTTGGAGGAAACTGATCAGAGCCACACATTATTTCCAGGGGAGTATATTCTGGCAATGAGAGAGCGGCCCTAGGATCATCTCAAAAGCGTTTGCTCCTCTGAAAACCCTTAAACCAGATAAGATCCGTGGCAAGAACCAGGATGGTTGGGTTGCCGAGGCAGTGAGGCCCAACCTTTGCTTACCTGACAGCTTGTTTGGAGGAGAGGAGCTGGGCTGGTGGTGGGGGGAGCCGTGGGAGAGCAGAGGGTTCAGGCTGTGAGTCTGGTTGGAGCTATAGGCGTCCATGGCCAGCTTTTGCCGGAATGCCTCCTCCTTCCTGCGGTTTGCAAACCAGTTGTAGACACGGACCTCAGTGACCAAGTTGGAGCCCAGGCCGTGGGCTTTGGAGGGGGACACCCCTCGCTGCAAACATTCTGCCCTGGGAATGGATGGAGGGGAGATGGTGAGTGAGGGGGGGCGGGGGGACTTGTTGGTGCTTGGCCAAAAACACACAATCACAGCAGTCTTGGTTGGGAGTATGAAGGGGCCGTGGGCAGAATGGAAGGCTGGGGAGGAGAGGCCTATGCAGAGAAAAGGCCAATCCATGGAGTGATCTGATGAAGATGGCTGAAGTGGGCCTGAACGCAGGGACAGAGCAGGCTATGCCGCCCTGGGAGTCAGGGGCTTAGGCTCTGGTGTGGCTCTCGAGGAGAAGAGAGCAAGCCGGGGACAGGCAGTCCAGGGGAAGGTCCAGATGGGGCTTCCTTATTTAGCCATTCTTCCCACCACATAAAAGGCAAAGCCCTTCGCTGGCTCTGTCTTGAGTGGCTTCAAAGCACTTCGAGAGGATTTCTGGTCTTTTGGGGCTTGAACTCCCTGAAAGAGTGCCAGGAAGCAAGATGCTTTATCCCCTCCAAAAGGCAGGCTGGGTGGGGTACAAAGCAGGGTGCATTGAGATGGCCAGTCTCTAGCTTTATCAGGGCTGGTGAAACCTCAAAACCAGGTGCGAGAGATTCTTAGACACTACTGGGTGCTGCAAGGCATCTCATTAGTCGGGGTATGGAGCACAGCCTGAGGACTCAGTGGCAATACAGGCCTCCCTGCTTCCCAGCCTGACCTCCCTGGCTGCATTCTTCCCACAGCCAAGGCCAGCCCAGCCCAGAGACAGAGAAAGCGCACACAGGCCTTGGCCAGACCAAAGAGCTGAAGTTTTAGAAAGTCAATACTGGAGTCAGGGAGAACAGGGCAGGAATGAAGTAAAAAGATTTCCCAAGGCTTTCCAATCGTTTAAAAAAAAAATAGCTGGGCCCTGTGGCTAGAGCCTGTAATCCCAGCTATTTAGGAGGCCAAGGCAGGAGGATCGCTTAAGCCCAGTTCAAGATCTGCTGGGCAACATAGCAAGACCACATTTTAAAAATAAATACTTAAAATAACACAGAGTTGTTTTTTTGTTTTTTTGTTTTTTTTTTTAAATAGAGATAGGGTTTCACCATGTTGCCCAGGCTGGTCTCAAACTCCTGGGCTCAAGCAATCCTCCCGCCTCGGCCTCCCAAAGTGCTGGGATTATAAGTGTGAGCCACCGTGCCTGGCTGGTAGTTAACAAGTAAAAAGAACTCTGTTGAGTCAGCGGGGGCAGAGTAGACTGAACAGATCTGACCAATTCTTACTCTCCTGCCAAGTTTCCTTTTGGACCACTGCATGTCTGACAATTGGTAGAGGCCAGATCTAGAGTCTGTGGCTAAGGGAAAGTTTTACCCTGGCCTGCAGGGAGGTCAAACACACAATTTCGCTTCCCAAGTATCATATTTTAAATTAGCATTCTCCAGAGTATCTTCCCTGGAAGAATAATTCATGGGGTTGTTTGTACTCTACCGAAGATTCCATAGTTAACAACCAATTCAACAAAGCTAAGTGGGTTTCTTGACTGCAGGGCTTCTCGGAACCTTTAATATATGTTGTGACTCTCTAAGGGGAAGTATCCATATGCTGATTCTCAGACTTACTGATTAATGAATTGATATTGGGGTTCTGTGGAACATACTTTGAGAAGCTCTGATTTAGCCACACTTATCTGTATAACTAGTGTCTCAATATCCCAGGACCGAGGGGAGGGTTCCTGGGTCTGTGTACTTGCCCACCTGCCCAGGTGAGCTTCTGGTGGTGTTACCTGTTGCATTCCTCCACTAAGGCCTCTCTCTCTTCCTTGCTGGGGTTCTTTTGCCGATCGTAGGCCTGGTACAAGATTTGCTGGGACGCGGGCCCCCATTTGAACCGGTTGCGGCGCATCTTCTTGTTGGTGGGCTCAGAGCAGGCATCATCGGACTGCCCAGGCCCATGGCTCTGTTGACTGAACTCTGGAAAGAGAAACAGCAGCTGATCCTGACTGCTTTTGTCTGTCATATTTCCAGAACTCTGGACTGTCTGGTTGAATTCTGAAAAGAGAAAGGAGTAGATTTGATAGGGTCTGTAGCCTTCACTCAGCAGACAGACAGACAGACAGACAACGGACGAAGACACCTTTATTCCCCTCGTCTAACTAAGCTTTGCAACCTTCTCTCACTGCATGTGGAGCTGGAGATGGGGAGCCCTCAGCACAGGCCCTTACTGCCCACCTCAGTTGCTCCAGCAAAGCCACCCTTTTCCTTTCTTTGAAGGAGCTCAAACATAGCCAGCTATAGTTTTAAGAAAATTATTATTTTTTCCCCTTTGGCTCACTGGCCTTCAGAGATGAAGCAACACTCTGCATCCTGAACTCCTGTATTTGATGTCAAGTGGGTGAGCTCAATCAAGTCTCACATCCAGGGGAGAACTGCTCAAAGGTACAATTTACACTTGCACAAAATATTCAGAGGCTGTAGATAGCACTCCCCACCTCTCCTCCCTCTTCCTATATCCTAGGTATCTACATTATAAAGTCAGGTTTTTAGAAAAACCCCAAACCTTTTGGAACATGCTTTGAAATAAATATAACTGGAGCTTTGTATTGGAAAAAGAAAATGTGCTTTAGATCTCAAAATAATTTCAAAGACTACAAACACAGGACCTGTCTGGGAGTAGTGTTTAATTAGCTGGAAATGATGCTCCCTGTCTGTCCAATTCCTTGAGTCCAGGCATACTGTGACCATCAGGAGATTTTTGTGGAATGAATGAGAACCAGCAGCTCGGCCCAGAGGTGATGCCTTAGCCCACATGGTTTAATGAGATTTGATATCTACATTACCGAAGAAGAAAGCTTTGCTGTCCTCGTCTTCACATCTGCATGAAGCAGGGCTCATCAGGAGTGATTAATTCCATTTTAAAGATGAATAAACATGGAGGCTAAGCACTCTGCTGAGCAAAGACACGTAATACATTCATCTCCTAGCTCTGGGTCCCTATGTTCTGGATCTTAATATCTTTTTTTTTTTTTTTTTGAGACAGAGTTTGCCTCTTGTTGCCCAGGCTGGAGTACAGTGGTGTGATCTCGGCTCACTACAATCTCCGCCTCCCGGGTTCAAACAATTCTCCTGCCTCAGCCTCCTGAGTAGCTGGGATTATAGGTGTGCGGCACCATGCCCAGCTAATTTTTTGTATTTTTAGTAGAGATGGGGTTTCATCATGTTGGGCAGGCTGGTCTCAAACTCCCGACCTCAGGTGATCCACCTGCCTCAGCCTCCCAAAGTGCAGGGATTACAGGTGTGAGCCACCGTGCCCGACCTTGATGACTTTCTTTCTCAGTTCCTGTAATTACTCCCACAGGTCACAGAAAGTGGAAGGCTACCACCTCCCTTTGTGATGTAAATGATGTGCCATCATTTACATGCCATCCTTCCTGTTCCTTTGGACAACTGGATCCAAAATCCTCAAGGTTCAAGTCAGGCTACTACTTAACGTTTGAATCCCCTCTACAACCCCACACCAAGTGGCCCTCCAGGCTATATGCCTCCAGCAGCAGGGAACTTACCACCTGTCTTAGGCTCATTTCCATTTTGCTCCATCGGGAGGAATGGTTAGGGCCCCTAGCCCGCCAAGACTTGCAATCCCAACTGCAGGTGGTGTTGGGCTTTGTTTAACTGTGGACTGATGGTGTCACTGGGGCCTTTGATTTCGGCCCATTCACCTTGGAGGATTCTTAGGCCACCTTAGGGCTCTGTTTTCAGTGGTGCCCAACAATGCCACTATAGACCTGAGAGAGTCCCTGTCAAATGTACTAGCAGGAAGTCACTGCTAGTGGGATCATGTGGGGCCCCAGCTTAATTCCCTCATCATTTAGTCTCCCCAGCTGTGGAATGAGACTGACTGAAAGCTTAGGGACACTAACTAGTCTTTTAGAATATCTACCCCTAGTCAGGATGATAGTGATGTTGGCCCAAATTCCTTTGGGGGTTATACTTTTTCTTTTTTTCAAACAAGGTCTTGCTCTGTGACCCAGGCTGGAATGCAGTAGTACGATCATAGCTCACTGCAGCCTTGACCTCCTGGGCTCAAGCCATCCTCTCGCCTTAGCCTCCCAAGTAGCTGGGACTACGGATGTGCAGGCCACCACATCTGACTAATTAAAAAAAATTATTTTTGTAGAGACGGGGTCTCGCTATGTTGCCCAAGCTGGTCTCAGACTCCTGGCCTCAAGCAGTCTTCCCGCCACCTCAGCCTCCCAAAGCATTGGGGTTACAGGCGTGAGCCACCATGCCCCACCTGATTATACTTTTCAAAGTGCTTTAGCCCCTCTATGGTATTTGACTTCACAGCAGCTCTCTAAATGCAGTTACTTGAGGGGAAATCCAAGGGGGAGAAGGAGATGTCCCCTGCTCAGTGAGGTCTGTCACAGTGTCTTCCCTCCTCCCCGTGGGCCCTGTGTGGCACCAGTAGAGTCACCAATGGCGAAAGCCAGTGTGGATCATCCCAAGGGCCTGGGAGCAATGTGAGATTTTTTCATTTAATGTGAACAGACACAATAACGGTTCACATTTATTGAACCTTTTCTGTGGTGAGGTATTGTGCCAAATCCTCTAAATATATTCCTTCATCTAATTCTTACGACCGCTCCATGTGAGAAGTATAGCCACCTCCATTTTACAGATGAAGAAACTGAGGTTCAGACTGGTGAAGTGACTTGCCCAAAGTCATGTGGACTTGGGGCAGGAGCCTGGACATGAGCCCAGCCTGCAGGCTTGCAGGCTCCTAACTACCAGCCTGTGCATCACCTCTCACTAAAAACAAAACCCAAGCCACGTACCCCGCAAACGCTTCATATCTGACTTGTGTGGAGGTGACAAAACCGATTCCTGAAGCTTTGTGTCTGGTGGGTGTGAGACACTCTCGCAGCTGCTCCCCAGTGTGAGGGCTGCCTCAGTCTCTCACCTGCCCTTTGAGGAGGTAGCAGGCTGAACAGTGTTCAGAACTCAGTGTGTCCTCAAATCAGCCAGGTGGGTTTGCCTGTAGGTGCTCAGAACCATTCGGGTTCCACTGACATCAGGGGCTTGGCTCTAGCCTCTCCCAATTTTTGAAGAACTAGACTCCCACATTTGCTCCCTCTAGCCACCAACAACTCTTCTCTACTTCCCTTCAGATTAATTGGGGTTGGGGAAGAAAATGTTCATTGCCCATGAAAATTATCTTGGAGAAGTTGGCTTCAGTAGCCTCTTTATAGGCTTGGGGGCTGCTTGGACAAGGAGGTTCTGTGTGTGTAGAGGGGCCCATGAATATTACCATTTGTTATTTTTAGTTTTTCCAGGAAATTTGTAATCATGTATCATTTTTTATTCTCTCCCCTCTTCCTCCTTCTCCTCACCCCATTCACTTGTGTCCCTCTTTTATTTCTCTTACTTCCTAATTCTTATATCATGCTTGCATGTCTTACATTCATCCTTCAAGACATGATTTGAATGTCACCTCTTCTAGGAAGCCTCCCATGATGTCTCCAGGCAATTTAGCAATTCCTCTGCTGCCCCTTGTGTATATCTTTATAACAGCTCTTAGAAAGTGAATGTCATTATTTACTCAAACATCTCCACTTCTTCACTGGATGGCAGGTAAGTCCCTGGAGAAAAGAACCTATGTATTCCATAGCTTAGCGTAGTGTTTGGCACATAGTAGGTGCCTGTATAATAGTTACAGAAGGAAGGAATGTTTCTTAAGCTTTTATGTCTCGTGTGACTTTAAAACAAAAATAACAACTGGGTGCGGTGGCTCACCCCTGTAATCCCAGCACTTTGGGAGGCTGAGGCGGCGGATCACGAGGTCAGGAGATCAAGACCAGCCTGGCCAACATAGTGAAACCCCGTCTCTACTAAAAATACCAAAAAAAAAAAAAAATTAGCCAGGTGTGGTGGCGGGCACCTGCAGTCCCAGCTACTTGGGAGGCTGAAGCAGGAGAATGGCGTGAACCCGGGAGGCGGAGCTTGCAGTGAGCCGAGATCGCGCCACTGCACTCCAGTCTGGGTGGCAGAGCGAGACCCCGTCTCAAAAAGTTAAATAAATAAATAAATAAATAAAACAAAAATAACAATAACAACAATCTCTTGAAGAGGCTGTTGTATTTGTAAAACGTCCCTTCCTCAGCATCTTGAGAAACTTTCTGGACCTCTGTCTTTTGAGAAGTTTCCAGTCTGCCTTTCCTGCCTCCTTCTCCTTTCTGAAGAAATTCTCATTGAATACAGAGAGGCAGCACAGACTGGAGATGCTGCATAAAGCTTAAATTGGGCAGGGCCCAAGCGTTGTTGGGTCTTTGGAGACAATGGCTCCTGAGAATTTTTTTAGGCTTTCCAGGAACTACAGAGAGTTGCTTCATGTCAGGAACACAAATTCTTAAAGAGCTAGTCACCAAGTATGGGGGGCCAACCCATTCTTGGAAAGGTCTCTCGCTCTAAGCAGCAAACAGCTCTCATGTTGCTTCTTCCAATCTATTCATGTAATGCTCCCAACAAAAGCACAAACACCACAATATGAAATGAACACCTAAAACCATTCCTTTCACCAGCCCAGGGACATTGAGACAATAAATACTGAAACAATCACTTCAGAGCAGTGTGTAACAGAAGACAAGAGTCATTTTAAAAAGCAACAGGGAAAAAACCCAACCCAGAAACCCAGATAGTGGTGGAAATTAACATCTTGATAAAGACAGAGAAGCCTAGATAAAGCCAGAGGATAGTGTGTGGGGAGAGTGAAAACCGATACAAATTTTCCAGGAAAAGGATTGGATCAAAGTAATGAAAGTGTAATGTCAAAGAATACTTTCCTAAAATACAGACAGTATGTCATTCCTACTCTTGTTATTCATAGGCAGTTCAAACTTCTCTAGACGTACTTCAAAACAAAAACCTTTTAGAATTATTGGGTGGGAGAAATCTTGGGACAGAAAAAAAACTTTGGGATGGGAATGGGGATGACAAGAATTGATGGGTCAGAGTTCCAAATGCAGATGCTTTTCCTGTGCCCTGCCTTAGCCAGAAATAGCTTCTTCATGAGCAGGGCCACCAGCTGAGGTCCCCACACTCTACCAGTGTTGGTAAATGTGGGTAAACACCTTAAATTGCCTCAGGATTCAATCCCTCCCACTATCCTCCAAGAACAGGGTGAAGTTCTGAATATATCTCTCTATACAAATGCATTCTATTGTTGATGCTTTTTCCAGAGAGGAGGAAATTAACAGTAATAGTAATCAATATTATTGACTGCAACGAAATGTCTTCTTTGGAAATTGACTGATGGTCACGTATCAAGGGGAGATGCTGGGTTTTCTCTCAGGGAAGACATTTCACTCTGTCACCTACTTGGTTTCAAAGAGAAGGAGGTGGAAGGAGGGGCCAAAAAGTTTAAGGTATGCTGCATACACTGACAGGCTCCTCAGAGCAACTGGCTGGGTAGCAAGGGGGCTGTGACTGAAGAACATGACAGAAGCCAATCCATTGTACAGCAACCACCAAGGCCAAATCTACTTGCCACCTTCCTCATATCTGCCAAGTGCTCACAAGGCCTTGTCGATGAAAGGGAAACTGAGGCAGCCAATGGGGTGAGAGGGCAAAGGTCACTTCAGGTTGAGGCAGAGGCAGGATGAAAACACTTACGTCGGAGGATCTCTCGTTGCTTTCTGACGTACCAGGTGTACAGAGCGGCACGCTTCTGGGTCTTCATAGGGGTGCCCTTGTTGAGATGCTGGGAGAGGTGCGACTGGTTCAGGCCGGTGACATCGACCACCTCCCTCTGGGGGATGTTGTGTTGCTGCATGTAACCCTTGATCATTTTAGCAGCCCTCCAAGGGTCCTCACTAGACAGACAAGCAGATGGTTAGGGTACTAGTGGGAGACATCTGGGGAGAAACATTCTTTTTCTAGGGGGTGCTACCTATGGTCTATGCAAAATTCTGAATTTTCCCCCCATCTAAGCTACAACTTTGGGGTAGACATGAGGCCAAAATGGAAGCTAAACAGAGGAGAAGGTGACTGCCCCTGTACGGTACACCTCATCCCTTTCTTCCGAGGTTAGTGGGCAAAAGAGGACTTCCCATCTTCAGGAATAAAAAAGCACCACCACCACTCTCTCTTATTAAGCAAAAAGAAAAGCTCTTGTTTTATTTAATTAATTAATTTATTTATTTATTATTATTTTTTTTGATGTGGAGTTTTGCTCTTGTCACCCAGGCTGGAGTGCAACGGCATCTTGGCTCACTGCAACCTCCACCAGGATCCTGGGTTCAAGCGATTCTCCTGCCTCAGCCTCCAGAGTAACTGGGATTATAGATGCCCAGCACCACACCCAGCTAAATTTTTTATTTTTAGTAGAGATGGGGTTTCACCATGTTGGCCAGGCTGGGCTCACACTCCTGACCTTAGGTGATCCATCTGCCTCGGCCTCCCAAAGTGCTGGGATTACAGACGTGAGCCACCGCGCCTGGCCATTTTATTTTGCTTTCCTCCATTTTCCTGCAATGTGGGAGATTTAAAAGGCAGGAGGCCCACTGGAAAGTGGGGATGCCTTTAGCTTGGGGCTGGACTCCCTGATCCTACAATGAAGTAGGGATAGCATCAGTTTCTGAATTTGCCCAATTTTAGCTTCAACCTCTCCTACATTATTTTCCTTTTGAATGGGTATCTCCATTTCTTATAAAACAGGGGTGAAATGTATGTGTTCACCTTCTAAGAAGCAAGGAGGATGTCTTAGCCAAATAGTAAATAATTTTCAGAGTTTTAGAAAAGTTTTCCAAAATACAATGTTGTATCTCCTTGGGACGGGAGGATCACACCACTGAGGTGAGGCAAGTAGTTAAAAAAAAAAAAAATCCACAGCTCCACCTTCCAGACAAAATCTACTGGGCTAATGGGGACAAATAACTTCAATTTCGGACATTAACAATTTTAGATGCTTGTTTTCCTGTATTATGTTTCTCATAAATTTTAAATACTGAATAAGAACATGGTTATACTTTTCATTTCTCATAAACACAGGTGTGTAAACTGCTAGTTTTAGCACCTTTGAATTTTATTTGTCTAGAATGGTTTCAACTTTGCCAATATCTTTTCTTGCTTATTGAACAGATGCTTTGAAAAGAGAGATATAATTTAAAACTAGAAATTAAAATAGTGTGCAGCACAGAACAAAAGTACTAAAGAAGCAATATATACATGTTTACTATTTATTTAATGCAGGTACATATTTAACTTACAAAAACCAGCACCCCATTACTGTATGTTGATATATATATTAGCTTGATAGAACAAGAAAAAAAACGGAAGGGAAAACTAGTTTCAGGTGAAACAAAAAAGAAAACGGTGTAGAGGCTGAAATAGATACAGTATTGCAACATAATAAGCAATTTTATTTCTAAATGGCGCCTTTAAATATGTCAAATAAAATTAATTCTGTTTAATGAATAAAAATCCAGTAATCGAACATATTTTATAAGCATTTGGGTAGTTGTGATTATTTTATTAAGACTTTGATATTAAACTCGTGAGAACACAGGCTTTGATAGAGATGTTTTTGAGAAATGCAAACTTTTTATATTAATTATATATAAGAACGAATTTCTCAAGTATTTACAAAGGTAATTTCCAAGTACACAATATGAGGAAGTAACAAGAAGAACAAAAAATGAGAAAACGAGTTACAGTTTCAAACGTGGAGAATTCACATTAAGAGGAAAATAATGTAATAAACGTTTTAGACATATCCTTGTAAACATCACAGATCATTTAAAAGTTTATTTCTGGTCAATATTTCCACAGATATTTTTAGGATGGAAAAATACTTTCAACGGCTACGAACAAGACGCCTCGAACCTTAGGGGAAAAATTGCATTTTAAAAGTGAATATTGCTTTAGCAAATTCTTCGGCTATTTTTCTTTTGTTTAAATGCCTTTACCTGTGTTCATTTTGTATGCCTAAGAAACCTAGAAAAATAGGGTACTGTTCTAAGTGGGAATGATTCTGTGGAAACAGTGAATTAGCCCAACAATTGGGGAGGGTTTAAAAAAAGCCCCCAAGAACCTTATAAATAATGGCAAAACCTTTTAAGTCCGACTTAAAAGAGTGAGGAGTAAGATGGCGCAGTTATACCTTCACAGCCCTCTGACCCCAAAATTCACGTGTGTTCACCGGGAAGAGCCGGGAGAGCTGGTTATTTTTGTTTGTTTGTTTGAAAACACAGCTCAGGTTCAGAGGTTCCCTAACACGGAGAAAGGCACCGGTCCCGAAGAGGGCCTGCGGCCATTGTGTCCCAAGCGCAGGTGTCAAACGCCGGCCGCGGCGCCCGCAGGGTCCGTCCCGCACGCTCCTTCTCAAACAATGACTTTGCTGCCCACGAGCAGAGAAGCCTGGACTCCAGCGCAGTCCGCAGCGCGTTCGTTAAGGAGCCCAACTTCGGCTTCTTAGAATGCAGCCCACTTTCTAGACGCCCCCGGCGCACCTGCCTCGAGGCCGCGAGAAAGGCCAGCTCCGGCCGGGAGCCGGGGACCGGGAAGCGCGCAGTCCCGACCTTCCTCCCCTGCCTTTCTCTTCCAGGAGGTTTACTAGAACTCCAGGAACTCCAAAACGCGACTTTTCTTTCTCTTTGCTTTTCGTCTTAAGGGAACACGGTGGGCAAAAGAAGGGAGTGCGTGTGCCCGAGGCTTGGGAGCCCCCTGTGCAGTGACCTAGGAACCGCTAGCGATTTCTTGAAAAATTACTTTAATCAAGTCCGGCGCTCCCGGGAGCGGGGGAGGAAAGGCAGCACCCGCTCGGGACGGGAGAAAAAAGCCTCCAGGTCTGTCCCGCGTCTCCAACTCGGCGAGGGTCTCCGGCTCCCCAGTCCCTCTCCCTGCCCTGCTGGGGCCTGGGGCTTTGGGGAGGGAAGAGCGGGGCTGGGGTCTAAGGACCCTGGGCCGGGCCTGGCTCTCCGCCGGCCGGGCCTGCGGGTGTCGGCGACCCGGGGGCTCCGCGGGCGGCTCGGGCGCTCACAGAGCCCGCGTCCCGCGCCAGAGCGGTGAGGCCGCGGGGCCGCACGGGGCGCCTGGCTGGGTGCGCGCTGGGAGCGGCGAGCAGCCCCGCGCCCGCGTTTTGATCTCCTTCCCCCCTCTAAGCCGCGTTTACAACTTCACCAATGAATAACCCGCCTCTCTTTTCAACCTAATCACGGCTCTTTGTGTATCTTTCTGTTGATGATTTATAGAAATAAATTAATAACACCCCAACTCCACGTGCTGCAGTTTATGTTACGTCTCAGCTGCGGCCAGCCCGGCGCGGGGCTGGGTGCGGAGGGGCGCCCCAGGTCCTTCCAGCGCCGCGCTAGAAAGCGGGCGCCTGCGGCCGGGTGGGAGGGCCTAGGCCCTGTGGCCCCCGGTGGCCGGCGGTGGGAGCCTGGTTCATCCGCCAGGTCCTGAGCGACCTCCCCGGCAGCCCTGGCGCCCCAGCCGCTCCTAGGGGCCACTCTCTCGACCCCTCTTAGCCTCCGCGACTCACACCTTCCGCCTCGCGGAACTCTCTTGCAGGAGTTCTCTCCCGGTAGGGGAGAAATCACCTCCGGGCGGGAGAGCGACGAGGGAAGAACCTCAAACCTATGAATTATACCAAAGTGTGTTTGGGGAAAAAAAATCTACAAGTTCCCCTGATTGTTTTGGCTAGAGGGCAAACCGCCAGGCCCTCGGAGCACAAATTCAAATGCAAGGTCATATCCCACCCCAAACCGCCGCTGCGGACGTGCGGCCAAGGCTCAGCCCCGAAATCGCGGCGCTTCAGTGTCCGAAGCCACGCGATGGGCTCTGTCCTAAAGCGGAGTGGCCCGGGAGCGACGTGCTGTCTCAGGGAACCGCTCGGCTCCTTAGATAATTAGTAACCAGCTGTCAAAGTCTAGGGCGGTCGGGGAGGACCCACAAACGATCCCGGCCCTGGGGATACACTGCCAGCCGGCCTGAACTCCCGGGGAGAGGCCGGGGGTGGGCAGCGAGGTCTGGAAACGCCCTCCTTTCTCAGACTGAGACCAGATCCTCTGCGAACTGAGGTCTGAGACGCGTTCGCCCCCACACCACCGCGCTTCGTTTCTTTGGCCCCGCGCGTGTCCACCCGGACCCTGCATGGAACATGCCCTTTGCAAATCTAAACCCGCGTTGGGGATCCCGGATAATTCCGGGCCTTGCATGGGCGCGGCTAACAAGAGTGCCCACCAGGGAACTCGCCTCCCAGATCCCGGCTCCGGATGCCGCCTGTCCTTCGGCAAAGAACTGCAGGTCATCATGCAGGTCAATGTGTCCGAGGCCGACATGCGGCTTTCCAGACCCGAGGCAGCGCGCAGGAAAAATGCGCGGCCTGGGGCTTGCAGCGGCGCGAGGCTCTGCTCCCGGGAAGTCGCAGCGGTTTCACTGCACCCACTCGCACCTTCAGTCGCGTGGGCAAACCTCCCGGCAAAGGGCTCCACAGCTCCAGTTCTCCCCGGCCCAGCCCCAGCCCCGCGGGGAAAAGCCCTTGGGTCTCGGACGCTGGCCTGGGCCTGGGGAGAAGAAGCCCGGTGGGCCGCAGGGTCGTCCCGCTAAGGGATTGGGAAGGGTCCGGGTGTTGGGAGAGAAGCAGAGCGCCCCCCGGGGGACTTCTCTGGTGGGAAACGGGCTTGGCGAGTGTGGTCGGGCGCAGTGTCACTCAGGCCCGGGGCCGGGGCTCCAGGGGTTCGGGTGGGTCCCCTCCACCTCGCTCTGCGCCTACCTGAGCATCCGGTCCACCTCCGCCCGCTGCTCCGCCGCCTCCTCGGTGTTGAGCGCCTGCAGCTCCTTGAGGATGGGAGGTGTGTCATAGTCGTCGCCGTCCTCGGAGCCCTCGTCGCCGGACAAGCGGCCCTTGGCGTGGCCGTTGGTGAGAGTATGGAAGACCGGCTTGGTGTCGGGCTCGGCCCCGCTGCCAGGGGACAGGGGCAGCGTCTCCAGCTTCACCCCGAAGTTCGGGGATGGCAGCAACTCCTCCAAGGCCTGAACCAGCACCTCCTTGGTGACCCCGGAGCTCAGCAGGGCGCTCAGGAGTTCTTGCTGGAGCGACGTGAGCTTGGACACCATTTTCCAAGGACGGAAAAAGAAGGGGGTGAGGGGGTGGGTGGGTGCGAGAGAGGAGGGTGGAGGGGAGTTTCACAAGCAAACCCCAAATCCAGGAACCCCTCCACCCTTCAGCCTCCAGACACCTGTTACTCCCCGGGGTCCCGGAGGCTCCTCCGAAAGGAGTCAGAAAACTTCTAACTTGCCATGATCGCCACCATTAGGCCATATAAGATATGCAAATTAGTGGGAAGGGCCCAGCTTTCGGCTGGATGCAAATGATGGTGGGGAGGGGGAAACCCGGAGAGAGGGAGAGCCGGAGGGGCAGACCTGGAGAGCAGAAGACCTGGGCCGGGAGCGGGGCTTTGCCAGGGTCCATTGTACTCACGCTGGGGGGCTAGAGACCTTCTTTTACTGGTTCTGCTTATCAGCCAAACTTCACCTAACCTTTGGACTTGTTAAGCCAGTGCCTTGCAGCCTAGGCGCGGGGCTTTTCCACCGGTTCTCAGTTCCGCTTTAGTCCAGAGAGAAGACACTACGCTTCGGGGTTCAGGTGAGAGCCAGAGGAAGCTGGGGTGCTCGTGGAAGAAGGGGACGCAGGAGGAAGCGAAGAGTAGAGACCCTGGATGCGTCCCGGCCGACGCAGGTGGTGGGCCAGGAGAGCCCGCAGGGCGGAAGAGAAACTGACCACTTAGGAAGGGGCGCCGAGGCCACGGGGGAGGTGAGGCAGCGTTAGGTGTGGTGAGCATGCCCTGGAGGGACTCCATTTATTTCTACCTCGGTTACTACCTCCAGGCCCCAGAACCTCCCTGGCCTGGTCTGGCGGTTTGGGTTTGCAGAACTGCCCGCCAGAGAGCGTAGGCGAGGGTGAAGGAGTCCGGGAGAACTCTTGGAAAGAGACTACTTTATGGGTAGAGGGAGTAGCCAAAGTGAAGCTCCCCCAGCAGCTGGGCTGCACCGGCGCCCAGCCTGGCCACGCCACTGGGGAGCTGGACCCCTGGGGCTCCTCACTCTCCTGTTTAAACCCGGATGTCAAGGCGCCTCCACCTTGGGGGAGGATGGTGAGGCAGAATGGTGAGGCACTAGGATGGTGAGGCACTAGGATGGTGAGGCACTAGGATGGTGAGGCAGTGAAAGCAAAGCTTGACCTGCAGCTGGGTGGACACTTGCAGCCGAGGGTCCCCCCGGCCCACTCATTTCTGGTTTATTCGTAGTTCCAGAACATCTGTGGTTCCCTGGGCCGGGGACGAGCTCTGTAGACGAGGTCACTGCAGCAGTGGCAGAAGTCTTGCACTCCTAGTACAGAAGGTGTCGACAGAGCTACTGAGGGAAAGATGTTTTTTTTCCCACTCTGGCCTGGGCCAGGTAGGAAGCCATAGGCCTTGCAGCACTATTGGAGTTTCACCTGCTTCCCCCCTGGTGACGGGCAGGAGGGGAGGGCGGCGGAAGCGCGCCCAAACCTGCAAGCTAGGACCTGACCTGTAGAAGAACAGGGAAAGGGGCTTCTTTGCTTCCACCACACACAGACCTAAAGCTTCTGGGGAGGAGCATAACGCTTCCCTTCTGGGAGCCTCAGTTTCCTCATCTGCAAAAAGAGGATACCACTGATAACCTTTTTTTGGGGGTTGTGTATATTGACTGAGGCCACTTGTGCAACCGCTTGGTCTAATAATAAAGTTCAACACTTTCTGGTCTGAGAAGACGGGAAGCCAGTTCCCAGTAGTAAAACTGAGTTACTCTGGAAACTTAGGGTATTCAGAATTGGTGATACAGTGCTGGGGTTGGAGGGATTGGGGGACTAGGGTTTCAGAATCAGCAGAAAAATTGCAAAGGAGTTTCTAAGCACATTTTCCTTCCTCTCCCACCCTTGAAAGATATCTAGGAGGAAGTAAGGTTAGGTTAGGGATAGAGAGGAATTTCAGCAGGAGGAGGAAGAGTCTAGCAGCTCTCATCTGCCTAGGGGCAGGATCTAATCTCCTAGGTGTGCAAGGGCTGATGGTGTAATTTATCAAGTCAGGCTGTTAAGGAGCTAGGATGCCTCTTAAATACAGGGTCTGCTACAGGTGCCTGGGCCACTTGTGCTGAGAGCCAGAAGGAAGCGGGATGGTTGTGTGCGTGTAGCCTGAGGAAAGTTTACACTGATCTCAGTCCCTCTTTCCCGGAGACAAGCAAATCCCAAATTCAGGAACCTCTCCATCCTTCAGCCTCCAGACACCCATTACTCCTCAGGGTGCCACAGGGAGTCATAACTTCATGAAAATGTTGGCTTTTCATTTCACCTTCTTTCCCTCTAGTTTGTTGTAATAGGTGCAAATCTTTGCTTCTCATAATTCTGCCCAATGGAAGAACATTCTCTGCCTACCCAGCTTGCCTCAAGAAGGATAATGAAGTGTTCAGAGTAAATGTCCCTGAAGAACAATCTCTTCGTCTGTCTCTCACTCGCTATCAGGATAGAAGCATCAAGTGTAATGAAGATCAGTTTCTGTGTTAAGCTGGGAAAACCCATTTAAAAAACAGCAATCACTTCTGTTGTAACAACAAAACTTTGATTGGCAGTTGCAGCTGCTGTGTGCCCCATCTGATTCCCAAGCCTCATTCTCTCTCAAAATTCAGGTGTCAGCAAACCCATTCTTCCCCACACCCCAGCTAACTATGTGAATGTGCAGGCAATTTCACACAGAGGATAGGACAAACTTCCTATGAGTGTCCAGGTATGTTTTCCAGGTAATCTGGCTATTCATATCTAGCAACTTCCTGTAATGCTCCTTCCTAGTCCTACCTTGTAATATGCCACTTTGTGCAATATAAGCGCTTATCAAGTAATTGTTCTGTACTATAGATCTTCAAACAGATTCACCAGTCCCTTCATATGGAAGTTTAAAAAGAGCTGTGTAAAGTAGACCAGCAGATAGTCTTTCAGAATGCAGTTCATAATGTTAAGTGAGCTATCTTGTAAAACTCTTCAGTTAAACTTCCCCCAAATAGAGGAAGACGGAGTAGGATTGAAATAACATCTGTTTATGCTTCACACAGAATAAAGTCGTGATGGACTGATATAATAACTCCATTTTAAAGATGGAAAAATAAGATATGGGAGAGTCTCAGGTTGCTTGTAGCCACCTCAGCAAATTAATGGAAGGGTTGAGGTTGGGGCTCAGAACTTTTGAGCAGGGTTTTAGGATGAAAGAGGAGGGTCTCTAGCTGTCATTGTTTTGAGGGATGAGAAGTTGAAAGAGGGATTCTGTGGGGGAGAGGTGGAGGATACCCAGCAGAGAATAGAGGGCAGGGTTTGGAGTAGTCAAACAGAACTAAACTTGAACCCAAGATCTGCTTCACCTGCTGTGTGACTTTTGGCATGTTACATAATCTTTCTGATCCTTAGTTTCCTCAGTGCAAAATGATAATGACACTCTACTGTGCCGGTGTGAAGATTAGGTGAGTTAGTAACCACAGGTTCCTAGAATATGGTGGGCTCTCACGTATTTAGAAAGAAGAGGCACATCTTGATAACATGCTGAGAACTGAGGCAACTGATGTCTTTAGGCTCTTATAGTCCCAGCATGTTTTTAAGAGCTACTGAATTTGAAGAGACCATATCAGTTTCATCTGCTCAAATTAGATGAATTTGCAGTTCATATCCCAAGGTTTGTTGTTCTTGTTTTTTATAGGACGTGCAATCCCTGGTATAAAATAAGTTGAAATCCAGTTGACTCATCATTCTATGAAGGTGTTCTGAGCACCATGCTGGTCATTCCACAGATTGGCAAATGTGGCTTCTGTGAACTCATCTCCCCTGGAACTTAGCAGCACAAGCGATATTTCTTTTCTGATTTGTGCATGCAATCTTTCCCCTACTTTTCACGGTTGCACTTCTTTGTTTACAGAAGAGATTCTGGTCATTTCCACCCCTGCCACTCCACTCTCCCAGCCTCTCTCATTGGTTCACAGAGTATCTAGAAGGCCTCAAAATAAAATCATCTCTAGAGTAAAACATAAATACCATCCTAACCTGTTCTGCAGGAGGTCAGGGGCCTTCTTGTTAGAGAGCAGTGTTGCAACCTGGAGAACATTCTAGACATCAGGGTCTGGAAAGAGCCTGAGGTTCTTCTTCTGGCTACAAAACCTCTTTCTGGGTGATTCATCTCCCCAAAAGTTTTGGTGAGCACCTTCTCTGGGTCTCTGATTCTACC
This sequence comes from Homo sapiens, assembly GCF_000001405.40. NCBI lineage: Eukaryota > Metazoa > Chordata > Mammalia > Primates > Hominidae > Homo > Homo sapiens. The sequence continues at coordinate 1,988,107 of NT_187614.1, forward strand.
TTTGAAAAATGGCTATTGGTCTGGATAACCATTTAGGTCCTCCAACTTTTTTTATAATTTGAAATTCCTAAAAGGTCTTAAATTATTAGGGTGTCTACTTGCAGGCCTTCGGGCAGATGGGCCAAGAGCTCAGGCCAGACCTCTGTGTAGTAGTGGACATGAAGCCTTGACTAGCCACGAAAAAATATACCACAGAGAGCAAACCCTATGAGGGGCAGGCATCTTCTCATGTCTTACTCCTCAGTGCCTGGAGAAGTGCTGGTGCATGGTAGATGCTCAAGAAAATGCTTACTGAGTAAACGAACATGTGATTGCCTCTGGACAATACTGTTAAAACTAAATACTTGCCAGGTGTGGTGGCTCACACCTGTGATAGTTCTTTTGGAGGCCGAGGTGGGAGGATAGCTTGAGCCCAGGAGTTCAAGCAAAATAGTGAGACCCTGTCTCTACAAAAATAAAAAATAAAAAAATTAGCCAGGCATGGTAGTGCATGCTTATAGTCCTGGCTACTCAGGAGGCTGAGGTGGGAGGATCGCTTGAACCCAGGAGTCTGAGGTTCCATTGAACTATGATCGTGTCACTGCACTTCAGCCTGGGTGACAGAATGAGACCCCATTCTCTAAATAAATAAATAACTACTTTCACCAGACACGAAAGAGTATATACTGTGTGATTCCATTTATATAAAGTTAAAAAGTGGAAAAACAAATCCGTGGTGCTGGAGGTTTCTGGGGTGCTAGAAATGGTTCTATATTTTGATTGGGATGGTGGATCCATCACCAGGCTATACATGTGGGATCTGTGCATGTTGCCATATGTAAGTTATAAATTAGTATAAAGTAAATTAAATAAATTACTCCAAGTATAAAATGTAAACAGTGTGGGGCCGGGCGTGGTGGCTCATGCCTGTAATCCCAGCACTTTGGGAGGCCGAGGCAGGTAGATCACAAAGTCAGGAGATCGAGACCATCCTGGCTAACACAGTGAAACCCCGTCTCTACTAAAAATACAAAATTAGCCAGGTGTGGTGGCGGGCGCCTGTAGTCCCAGCAACTCGGGAGGCTGAGACAGGAGACTGGTGTGAACCCCGGAGGCAGAGGTTGCAGTGAGCCGAGATTGTGCCACTGCACTCCAGCCTGGGCGACAGAGCAAGACTCCATCTGAAAAACAAACAAACAAACAAAAAACCAAAGCAGTGTAAATAATATTCTTACCCCCGTCAACAGTTTACAGTTGATGTTCGGTCCTCCAGATTTTTTCCTATTCATCATTGTAGTTAATCATCATTAAGGTCTATAGCTTAGTATATTCCAGGAGTCAGCAAACTTTTTCTATAAAGGGCAAAATAGTAAATATTTTAGGTTTTGTGGGCCAGATGGTCTCTGTTACAACTACTCAACTCTGCTCTTATCGACAATACATAAATGAATATGTGTGGCTGTGTTCCAATGAAACTTATTTACAAAAACAAGTAGCTGGCTGCATTTGGCCCACGTGTCAGTTTGTCAACCCGTGGATAAAGCACTTAGGCCACTAGAAGTCCACAGATCCAAAAGGGACCTTAAAATCATCCCCTTTCACGTCTTCCTCTTTGGGATAAGGAGGCAAATTCAGGGAGGATAAATGACTTTCCCAAGAGCACAGGACCCTGGGAGAATCAGTTCTGGAGTCAGATGGGCCACCTGCTTTCTGGGAGTGTGTAGCCATAACTTTGGGCAAGTTACTAAATTTCTTTCAGACTTATATTATCACCAAAGGTAAACAGTGATAATGGAATTCATACCTTATAAGGTTGTTGGAAGAATTAAAGGAACACAGAAAAACACCTTGTGTGGGGTTGGCACGAGCTGGGAACACATGAAGTACTTGCTTGATCACAGCACACGGCTCAGAGGCTCCCTCATGTCCTCCCTCCCTTCCTTCGAAATGCAGAGTTTCTGGCCTGAGTTCACTAACAAACACTACCGAGTGTCTACTCTGCGTGGAGCACTCTGGGGAGCACTGTGAGGAAATAACAAATGGATACAGGAAGATTCCAGATCCCACCAATCCCCACTATCAGCTTCCTTTCCAGAAATCCCTTTCGGCTCTGAGCTTTTATTTCCCAGACATGCTGCTATTAGGTGATCATTGCCAGGGAAACTCCTAAAGGTAAAGAAGATTTCTCTCTCATTTTGATTCAACAACCCACATCCTTCTGCTAGGTCATTTTTTAGAAATAGGGTATTCCCAGTAGCTTGTAAAAGATTAAATTAAAAACCGGCAACCTAGTATGATATTAAACTAATAAATACTACACCTACCATAGAGAGCCTTCGCTCCAGAGCAACCACCTACTTCTCTTTCTTTACCACAACATCCGTGAAAAATGAGATTGGCGGTTGGCCCAGCACACAGAAGGTGCCCCATGAGTGTTTATGGAGTAAATGGTGGGCCCGGCACACAGCAGGTGTTCCATAAATGTTTACTGAATAAGTGATCATGGCTAGGCTGCGGTGTTTCGGAAAAAAAGCAATAATCTTTACTAGAATTTTCTGGAACCTGTTTTCAGATTAATATTTAAATAAATAAGTGTTATTGAGGTGCCCTAGCTACACTCTCTCCTTTTTCCTCCCTCACAGACCTATGAAGTAGGCAATATCCTCCATCCCTGCTTTAATGATGAGGAAATGGAGGCTCCAAGAGGGTAAGGATTGGCCCAAGGACCCACAAAAGGTTAAGGAGCAGAACCCCGGACTCGCACGGAGGACCCCCAGATCCCATGTTAAGTGCCTCGTTTGTGACACTTTGACACCTTCCGAGCCCCGAAACAGGTGGGGGCACACACAGAAGCACCCTGGAAAGTCTCAGCACAGGGAGAAATCTTGTGATTGCTTTAGAGAGGGAGAGAGAGAGGGAGAAAGGAGACAGGGGACAGGGTGAGAGAGATCAGTCTTCCCTGTCAAAGGAGATACCTGGCACATAAAGAACTACGCTATTTATACAGTATTTTATGGTGTGCAAAGAGATTTCCTCTTTCATTTGATCTTCAAAAGAGTCCTGCAAAGAAGGCAAGGCAGGCACTACTACCCACATTTCACAGATGAGGAAACTGAGGCCCGAGGAAAAACGACCCCCAAAAGGTGCCAGAATCACCACCTGAGACTTCCGCATCTAGAACCCAGTGTTTTCTCCACGACATTGGGTTTGTATAATGACAAGATCAGCACAAAGCACAGCCCAGGAAGAGGGACCAGGCCTAAGAGGAAGATACAATAAGACACCTCAGTTTCTGCTCCTGATGCCATGCTTGAGTGAGGCAAAGGCTTTTTCCTTCCTCTCTGGTAAAGGTTCCAGGAAAGAGTTCGATCTGTGAGTCAACAGCCCCTGCCCACTTGATGTTATCCTGTTTCTCCCCAACGATGAGTCTTCTCTGATTCTAGAGGTCCTGGTTGCAGAGCAGGAGCGAGGTGGACTCTGCCTCCACTCACCCTACTGTGTCTGGTCGGGAGTGCTGTCCATGACCTGTGCCTTGGGCATGAGAGTTACCACTCAGCCTCACACTAAGGGATGACCGAGGTATCCTTTTGTGCTCTGATGACTATGCCCTGTTTCCAGGCCTGGGGGTGAAGAGCCATGCAGGGCTGCTGAGTCAATGCAGCAAACATTTATGGAGCATCCGCTATGTGCTGGGCATGCAGTCAGTGTCTGGCACTGCTGGAGCAACCAGATTCACTTCCTGCTCTAAAGGAGTTGGTTATCCAGAGGGAGGGACAGACACGGACACACACCTCTATTGCTAGACAGAGTGGAGCAGGCTTCATCATAGCACTGTGCTGATTGCTTTACACAAAGCATCTCATTTGCTCCTCGTAACTGCCCATGAGACAGTATTATTATTATTATTTTTAGTGTTCCTAACTGATGCTTAAACTGTTGGAGTTGCACAGAGCTTGTTCTTGCTCAGATTGGGTTGAGATTCAAATACAGCTTTCCCTGGTTTTCTGTACCAGCCGAGAGGCAGGTGCCACAGGGAATCAGCATGGGGCTTGGAGTCAGCCCAATCTGGGTTGAAACCTGTCTCTGCTGCTTTTCAGATGTGACCTTGGGTAAGCTGACACTCTGAACTTCAGTTTCTTTATCTGTAAAAAGGAGGACAGTGTAGAAATTTGCAGGCCAGATAGTATATGTAAACCCCCTGGCACAATTAATAAATAGAAGCAAATGTCAATAATAATAGGGGAACCAACAAAATTCCGTCGGGGCTCAGGGCCCTTGAAGAGTACATAGAATTTTGACATCAAGGAGAAGCCAGAGAACATTTCAGGCAGAAAGAAGAGCCGAGCCAAGCATGAAAGCAGGTAATGAGGCGACGGGGGAGGAGGGCAAGCTGGGCTGCCTGGACCACGGAGGAATCTTGCTAACGATGACACTGGAAAGTAAGGACAGGGCTGGTCATGGGCAAACACTGAATGCCAGGCCTGGGGGTCTCATCCTCTCTCCTTAGCCAATGAGGCATCTCAAAGTTTTCAATGGCATATGAGCCATTATTTAATTTGCTTTTTTTTAAAAAAGAATGCTTGTAACAACAATAACAATAGTAGTGACTACTTACTGTGTACCTCTATCACTGTGCGAAGATTTACAGTGTAATGTCATCTGATCCTTAAGATTATCTGAGGTTACTGGTTTTTTGTTTGTTTTGTTTTGTTTTGTTTTTGAGATGGAACCTCATTCTGTCACCCAGGCTGGAGTGTAGTGGCATGATCTTGGTGCACTGCGAACTCCACCTTCCGGGTTCAAGCGATTCTTGTGCCTCAGCCTCCCGAGTAGCTGGGATTACAGGCATGTGCCACCATACCCGGCTAATTTTTGTATTTTTAGTAGAGACAAGGTTTCACCATGTTGGCCAGGCTGGTCTCGCACTCCTGACCTCAGTGATCTTCCTGCCTCCACCTCTCAAACTGCTGGGATTTCAGACATGAACCACCGTGCCTGGCCTGAGGTTACTCTTATTATCTCCATTTTACAAAACTGAGTGAAATGGTTCAATATGAAGACTGTAGCCAAATTGCCAGGATTCAGATTTTGGACTCACAGCTCACTAACTGTACATGGGCAACTTACTAAACCTCTGTGGGGCTCACCATTCCCACCTTTAAAACGGGGATGGAGATAGCATTTACCTAACAGGGAGGTTGTAAAGAGTAAATGGTCAATGCATATATAAAGTAATTAGAAGAGAGGCTGTCAATAAGCTCCCAATAGCTCTTATTTGATGATGACTGCCCAAGGTGACACACTTAGAGAGAAGCGGTCCCAGTGGGTTCATTGATGGAGACCCTCCAGTGAGCCTTTGTCCACAGGAGGTGAGTGAAGGTGTTGTGGGGCAGCACAGAGGGGAAGAAACCAGGGCGGAGATGAGGGTCTCCGTGGAAGGAGCCTCTCCAAGGTTGCTGATGGGTGCCCCTCGGCTTTCACGCACCAGGGCCTTAGGAAGAGTGAGTCACAGCCCCACACCACATGCAGGTGGAGGCCTAGAAGTTCAGCAACTCACCAGAAGCCACAGTGGGGCAACAGGAAAGTTCAGATATAATCTATGTAAGGTTAAAAGACCCCTATCTTACTCACCCTCTCCCCACACTTCCCATGCCAAACCATTCTCCCTATTAGCCCCTATAGCTCCTTGCTAATTTCCATTCCTATACCTGTTCACCTGCCGCTTCCTCCACCTGGAAGAGCTCCTTCCAGGCAAACCAGACTTTGCAACTTCCCTGAGAATGTGGTTTAAAATTCATGAGCCGCTGGAAGCTTTCCCGACTAGCGCTGTTCCTTCTAATCATCCCCCCTACCCCACCCCTTAACCTTCTGGGATCAGCTGAGAGCTCGAGTCCTTTGAGAAGCCCCACCTGACCCTAGGTTGAGTTATTACTCAGTGGTTCTCACTTGAGCATGGTTTTAACTCCTAGGGGGCTTTGGTAATGTCTGGTAGGGTCAGCTTCATGAGTGTGCTTGGGGTTTAATGCACTGTAGTTGCCATCTTGAAATTCTTAATAGTTTTATCTTTGACTTTGTGTTGTGTAGATGAAGCTGATGGGACAATAGAGCGTATGCCAGGGGCTTAGTCTCAGTTCATGTGGTCCCCGCTTCTGCTGCCTCCTTGCCTTTCTGGCATGGGTTTCAGGTCCCAGCTCTCCATCCACTGATGCCCCTGGCCTGGCCAGGCCTCTCTCTTCCTACTCCCACTCAGCAACCACCGCTGCCCTCTCTGTCCTTAGGGGGTCTTCATGTGGGCATGGAGAGGTTGAGATAGTGTGCTTTTGCGGCACGACATCTCAGGGTGGAGCATGGCAGTGGCCATCCCTGACCCAGGCTGGCAGTGCCATGGAGCATTAGGCAATAGGCTACATGGGGAGCATGCTTTTTACCCACCTCTGGACCAAGGGTGTCCTTGTGCCATGGTTGTAATGCCCTTGGGGGATGTCCATCTGCCATGGGCTGGGGCAGCGAGTTGTGGGAAGGGAGACCTGGTTTGACTTCCATGCCCTCGGAAGGGCAGATGCATGGCCCAGTGGCTGGTCAGAGCGGGGACATGGCAGCTGGTGGGTTGCATGTGTGTATATGCTGAGTCATGGGGTGGGGTCACCAGACACCTACAAGGGTTTGCACTCACCCTGCTAGTGTGCCTATCCCTAGGGAATGAAAACACTTTGTATCTGAGTATCTTCAATGGCACTTTCCCTCTGCTTTATGAACGAAGGGTCCCACACTTTCTTTTTGCACTGGGCCTTGCAAATTATGTAGTTGGTCCTAATGTCTAGAGACGTTTTTAGTTGTCATGGCTGAGGGGGGTGCTACTGGCATCTAGTAGGTAGAGGCCAGGGATGTCGCTAAACATACCACAGTGCACGGGACAGCCTCCCACAACAAAGAATTATCTGGTCTAAAATGTCCATGGGGCTGGGCGAGGTGGCTCATGCCTATAATCCTAGCACTTCGGGAGGCTGAGGCGGGAGGATCTCTTGAGCCCAGGAGTTCGAGACCAGCCTGAGCAACATAGTGAGACCCCATCTCTATTTTTAAAAATTAAAAAAAAAAAATGTCCATGGGGCTGAGGTTGAGAAACATGGGATTTTGTATACTTCCTTTCTGTTCCCACGCCCTCTGTGCTGATTTCTGTCCTGGCTCTTTGCTCAGGTTGTGGAAATGACCTCATTACGTGTCTAGACCAGAAGTTCCTCAAAGACAGGGTTGAATTTTTGTCAATCTCAGATCCTTAGCACCAGGACCTAAGGTGGTGATGGGGCATAGTAATTCACTGACTGTACTGGCAGACAAGCTGATGAACTTACTTTATCATATTTTAACCTATTGTTTTGTGTGTGTGTGTGTTTGTTGGAAGTCTAAAACCATTTACAGCCGTTCTTGAGGCGTTACATGATTGTTGTATCTTTCCTAAGTGGATTGTAAATCCCTAAAGCACAGGAAATACACTTTTTTTTTTTTTTTTGAGAGGGAGTCTTGCTCTTGTTGCCCAGGCAGGAGTGCAGTGGCACGATCTTGGCTCACAGCAACCTCCACCTCCTGGGTTCAAGTAATTCTTCTGCTTCAGCCTCCTGAGTAGCTGAGATTACAGGCATGTGCTACCATACCTGGCTAATTTTTGTGTTTTTAGTAGAGACAGGGTTTCACCATATTGGCCAGGCTGGTCTTGCACTCCTGACCTCAAGTGATCCACCTGCCTCAGCCTCCCAAAGTGCTGGAATTACAGGCGTGAGCCACATGCTTCACCAGGAAATAAACTGTCTAAGTCTTCTGTGTTGCTCAGTTGTGCTTAGAACAGTGCACTGTATGCAGCAGGTGCTCTGTAAGCAACAACGTCTTTTGCTCTGTTCTGTGTCTACCTTTCTGCATGTCCAAGGCCCAGATTACATTCATTTATTCATTCAACAAACATCCATTCAGAATTTACTATAAATTTCTTTTCTTTTCTTTTCTTTTGAGACGGAGTTTTGCTCTTGTTGCCCTCACTGGAGTACAATGGCGCAGTCTTGGCTCACCGCAACCTCTGCCTCCCGGGTTCAAGCGATTCTCCTGACTCAGCCTCCTGAGTAGCTGGGATTACAGGCATGTGCCATCACGCCTGGCTAATTTTGTATTTTTAGTAGAGACAGGGTTTCTCCATGTTAGTCAGGCTGGTCTCAAACTCCTGACCTCAGGTGATCCACCCACCTCGGCCTCCCAAAGTGTTGGGATTACAGGCGTGAGCCACTGCTCCCAGCCTAAAGATACAATTTCTATTCTCAAGGAGTTCAGTGTGGCCAGGGAGTTAGAAAGTTTTTTTGTTTTGTTTTGTTTTTTTTGAGATAGAGTCTCCCTCTGTTGCCCAGGCTGGAGTGCAGTGGCATGATCTTGGCTCACTGAAACCTCCGCCTCCCAGGTTCAAGTGATTCTTCTGCCTCAGCCTCCCAAGTAGCTGGGACTACACGTGAATGCCACCACGCCTAGCTAATATTTGCATTTTTAGTAGAGACAGGGTTTCACCATGTTGGCCAGGCTGGTCTCGAACTCCTGACCTCATGATCCGCCCGCCTTGGCCTCCCAAAGTGTTGGGATTGCAGGCGTGAGCCACTGTGCCCGGCCAGAAAGTGTTGTAACTCCATGTAATTAAGCATCATAATTGCTGTGAAATTAGCCTTCAGAAAACTAATGATCAAGAAGAGAGAAAATTCAGTAGAATTTTAATTCCACCAGAATTAGAAAATTATGTTTGTAACAGAGAGTTCTCAAGCTCGTTTGGGTTTGTAACTCAGACCTTTGCAGCAGTTGGTTTGTTTGTTCAACAAGTATGTGTCTGTGTCAGGCCCTATTCTGGGTACTGGTGATGCAGCCGTGAATGAAACAGACAAAGCCCCTGTCCTCCCAGAGCTCACCTGCCAGCAAGAGCCAGGGACAGGCAGCAAGTCAATCCGTGGTGTATCACAAGAGGATGTATGATTGAGAACAATGAAAGGGCAGGGGACAGTGAAAAGGCAGTGTGCGGGACTCTGTTGTAGGTGAGGGATCTTCCTGGGGAAGGAGGTTCAAAAGTGACGTGTGGCTGGAAATCAACTCAGACTTCTTGGGATGTTGGTGTGCTCCACCCACCCTACCATACAGGCCCTATGCATGCCCAGAAATCCCTTCTGAGCTGCAAAGACACTGACTATAAGTAGGAATGAGTTGAATGAAGTGTTGCTAAGTTTTTAAAGGGCTTTTCTTTAAAACATTTGTGTGAAAATATTTTTCCCAAGTTACTCCTCTCAATTAAAAAAAGTTTGAACACCTCATTTCCACTATTTGTATGAATTAATTAATTAACTTACTACATGTGCTACCATACTAATATTTTATGCTCATTATAAGACTAACACAAGAATAAAAAGTATGGAGTTAACATAAATATAAAAATAAGGCTGGGCATGGTGGTTCACGCCTGTAATCCCAGTACTTGGGAGGCTGAGGCGGGCGGATCACCTGAGGTCAGGAGTTTGAGACCAGCCTGGCCAAAATGGTGAAACCACATCTCTGCTAACAATACCAAAAAATAAATAAATAATAGCTGGGTGTAGTGGCAGGCACCTGTAATCCCAGCTACTTGGGTGGCTGAGGCAGGAGAATTGCTTGAACCCAGGAGGCGGAGGTTTCAGTGAGCTGAGACCGCACCATTGCACTCCAGCCTGGGCAACAAGAAAGAAACTCCGACTCAAAAATAAAAAAAAAATAAGACCCAAGATTTTCATCCTGTACCCTCAATATATCAGTTTGTGCTTCCCCCTCTTGGGGACCCCTGTTCTAAGGTAGAAAAGTACTAAATACTATTTTATTTTTGGATAAGAAGAAACTTGCCTAGAGGTCACTAGACAGACACCTCTCAGGACTTTTTTACGATTTGGAAAAGAATAAGGGAGATTGAGGTACAGGAGGAGAGAGAAAGGCAGAAAGGAAGAAAAGAAAAGGGGGATAATGAAGAAAAGAAATAAAAGAAATAAGCTTTCTTTTTTTAAAAAAGAAAGCAAGATAAAAGAGAAGGAGAGAAGGAAAGAAAAAGAAAGAAATGAAGAAAGAAAAGAAAAGAAGGAAGGTAAGAAAGGGAGAGAGAGAGAAAGGGAGAGAGAAAGGAAGAAAGGGAGGGAGAGAGAGAGAGAAGGAGAGAGGGAGAGAGGGAGGGAGAGGGAGAGAGAAAGGCAAAAAGTAAGGAAAAAATACCCCCAAGACGCCACTGGACAGAGGCAGTGCCTGTGCTGTCTGCCCGGCCTTTGCTCAGACCTCTCAGTGTTGTAAGAATGTTCCGTCACAGTCCATAGGCTGGACCTTGGCCTCTTTCCACACATTCAGAACCACCAGCTAATGCAATGGAGATTGCTTTCTGGTCCAGCTCTCTTACCCGATGGCCAGTTCCCCTTCGTGGCCCTCACTTGGCAGTGGTGTCAGGAGTGATGTGGAGGCTGACCTTTTCCCATCACTGTCCTGCACAACTCATTAACTTCTCCTTGCAGCTGGAGATGACCATTATGGAGTAGAAGAGCTGACAGGTTTTTCAGAGAGCAGAGGAATGCACAGTTTCCCAGAAGTTCCTGATCCAGGAGTTCTCGCCTGTAGAGCATGGGAGATAATCTGGTTTATGGGGCCATCAGAAGAAAGTCATGTTCCAAGCTCTTAAAGAACCCTGAGCTCTTTTTCTTTTTAGACTCTTGCATTAAAAACAAAGGAATGAGACAAGGCACTTCAGTGTAGAATGGATCAAGGAATACAAAATAAAATAATGAAAAAATGCTATGCAAATAATACAAACATAAAAACACAAGCAATGTTTCTTGAATGAAATTTTTTACTTTCAAATTTGATCTAGCCCTGCACCAGGAGGCATGCAATTTGTTGAAGGAATAAATGGTGAATTTTCACGATAATTCTGTGACAATGCAAGGTGGACAGGATCTTCATGGAACCAAGGAGACTGAGGCCCCAGAACTTAAGGGCCCAAGGTCATACAGTGAGTGAACAGGTGTCAAGACCGGTCCTCCATTGTCACCAGGGCACTGCCTCCATGCAGGCCTTTGGTTTCCTTTGGGAAGATTTATCACTTGCCTAGCTACTCTGGTGAAGTCATTGCTTTAGGGCAATGGGACTGAGTTTAAACATATTGAGCACCTAAAGAAGACAGGCATGTATCGGGCATGGGGTGGTGGGGTGGGGTATAAAGCCGTGAAGCTGGCCCCTGCCCCCAGGAAGCTCACAGCCCATGACAACTGCAGTGACCCTTATGCCTGTCATTTTCATTACTGTCTTCCCTGTCTTGTTATTGAATATTATTGTAATCTATGTGAGCATTCACCTTTTAAAAAGGCTTTTAGTTTTTGAATTACAAAACTGATAAATATCACCATATAATCTAGCAATTCTATTTCTGGGTATATGCCCCAAAGAATTGAAAGCAGGGTCTTGAAGAGATATTTATACACCCATGTTCATAGCAGAATTATTCACACTAGCCAAAAGGTGGAAGAAACTCAAATGTCTTTTCTTTTTTTTTTTTTTGAGACGGAGTTTCACTCTTGTCACCCAGGCTGAGGTGCAATGGCGCAATCTTGGCTCACTGCAGCCTCCGCGTCCCAGGTTCAAGCGATTCTCCTGCCTCAGCCTCCTGAGTAGCTGGGATTACAGGCGCCCACCACCACACCCGGCTAATTTTTGTACTTTTAGTAGAGACAAGGTTTCACCATGTTGTGCAGGCGGTCTTGAACTCCTGACCTCAAGTGATCCGCCCACCTCCGCCTCCCAAAGTGCTGGGATTACAGGCATGAGCCACTGTGCCCAGCTTCAACTGTCTATTAAGAGATTTTATATATATATAGGTATTTGTTTATTCATTCATCTCTCAATAGACACAATAATTTTCCATTATATGTATACATATATAGCATGTATACAACATATATACATACATATATACATTTTATATATACATGTATATACGTATACATACAATGGAAAATTATTAAGCCTTAAGTAGGAAGGAAATTCTGGCCAGGCGTGGTGGCTTACGCCTCCATCTCAGAAAAAAAAAAAAAAAGAAGGAAGGAAATTCTGACACATATCTCAACAGGGATGAACCTTGAGAACGTTACGCTACTGAAATAAGCCAGACACGCAAAGACAAAAACTGTATGATTCCACTTATATGAGATATCTAGAGTAGCCAAATTAATAGAGACTGAAAGTAGAATGGTGGTTTTCAGGGGCTGGGAGGTGAGGGATGGGGAGTTATTGTTTAACGGGTACAGAGTTTCAGTTTTGCAAGATGAAGGTTATGGAGCCGGATGGTGCTGATAATTGCCCAATAATAACAATGTGCTTAAAATACTATTGAACTGTACACTTAAAATGGTCAAGACAGTAGATGTTATGCTATGTGTATTTATCATAATTTAAAAAGATCAAATAGACATTATGATAAATTCCAATAATCAAAACTTACTAAAGCAAAAAGAGAAAGTCTGCTTTCTCACCTGTTTGTCACCTCTCCTCCTTGAGATTTATTCTCAATCTCCTCTCTTTATCTAGGCAATTGCTATTCAGTTTATTTGTTTCCTTTGTACTGTTTTGCCCTCTTGCACAGATGTACACACACACGTGCATGCACACATGCATATATGCTATTAAAAGCCAAAACAGGGCCGGGTGTGGTGGCTCATGCCTGTAATCCCAGCACTTTGGGAGGCCGAGGCGGGCAGATCACAAGGTCAGGAGATTGAGACCATCCTGGCTAACATGGTGAAACCCCGTCTCTACTAAAAAAATACAAAAAAATTAGCTGGGTATGGTGGTGCGCACCTGTAGTCCCAGCTACTCGGGAGGCTGAGGCGGGAGAATAGTGTGAACCCAGGAGGTGGAGCTTGCAGTGAGCCAAGATCGCGCCATTGCACCCCAGCCTGGGCAACAGAGTGAGACTCCGTCTCAAACAAAACAAAACAAAACAAAAAAAAACACCAAAACAGATCATTGATTCCTTCTTCTCCCTTTCCCCCTTGTACACTCCTCAAAGGGAGCCAAAAGGAGAACTTAAGAATGTGGGTGGTGGGAACAGAAGGCTGACTGGAATTTCCATTCCTCCCCTTACTCACTATGACCATTCACTAGTGATTTAATTTCTCTAAAGCTCAGTTTTCTCATCTGAAAGGTGGGATAATATTATTGCTGAGACTTAATGAAGAAAACAATGGAACACGCTGGCACATAGGAAACATACAGTCAGGGCTGACTGGTTATGTGCTTCTGGAAGTTTCTTCCATAACGTGGGCTCTGTGTGCAGTCAGGGCTCAAGGACGTCTGTAGCAAGAAGAGGAGAGCGAAAGGGAGAACCTCTTAGCAGGCGCTATGTTCATGCCTAGGATGCAGGTATCATCTTCCCCGAAGGGTCTAGTTAAGAAGAGTTATTGGCCAGGTGAGGTGGCTCACGCCTATAATCCCAGCACTTTGGGAGGCCGAGGCAGGTGGATCACTTGAGCCGAGGAGTTCAAGATCAGCCTAGGCAACAAGTGAGAACCCCTTCTCTACAAAAAATAAAAAAAAAATTAGCCTGGTGTGGTGGTGCACACCTATAGTCCCAGCTACTCAGGAGGCTATAAGCAGGAGGATCGCTTGAGCCTGGGAGGTTGAGGCTGCAGTGAGCTGAGATCGTACCACTTCACTCCAGCCTGGGCAACAGAGTGAGACTGAAAAAAGCAGGAGCAGCAGCGGCGGCAGCAGCAGCAGCAGCTGCAGCAACAGCATTATTCTGTTCTTTCCAGTGATGAGAAGCAGCTGTTACACGGTGGATATCCTTTTCAAAATAGTAGATCCTGGAAGTGAAAACTCATAATATAAACTTCTAGGTACAGGTGACAGAACAGAATCCAGAAAGCATTTAGGACCCGGGATACATGGATAAGTGATTATAGGAAGGTCTTGGGGTCATGGAATATGTGCAGCACATGGGGTCCAGAGGTCTGAGTTCAAGTTCTACCTTAAGGATATATATATATAACCTTGAGTCACACACACTATACACTCTTTTTTTTTTTTTTTTTTTTTTTTTTTTGAGACAGAGTCTTACTCTCTCACCCAGGCTGGAGTGCAGTAGTACAATCTTGGCTCACTGCAACCTCCCCCTCCTGGGCTGAAGCAATCCTCTCACCTCAGCCCCCAAGTAGCTGGGACTACAGGCATGAGCCACCATGCCTGGCTAATTTTTGTACTTTTTGTACAGGCAGGGTTTCACCATATTGCCCACACTGGTCTCAAACTCTTGAGGTCAAGCAATCCACTTGCTTCAGCCTCCAAAAGTGTTGGGATTACAGGCATCAGCCACCATGCCCAGCCTCAGTTTCCTTCCCCAGAAAATTGTATATCTTGTAGGGTTATTGTGAAGATTAAAGTGGAATGTGCATGCAAAAGTACTTTGCAAACCACAAAGCTCTAGGTTGGTGTAAATAACTGAACTTTTAAAAAAAATTTACTTTAAGTTCTGGGATACAACGTGCAGAACGTGCAGGTTTGTTACATAGGTATACATGTGCCATGGTGGTTTGCTGCACCTATCAACTCGCCCTCTAGGTTTTAAGCTCTGCATGCATTAGGTATTTGTCCTAATTCTCTCCCTCCCCTTGCCCCCTACCCACCGACAGGCCCTGGTGTGTGATGTTCCCCTCCCTATGAATGACTGAACTTTATATCAATGCGTTTGTGTCAATGTTCTGCTATAAAGCACTGCAATCCTTTTTAACTTTTAAAAATGGAAATAACTTTTTTTTTTAGTTCTTGATAATATACAATCATTGTAAAAAATTAAAGCAAAATGAGAAAGTGCAAGTTTCTTTAATCTCAACTGTTGCTGACACTTTCTAATTCTTATTTATTTAATGATATCTCAATATATTAACTGAAAAAAGTTTCAAACATTTTTGTAGTATGGTCCTATTTACGGCTTAGGAATTACTGCCAATCAAATATTAGTGACAAGAATAAACATGCAATACGCTACATTAAGATTATATGATCTCTTAGAGACTTTTATAATTCTCAAATTCTATCAATTATTGCTAAAGATCCTTTATGTATTTAAACTAGAATAGAGTACTAGTTAGAATTTAGGTTCTACATGGTAAAAATGGAGATAATACAAGTGCAAATTCATAGTTTGAATGAAGATTAAATTAGATAATGCACAGTATTTTCATAAAGCAACAGAAAAGTTAGTTGCTATGATTATCAATAATACATTTAGGTTATTTTGTTACTTGCTTTTGCTAAAGGACTTGCTTATTGATGACCACAGGGTAGTTTATCTGATTAACCTGTGATTACTGGGGATAAATAAAGTAGAAGGCTTTAGGAAATAAGATTGTTAATTTACAAGGTTGGGAGGTAGTGCAGAAGTAATTATGAAGACTGTGGAGGTTGGAAGCAGTGGGTGGGGACAAGTAGGTAGTCCGGCTAGGTGATGGCCTGGGACTTTCTGATCTGTGGTGTCTGGCTGTCGCTTCTTTGGTCATAAACTCTTAACTACTGTTCCTGAGATTTCATGTGCATTTCCCTATACAAATCTTTAGTGCTACTGCCAGACTGTTAATATGTGAGGAGATAGTGCTTGCTTTTTTTCTCTGACAATGACAAGAAACTTATTATATGAACCACGTCAAAATTCCATAGTAATTTTTTTCTCCATTTGATCTAACTCCAAAGTCTTTTCCCTACCTCTTATTAAAATTTAAATGTTATACGTGCAACACTTGGAACAGAACAAGAGGCACAGGATCTTTTAAAGTTTAAAGGTTACTTTTAAAAAATCACATTTGCTAAGGGAATTTCTTCTGTATCTTTGAAAAGCTGTTAAAATACACACACACACACACACACACACACACACACACACACACACACCTCTCCCAGCTGTCAATGAATGGTATAAATAACAATTGTGACTTTAACCACAACAAAAATGTGTTACTTCTTAGGTCGTCTTTGAGGTTTTCCTTTTAGGAACTGTTTCTAGGAGCCAAGTTTTGGTTTTGTTTTGTTTTTTTTTTCTGCGATCACGGCTGACTGACTGAGGACTTCAGGCTGTTTACGCGGGAGAGCTTTAGATATGTTTATTTGTATGGCATTGTATCAAGGCCTTCAAATATTTGCTGGGAGGTTTGGTGGAAAATGTCTAGACCAGTGCAAACACTGCAGGCCCCAGAGAAATCCAAGAAGCTCAAGGAACCATTCAAGAACCCGTGCTTTATCCTATTGTCATTACAAGGAATTACAAGGAAATCTTCTGAATCTTTGTCAGACTGGATGAGCCCATCAAAGAGGGTCCAAGTCAATAAAGGATCTTGATTTCACCACGCCTGGTTTCGTTCATTCCACAGCGATGAGAAGTAGAGTGGAAAGCCATCGATCTAAGAGGCAGGCGAGCTTCATACCAGCCCTACATCAGCTACTCACTTGCTGGATCACTCTGCCAAGTCACTGGCCCTCTCGGGGCTCTGGTTTTCTCAGGTTTAAATGAAAGTGGTTAAGTAAAAGAATGTCTAAGCTCCCTTTCTTTGATCCTATCTACCTATTAAATAACTTTTAAGTGTAGTCATTGAACCAGGTCTGCAGTAAAAGATACAAAGAAAAAAATATAAAATGAGATCCCTTGTCTCAAGAAAGTTTGATTGGATATTTAAGCCTCTTTTATTATTTCTCAGCTCCTAGGAGTTTCTTGGAAGCTCATAATCTCACAGAGTATATGTGGCCACAGGCAAATACATAATAAATCATTTATCGATGTTACATCACGAGATAAAATAATATCATCTATGTTGCCGGGCTTTGGGGCCACCCAGGTGGCCAACACACAAATAGATACACCTATAATAACTGTTATTTTATGTGTAATAACAGCTATATCGGGCTCCTACTATGTACCTAGCTCTCTGCTAGATGTTAAAAGCCTTATCTCTGAAACCCTCATGACAATCTTGTAAGGTAGGCAGTGCTATCTCCGTTTTACACATGAGGAAACCAAGACTTTGAGAGATTAAAAAACCTGCCCAACATTGGCCGGGCATGGTGGTTCATGCTTGTAATCCCAGCACTTTGGGAGGCTGAAGCAGGAGGATCACCCGAGGTCAGAAGTTTGAGACCAGCCTGGGCAACATGGCAAAACCCCGTCTCTACTAAAAAAAAGAACCAACAACAACAAAAATTAGATGGGCACAGTGGCATACGCCTGTAATCCCAGCTACTCAGGAGGCTGAGGCAGGAGAATCGCGTGAACCCAGGAGGCAGAGGTTGCAGTGCGCTGAGATCACGCCACTGCACTCTAGCCTGGGTGACAGAGTGAGACTCCGTCTCCAAAAAAAAGAAACTTGTCTAACATCATGTAGCTAAGAAGGGGCTGCAGCTCTTTCGATTCCAAAGTCTAATCTCCTTTCACTGTACCTCTGCCTCTGGGTTTAATGTTTTGCATTTTTTTGGTTTGTTTTTTGCTTTGAGATGGATTCTCACTCTGTCCCCCAGGCTGGAGTGCGGTGGCGCAATCTTGGCTCACTGCAAGCTCCGCCTCCCTGGTTCAAGCCATTCTCCTGCCTCAGCCTCCTGAGTAGCTGGGACTACAGGCGCCTGCCACCACGCATGGCTAGTTTTTTGTATTTTTAGTAGAGACGGGGTTTCACCATGTTAGCCAGGATGGTCTCGATCTCCTGACCTCATGATCTGCCCACCTCGGCCTCCTAAAGTGCTGGGATTACAGGCATGAGCCACTGTACTCGGCCATGTTTTGCATTTTAAGAAGCTATATATATATTCTCTCTTTCTCTCTCTCTCTCACACACACACACACACACACACACACACACACACACACTCCGGGATTTTGAAGATAAGTAGACTGAAGCACAGGTTGCTTAAATGATGTGTCCCAAATCCCTTCACTAGAGACTGGCAGACGAGGGACCTGAATGAAGCCAGGTGCTCTGACTCAAGAAAATGTTCTCTTACCCTGCAGCACCGCTTGTGCAGCGTGCCCCAGCTGACACGGTTTTGTAAGATTCCTTGAACTCTCCTAGGTGGGGCAGGCATGCCACACGTCCCCTCCCTGCATTGTTCATATGCTGCTTCCTATTTTCTTGCTCAACTCTCTTGCAATCTCTCTCAGTTCTATACATGGGAATTTCATCTTTCTAGCTGCTCAGGCCCCAAAACAAGAACCAATGACTTGTCCTTTTCTCTTACACCTGTATCTACTCCTTCAGCAAATCTGCCAAACTTCCTTCAACATAAACCCAGGATCTGACCACTTCTTGGCTCCTCCACCATTCTCCTTTCAGTCACACCAGGCATCTTTCCTGTCATCTTATTTGGTCCCTCTGCATCTTCCCTTGCTCCCTACAATCTCTTCTCCACACAGTAGCCGGAGGAATCCTGTTAAGTCAGAAGCCACATCATGTCTTTCTCTGTTGATAAACGCTCGAATGGCTTCCGGTCTCACTGGGAGCAAAAGCCCTATGAGACGGACTTGACTCCCCCCATGGGGCCTCCTGGCTCTTTCTGGAACACATCAGGACACATTTCTGCCCCAGGGCCTTTGCACTTGCAGTTTTCCTGCCCTGGGACCCTCTTCCCCAGATGGCTGCAGAGCCCACTCCTCAGCTCCCACAAATGTGTGCTAATTTGCCATCTCCTTGGGGAGGCTTCCCTTGCCCACCTTTATTAAAACTGCAGCTCATCTCCTACCCAATGTTCTCCAGCCCCACGCTCTGCCTCCTTTCTCCTTCTAAGCACTTATCACCGTCTGGCAAACGATGCATTGAACAAGTTCGTTTTATTTGTCATGTATCTCCCCAACTAGAATGTAAGCCCCACAAAGGCAGGGTTTCTCTTTTGGGAGGGGAGGTTCTGGTTTGTTCACTAATATAACCCTAGTGTCTACAACAATGCCTGGCACTTTGTAGCTCTCAATACATGGTTTTTTTGTTTGTTTGTTTTGAGACAGAGTCTCGCTCTGTTACCCAGGCTGAAGTGCAGTGGCACCATCTCACCTCACTGGAACCCCTGCCTTCTAGGTTCAAGTGATTCTCCTGCCTCAGCCTCCCAGGTAGCTACAGGCATGCGCCACCATGCCTGGCTAATTTTTTGGTATTTTAGTAGAGAGAGTTTCGCCATGTTGGCCAGGCTGGTCTTGAACTCCTGACCTCAGGTGATTCGCCCACCTCGGCCTCCCAAAGTGCTGGGATTACAGGCATGAGCCACCGTGCCCGGACCCAATACCTGTTTTTTGAGTGGATGAATGAAGGACATTCATTCCCTGTCCCCTGACAGGTCTTAGGGCCTCATCTCTTCCTGATCTGCAGACCGGATCATTTTTATCTCAGTCACATGTTCAGTCTTCTGAGATGTGGTATGGCCACTCATTTATCACTGACTCTCACTTAAGCCCAGTTCCTACCTAAGATGCTCTCCACAGAGGCTTGGGTGAGGCTGCAGTCATGCCAGCTTCTGCTCTCATCCCACATTCTTTGAGTTTAATGAGGGAGCCTCCCTCAGGCACCATCCTGGACCTTTTCATAAGACCCTGCCTTCACAGACAACATTCTCGGTTTCAGGAGCCATAGAGCTGTTGAAGGTCAACCATTCAACTTACTGAGTATTAATTATTCAAATGTGTCTGGTTGTACAGGAGGCCTTCAGCCAGCAATGAAATGGAGGGTGAACCAGGATGAGGGAGAAAGTTCATATTAATGGCACCTCTTTCCCCATCTCAAAGGGGTAACTGCCCTTGAAAGAGCCCCTGTAGTTCGGGGTTGAAGAGAGTGCAGGAGCACAGGAGGAGAGAAGGCTATTCAATTTGTAATTTGCAAAAAAAGAAGCCATTTATCAAAGTTTGTGCTTGAGATATTTAATAATAGAACTGCCCTTCAAGGTTTCCTTAAGGGTAATATTGCTGATTAAAAAGGAAACATGCTCTCTCATTTTGCAATTGAAGAAACAGCCACATAGAGTCGGGTGGTGATTCTCAAAGGACAACAGCAACCCAATCAATTCTACCCCTTGTATCAAGGGACAGTCATGTTCACCTCCATCCATGAGAATTATGTCCCACGCCATCTTTGCAGGAGTATGTCATCACGAAAGTTACCTGCCATCGAGACAAAGAAAAAGAAGTGAAACTCACCCACCACTCAAACCCCAAACAGTGTTGGGTCAGGGGTGAGAGCAGGGCAGGCAGAACTGGGCAGAACGTTAGCATTGGTGTCCCGGCTGGGATGGCCTTTAAAGGTCAGCCAGGGCAAACTTGGAGGTCACCTGCACTTGGGGAAGCTGAGGTGCAGAGAGGATGAGTGACTCCGGGGCCCTGGCCACACAGGGTGTTAGTGACTAAAAAGCAGCCAGAATTCTGTCACCGTGAGTCTCCACATACAGCTATGTCCAGGGTCCTTAAATGACCTTGGCAACCCACTGCTTTTGTACCCTTATGTTCCACAGGAGGAAACAGACCCATAAGGCAGAAGAGCAACGAGGCCAAGGAGACCAGAGAAGATATTTAATGTGGACCTTTACCCCATTGGCTTCCCTTGAGTTTATTTAAGCAGGACTTTCGGTTCTTTCTCTCTTCCTTTCCTTCAGTGTCACAGCAACTTTATATCGATTTTGTCTAGTCCCTCAGGAAATGGTCTTGTGAACTTGAAAAACAAAGGCCTAAATTCACGGAACCAAGTTAGTTTCTAGCACTGTCTCTTCTGTTCCATGCCAGTGTTTCTGCCCAGAAAAATGGGGTCAGTTTGGTCAGAGTGGAGGGAAGAGGAGAGATTCAGTGGACTCCCCCAGAGTCATAGCTTAGCAATGAGAAGACAGGGATGCATAGGATAATCTCCCCAAATTAGACTATCCCACTGTTCTCAGCATACAGCGGGTGCTTTAGCAAATAATGATTGCATTGCTTTGTTAGGTGCCATGCCGGAAAATTTACAGGCTACCAATTTTACAACAGACCAATGGACAAGTATATTGATCACCCAACTACTCTATGTCCAGAGTTATAATTGGAATTGTCCAAAAGTCAAGAGACATATAGCTTTACCCTGGGGGGCCTTGAAATCTCATTGGGAAGCCAGTTCTATTACACATAACACACCTTGAGCAAAATACAGGACAGCTCCTGTATAAGACCGTGTAACATTGATGGGATTGTAGAGAGAGGATTTAAAAGCAATCTCTCTCCATCATCACGCCCATGTAACAATAATGATAGTAATAATCATAGCTGCCCTTTTTTGAGCAGTTAACTGTAGTTACTACCAGGCACATGCTAAGCTCTTTAAAGATATCATCTCATTTACTCTGGACAACAAACCTACCAGTACTAATATTATCTCCTTGTCAAAGGTCATGTAGCTAAAAGTGTAGAGCCAGAATTGGAATCTGGGCCCCTTTTATAAACCCTAACCCTAAAGCCATGTTTTTAGCATTGACACCCACAGCCCACCCTCAGCCACTCTAGTCCTCTGTGTGTAGGTAGCTCCTTGAAAGATGACTGTACCTTTTAAACTTTCTCTCTGCGTCCTCTGGCCACCATGTTCTGGTCCAGATCAGTGGTCCTCAAACTCTCGGACACCCACCACATAATAGAGGGTCCTGATGAGTGAGAAAGAAAGGGGAACTGCTCGTCATCTGTGTCCCATTTGCGTCCACCCACCCCTGGAAGTGAGGGCCACACACACACCCTGTCCCAATGTTGTCACTCAGGTGGAAACAAGTTGAGAACCACAGTTTTGGGGTCACCCCTGTTGCTCTCGTCCCATTTTGCACTTTCCCTTCCTGCTTTCCTGTGGCTGACCCTGCTCTGCTGATGTCTGTCTTAAACCCCAAGGATCAAACTGTTTCTGAAGCTCAGCCAACCAACTCTCCTTCATCTCCCGGGAGTCTCCTAGGGTCCTCAGGGTGCTCCCAGCTCCTGAGCCAGTTATTTTTCCCTAGGCGTGTTCCGATGTCATGAATGCCAAATCATTGCCCCCGCCTTGTGGCTGTGCCTGGGAATTACAGCTCTCCTGCTCGTAAGGACAACTGGGTGCCCAGAATACAGGTTTACGTTGCATCCCTCTCCCACTGCTATACTCACCCCGTCTCCCAGAGTGGAAGTACCTTAATTTAACAAGCCCACTTGACATCCTCAAATTCCACCATGCCTTCAGGACACGTCAACATTAAAATCACCCCGGTACTGCCACTACTTACTACCACCACTCAATTCCTGCCACCACGACTAATACCCTACTCTGCAACCACTACCATTACTACTGCTACCACCACTTCTATCACGGTTAATATCACTACTACAACAACCATTACAACCTCTATTAATACCACCATTACTACCACTACATGACTAGTGCTATGGTCACGCCTACCACCATTAATACCACTACTATTGCCACTACCACCACCACCACTAGTGTTACTATCACTACAACCACCACTAATGCCACTACTATTACCATGATTACCACTATTAATACTGCTACTACTACTACCACTACCACTATTAATACCACCACCACCAATATACCACTATTTTTTTTTTTTAAGAGTTGGTGTCTCGCTGTGTTGCCCGGGCTGGAATGCAGTGGTGCAATAATAGCTCACTGCAGCCTTGAACTCCTGGGCTCAAGTAATCCTCCTGTCTCAGCCCCCAAATAGCTGGGACTACAGGTGCATGCCAGCACACTTGACCAATTTTTAAAAATTTTTTCCAGAAATGGGGTCTTGAACTCCTGCCCTCAAGCAATCCTCCTGCCTTGGCCTTCCAAAGTGCTGGGATTACAGGTGTGAACCACAGCACTTGGCCACTATGATTACTATTAATTACACTCCTGCCATTATGAATCCCACCCCTACCACTGCCACTCCTACCACTGTTCATACCATTCCTAGTACCACTACCACCACCACTACTACTATTGCTATTGTTGCTGCTGTTACTGCTGCTACTGAAGACTTACTGTGCGCTTGGCTCATGATCTTTTTCTTATATTATCTCATGTAATTCTTACAGCAACTCTTGAAGTAGGAAATATAATTATCCTCATTTTACAGATAAGATAATCAGGACTTGGGGGCTGGGCATGGTGGCTCACACCTGTAATCCCAGCACTTTGGGAGGCCGAGGCGGGCGGATCACGAGGTCAGGAGATCGAGACCATCCTGGCTAGTGCAGTGAAACTCCGTCTCTACTAAAAATACAAAAAAATTAGCTGGGCGTGGTGGTGGGTGCCTGTAGTCCCAGCTAACTCAGGAGGCTGAGGCAGGAGAATGGAGTGAGCCTGGGAGGCGGAGTTTGTAGTGAGCCGAGATCGTGCCACTCCAGCCTGGGTGACAGAGCGAGACACCGTCTCAAAAAAAAAAAGATAATCATGACTTGGGAGTCCTTTGAATTGTCATAGCTCCCTCTGCTAGTAAGAGGCAAATCAGGATATGAACCCAAATTGTCTGGCATCAGAGCCCATGCACTTAACCCCCAGCGTGAGGAAGCGACACTGGCTTTGGAGTCAGAGAGACCCAGGTTAGACTCCTCACCTTGCTGGGTAACCAGGCGAGTGAGTCTTCTTTGTAAGATGGGGTTTCCCCTTGCAAGGCTAGGGTTCTTTTGAGAATTAAATGAGATGATATATATCGGGATGTCCAATCTTTTGACTTGCCTGGGCCACATTGGAATAAAAATTGTTTTGGGCCACATATAAAATACACTAACACTAACGATAGCTGATGAGCTAAAAAAAATAATGTTTTAAGAAAATTTACAAATTTGTGCTGGTCTGCATTCAAAGCTGTCCCAGGCCACATGTGGCCCATGGGCCATGGGTTGGACAGGCTTGATACATATGAAACATGTAGCAGAAAGGCTGCACGTAATCCGCCCTGCCTCCCAGGGAGCCTGGCTGACCTGTCTTGTGAGTCTCTGCTCACAGCCAACAATAGGTCCTCTGCAAGAACCTACTGTTGGATAACTCACTCTCCACTCAGGCCATACATACAACTTGTTAATGATTCATTCCTTCCTTCATTCACCCACATATCACACATTTATTGAACACCTCCTATATGGTAGGCATGGTGCTTGGACCTGGGGATGTGGTCACTGCCCTTGTGTCATACACCCTACTAGAATTTTCTGTGTGCCAACTACAGGACATGCAAAGAGCAGTGTGGAACAGTTGAGGCACAGAGCATCTGGTGAGCTTGGAAAGGGGGATAAAACAAGAAAATCAATGACTAGGCACAATGAAGATGAAGATAAACATCTTAGGAGATTGGGGAATGGATAGTCTTATCAAAAGATAGAGACATCCCACTGGTGGAAGAATTGGGCAAATTCTGGTGGCATCAGTTGGAAGGAGCGGAAGGAAATGGCAAAGGTAGCAGCTGGAGAAACATCCTGGGTAATTAGTTTTTTTCACTGAGGGGCCACTGAACCTCTTGCTCATCCTTCACTATTTAGAGAGCACTTCTAATAACCAATGATTGTCTCACAGCAGCTTCACTGGCGTGGGGAGAGCTGGACCTTAGCGGCTCCTCCACAATCAATGGATAACCACATGGAAACACTCCTACTCTAACCAGGCTCTGTGCTGGACTCCAGTCCTCATCACTGAGAGGCGGGCTTCCATGCTGCAGATGAGAAAATGAAGACTCAGAGACGTTCGGTGACTTACTAAAGTTACTGAATGCAGAAGTCAGGATGCAAACCTGGATTCATCTAGTGCCAAAGGCCACATTCTTTCCATCATGGAACACTTTTCTTTTACTGAGAAGGCAGGAAGCCTGGTGAACTCTCACTCAGTTCTGATCATGCAGGCAGAGGGCCATGTTCTCCATATAAAGGGGACAGTGCCTAGAGCCACACAGGGTGTTGAGAGGCTGAAACAGACTTTGGGTGGTGTGGTGTTGTGAGAGGCTGCAGAGTGCAGCAACTGGTGTCAGGCAGACCTGGACTTGAATCTCAGCTGGGCAAGTTTTTTTGTTTTAACCCCATTCAAAAATGCCAGTCCAACTATTTCCCTCTGTAATCATGTTTTAGCTGCTATACACATTTTAATGAAAATTATAATCGTACTGTAGGTTTAAGCCTTGATTTTCTCACCTGCAAGCTGATAATGTCTATTATAGGATTGTACATGGGGATGAAAACAGTTAACACAGGAGGAGCTCCACAAAGCACAGGCATACAGTAAGCACCCAATGCATATTTTTCACTAGGAGAAGGACCTAGAACAATGCTGAGGACATTGTTCTAAGACAATGCTGGGGTGCTCAGGATGTGGCTGCTAATGTTTCACTTTTTCTGGAGCCTGACAGAATCCTGGGCACTGTACCCCTAACTGATATAGTCAAGAGGGTGTTTCATGAACTTATGAATTTTTATAAGGTTCTACTTTTGCAATTTCATGTAATGCTCCAGTGCCGTTGGACACGTCAGCTCCTGACCTTTCAGTTGGTGAGGCACTTCCCATAAACAGAGCCATAAAAGCCCACTGGTTTTCTCCTTGGTGTGTGAGTTTGTTTGGTGCTCTCCCTTTCTCCTTCGCCATTTGAATAGTGATGTCATTATTCCAACGTCCTCTCACCTCTACTGAAAAAGGCCTACCAGTGACTCTCTCCTGGGTACTCAGCAACACTCTGGAGGGAAGTTGTGGTTTCAGCAAGGTGCAAGCATCATGAAACCGAGAGAGAACTGGCAGGGTGGAGAACTCACCCAAAGGTAGGAGAGAGAGAAAAACACTCACATGCTTTTATTAAGCTTCAGACAGTGGTCAAGTCAGTCTTTATTATTAATTTTTTTAAGACTTGCTGTTAAGACATTAGCATAACACCATTTAAGGAACTATAAATAGAATAAAGCACCACCCATTCCCCACGACCAAATGCTAGCCCAATTATTTCCATTTAAAAGTGATCACTTTTAAATGCTATACATATTTTAATAAAAATTATAATTATACTATAGGTTTAATTTAATTTAATCTCCTTCTCTTTCCCTGAATGTTATTTCAGGAAGGGTTTTTTTTTTGTTTTTTTTTTTTTTTTTGAGATGGAGTCTTGCTCCATTGCCCAGGCTGGAGTGCAGTGGTACCATCTTGGCTCACTGCAACCTCTGCCTCCCTGGTTCAAGCGATTCTCCTGCCTCAGCCTCCCAAGTAGCTGGGATTACAGGTGTGTGCCACCATGCTCAGCTAAGTTTTGTATTTTTAGTAGAGACAGAGTTTCGTCATGTTGGCCAGGCTGGTCTCAAACTCCTGGCCTCAGGTGATCCGCCTGCCTTAGCCTCCCATAGTGCTGGGATTACAGGCCTGAGCCACCATGCCCGGCCCAGGAAGGCTTTTTCGACACTGCTGCTTCTTCTTCCTGCTTATCACGGAAGCTACTGCATCATGGCTTGTTCCTGGGACTCAGTGCTCCAGCATCTTGGTTGCAAGCAATCCCAGGGGTGAATGGAACAGGCAGAGGTATCAGAGTCACAAAGCCTTGGGTTCAAGCCTTGCTTCTGACACTTACTACTCAAATGACCTTGGCTCAGTTACTGCTTTGTGCTTTGAGCCTATTTTCTCATCTGTGAAGTGGGAGGTCACACAGACGTGGCAGGGTTACTGTGAGGTTTAGAAGTAAAGCATGTAAAGGCCTGGCAGAGAATTTCTTCAGCCAATGGTAGCTGTTCTTAGAGATGTGCTGTTGTTGACCTTATTGTTGGACAGTTCTCGATGACGCCATGATGGGTATCTTTTATAATGTCTGTTCTTTTTTTGACTTCTCTTCTGAGGAAAAGTTCCAGGAGTGGGATTTTTAGCCCAAGAGTATAGACATTTTTGTGGCTTTTGACATGTATTGCCAATTTGCCTTCTAGAAAGCTGATACGAATTCACATAATCATTGGCAATGTAATTAGTATTTGATCCAAAGCTAGTAGCAAAAGTAGGTGTGCAACTAGTGACGTTAGTAACTCAGGTCAGTAATAAGTAGGTTCTTTAGGAACCAAGAGGCTGCAGTTTGTGGAATTTTGATGTTGGAAGCCAGAAATTTGAAGACAGTAGGAAGTAATAGAAATTAGGCTGGGCATAGTTGCAGACCAGCAAAAGGCAGATATTTACCATCTGTGAGTTTGTTAACGCATATATTCCTTCAGGGCTCAAGTATTTGATATTAAAACAGGATTCTTCCTAAATTTATTTCTGGTTTAAAACCATATCAGTGCTATGATCTTTTCATTTATATTTTATGTTTTCTAACACATCTCTTGAGTGGGGTGGAGAGAGCACTGTGTTGAGAATTGTTTGATCTGGATTCGGGGACTGATTCTCTCATTACCTCACAGTGTAATTTGGGGGAAAATCGCTGCTTATTCCCCAAATTCCTATGCCTTCCACAGTGAGACTCACTGCTGTGGCGGCCATGTTCCTGGTGCCTGATGGTTTACAGCTTTTGAGCTTTCAAAAACCAGTCCTGAAGTTCTCTGTGACAATACGCCAAGGGGACTTAATAAAAAATTTCTGTATTTAATTAAATTAATTATTATTTTTTGATAAGGAGTCTTGCTCTATTGCTCAGGCTGGGGTGCAGTGGCACAATCTTGGCTCACTGCAACCTCTGCCTCCCTGGTTCAAGCGATTCTCCTGCCTCACCCTCCCGAGTGGCTGGGATTACTGGTACCTGCCACCATGCCCGGCTAATTTTTGTATTTTTTAGTAGAGACAGGGTTTCGCCATGTTGGTCAGGCTGGTCTCGAGCTCCTGACCTCAGGTGATCTGCCCACCTTGGCCTCCCAAAGTGCTGGGATTACAGGTGTGAGCCACCGTGCCCTGCCCATTGTTGTATTTTAAATGCATTAAAAATACCCTATGGATATTTGCAGGCCAGTCCTCTCTTCTCCTTGCTGGACCTTGGTTTCCCTGGAAACCAAAGGGTTGATTTAGGCAACTGTTGAGGTCCCTCCTTCTCTGAAAGTACCCCCACCCCATGCTAAGGTTGAGGGTTACTGTAGCTCTGCTGTGCCGGCCACTGCTCTGCTTCCACTGTGCATTTAGGGCCTGTGGATTTTGTAGAACTCCACTAAGTTTAGCTGCTTTCTCCTTGTCAATCTTCAAGAAAGTAAGGATTGGGCCCGGCGCGGTGGCTCACGCCTGTAATCCCAACACTTTGGGAGGCCGAGGTGGGTGGATCAGGAGGTCAGGAGATCAAGACCATCCTGGCTAATGCGGTGAAACCCCGTCTCTACTAAAAATACAAAAACAAAATTAGCCGGGTGTGGTGGCGGGTGCCTGTAGTCGCAGCTACTCGGGAGGCTGAGGAGGGAGAATGGCATGAACCCGGGAGGCGGAGCTTGCAGTGAGCCGAGATCGTGCCACTGCACTGCAGCCTGGGCGACAGAGGGAGACTCTGTCTCAAAAAAAAAAAAAAAAAAAAAAAAAATTGAATATACAGAATTGGAGAGCAACAGAATTTGAGTGGCCCCTTCAGAGAATGTCCTTCTTCATTTTTGCTCTCTTTCCTAGCCTATTTCAAAGAACTCTTTGGGGAGTTCGGGGTCAGTTTTGGTGTGCCCATGACACTGGGGAGCAGTGCAGACCCTGGGCACCACTCAGCTCTAAGCAGGCTCGGGGGATCCCATCTCAGTTTCTCTTGCAGGAAGTGACTATGGCCTGAGGGCCCTAGACACTTTACGGGCCACATTCATTGCCAGTGAAAGAAAAGTGCCCAGGGCAATATAATTAAATGTAGATGAGATTATTACTGGAATAGGGTTTTTTTTTTCTCTTTAAAAATAAAAACAGCAGGTTGGTGGCATCAGAGAAGTGTAGTGAAGGCGCTCTCTAGAACAACACAAGCTACAGGTATGAAAATTTATAGGCAGATGGCCAGCCCCTATCATTGCAATTTCTCCGTCTTTCAACGCCATACCAACAATTCAGGAATTCTCAACGTTTCTGGGATGGTTTCTCCAAGCAGGTGGGCTCAGAGGGACCAGATAGGCTGACATCTGTGCAATGTAATCTGATGAAATGACCTGATGTAGTTATGCTGCAGTGGCATTTGTGGGTACATAAGAAGATGGGGTTCCCCCTGCCCATAAGGAGGTGTGACTTAAGGAGGTGGCCTTGGCGTAGTTTTGCTTCAGAACTCAGGAAAAAAAATGTTGGCATTAGTCACTAAGGAGGGAAGTGGCTGGAATGCAAAGAAATATATCAGGGGGGTCCTTTTCTGTGGTTCACACAGGGAAATAATTTGTTCTTCCTTTTCCTGTGCACCTAGAATAATATGTATGAACAGGCAACCCTCCACCATAACTGTAGTGTATTTTCCTGTAGTCACTAAAGCTGAGCTTTGAGAGTCTGGGTGTTCCTTTCTAAAACTTTGTTGTTCTTTTTAAACTCACCATCTCCAACCCCCACATTGCCAATGTTCATAACACAGTGTCTGGTTGTATTGGACCCTTGCTGGTCAAACGTGGTCCATGGACCAGCAGCACTGGCATTATCTGGGAGCTTGTTAGAAATGCAGAACGGGCACATGCTGGGCACAGTGGCTCACGCCTGTAATCCCAGCAGTTTGAAAGGCTGAAGCAGGCTGATCACCTGAGGTCAGGAGTTCGAGACCAGGCTGGCCAACATGGCGAAACCTCATCTCTACTAAAAATATAAAAGTTAGCTGGGTGTGGTGGCGGATGCCTGTAATCCCAGCTACTCAGGAGGCTGAGGCAAGAGAATCACTTGAATCCAGGAGGCAGAGGTTGCAGTGAGCCGAGATCGTGCCACTGCACTCCAGACTGGGCAACAGAGAGAGACTCTGTCTCAAAAAAAAAAAAAAAAAAAAAAAAACCCAGAACCCCAGGCACCCAAGATGTATATGTAGGGATGTGCTCGTACTTCAGCCTCTTGAGTAGCTGGGACAAGCGGCATGGGCCACCAAGCCTGGCTTATTTTTTTATCTTTTGTAGAGATGGGGTCTCCCTATGTTGCCCAGGCTGGTCTCAAAATCCTGGGCTCAAGCAATCCTCCCACCTCGGCCTCTCTAAGTGCTGGGATTATAGGCATGCACCACTATACCTGGACTATAAAAATTTGTTAAAAGAGTAATTTTGGTGGGTTTAAAAATAAGATGAAACTAAATTACTAGGACACAGTAGACATTTGACAAGGGCAAATTAAAGTGTCCTAAGGTTTTATATTTTGGGAAAAGTCATTAGAGATATTGACTAACTTTAGACTAATTAGGACAAGTATTTATATGAAAAATTTAAGGGTTCCCACTAAAAGAGTAGAAATGGAATGTAAAATTTTCAAACCAACGAAGAAGAATAATGTGGTCAATTGGTAGAATGCAAAAAATAAAAATAAAAAGAGGAGAAAAGAAGTAAAGATAAAAAGAAAACACAAAATAAAATGGTAGAAGTAAATTCACAAATATCATTAACCATAATGATTCTAATTGGAGGAAACTTAAAATTTCTGAACACGCGCTTGATGCCAGGTACTATGCTGTGCCCAATACAAAAATAGATAAACAAAAGCTTCTGTCTTCAAAAGCTTATAGTCCAGTAGTGGGTGGGGCAGGGCTGAGAATGAGGCTAAGCAAAGCAATACCTCATTCTATTGTGCTTCTTGTATACTGAGTCATTTTTTTTTTAAACAAATGCACGGTTTTTGGCAACCCTGCATTGAGCAATGCTATTGGTGCCAATTTTCCAACAGCATATGCTCATTTTTTGTCTCAGGGTCACATTTTGGTAATGCTTGCAATATTTCTAACTTTTTCATATTATTATATATATTATGTTGATCTGTGATCGGTGATCTTTGATGTTAACTATTGTCATTGTTTTGGGGCACCACAAACCTCACCATATAGGATAGCAAACTTAATCGATAAATATGTGTGTTCTGATTCCTCCACCGACCAGGTGTCCCCCCATCTCTCTCCCACTCCTCGGGCCACCCTATTCCCTGGGACACAATATATTGAAATCAGGCCAACTAATAATCCCTGCAGTGGCCTCAAAGTGTTCAAGTGAAAGGAAGAGTTGCACATCTCTCTTTTTAAATCAAAAGCTAGAAACGCTTAAGCTTAGTGAGGAAGGCATGTGAAAGCCGAGCTAGACTGAAAGCTAGGCCTCTTGCACCAAACAGATAGCTGAGTTGTGAAGGCAAAGAAAAGTTCTTGAAGGAAATGGAAAGTGCTACTCCAGTGGACACATGCATGATTAGAAAGGGAAACAGCTTTATTGCTGATATGCAGAAAGCTTGGGTGATGGCAATAGAGAATCAAACCAGCCACTATATTCCCTTAAGCCAAAGACTTAGCCAGGGCCAGAGAAAGGCCCTTATTCTCTTCAAATTTATGAAGGCAGAGAGAGGTGAGGAGGCTGCAAAATATTTTCTTTTAAGCTAGCAGAGGTTGGTTGCTGAGATTTAAGGAAAGAAATCATCTCTATAACATAAAAGTGCAAGAGAAGCAGTAAGTGCTGATGTAGAAGCTGAAGCAAGTTATCCAGGATATTTAGCTAAGATCGCTGAGGAAGGCGGCTACACTAAGCAACAGATTTTCGGTGTAGACCAAGCAGCCTTCTATTAGAAGAAGATGCTACCTGGGACTTTCATAGCTAGAAAGAAGTCAATACCTGGCCTCAAAGCTTCAAAGGACAGGCTGACTCTCTTGTTAGAGGCTAATGGAGTTGGTGACTTTAAGTTGAAGCCAATGCTCATTGACTATTTTTTTTTCTTTCTTTCTTTTTTTTTTTTTGTGACAGAGTCTCACTCTGTTGCCCAGGCTGGAGTGTAGCGGTGCAATCTCGGCTCACTGCAACCTCTGCCACCCAGGTTCAAGCAATTCTCCTGCCTCAGGCTCCTGAGTAGCTGGGATTACAGGCCCCTGCCACCACGCCCGGGTAATTTTTTGTAGTTCTTAGTAGAGACGGGGTTTCACCACCTTGGCCAGGCTGGTCTTGAACTCCAGACCTCATGATCCACCCACCTTGGCCTCCCAAAGTGCTGGGATTACAGGCATGAGCATTCGAGCTCACTGACTGTTTCAAAAGTCCTAGGACTTTTAAGAAATATGCTAACCCTACTCTGCTTGTGCTCTAGAAATGGAATAACAAAGCCTGATGACAGGACATCTGTTTACAGCATGGTTTACTGAATATTTTAAGCCCACTGTTGAAAACTACTGCTCAGAAAAAAAGATCCCTTTCAAAATATTACTGCTCATTGACAACGCACCTGGTTACCCAATAACGCTAATGGAGATGTACGAGGAGATGAATGTTGTTTTCATGCCTGCTAATACAACATCCATTCTGTAGTCTGTGGATCAAGGAGTAATTTTGACTCTCAAATCTTATTATTTAAGAAATACATTCATAAGGCTATACAGCCATAGATAGTGGTTTCTCTGATGGATCTGGGCAAAGTAAATTGAAAACCTTCTGGAAAGGATTCATCGTTCTAGATGTCATTAAGAACATTTATGATTCATAGGTCAGGGTCAAGATATCAACATTAACAAGAATTTGGAAGAAGTTGATTCCAACCCTTATGCATGACTTCAGTGGGGGAAGTCACTGCAGATGTGGTGAAAATAGCAAGAGAACCAGAATTAGAAATGGAGCCTGTTCCCTCCTCCCTGCTTCTAAAAAAACAGTGGAGCCTGAAGATGCGACTGAATTGCTGCAATCTCATGATATATATGATACTATCTTCTCAATATATATGATACTATCTTCTCAATTTATTACAAATTGTAATAAACATAATAATCAAACTGGTGCTCCAAGCTTATGCTGTTCACATGGAAGACACCGCAAAAGAAGACACAATAGAGACTGCCTTGCAATTGTACCTTGCAATAAGAGGTACGAATTGTTTCTATAGAGATGGAGAAATAAAAGGACAAATCTAGTTGCCTAAAAGACAATTCTCTGTACACATTTTATTTACAGTTTTTACATTGTCTTAATACGGATTGGATTGCTTTTTCTACTTGAGCCTTTTTAACCAAAACAAAATAACCTAAGTAATACAAAGTGTTAAAATGCAGCATAAAAGGTAGTTTTTTTTTTTTCTAATTCTGTGAAGAATGTCAATGGTCATTTAATGGGAATAGCATTGAATCTATAAATTACTTTGGGCAGTATGGCCATTTTCACGATATTGATTCTGCCTATCCATGAGCATAGAATGTTTTTCCATTTCTTTGTGTCCTCTGTGATTTCCTTGAGCAGTGGTTTGTAGTTCTCCTTGAAGAGGTCCTTCACTTCCCTTGTTAATTGCATTCTTAAGTATTTTATTCTCTTTGTAGCAATTGTGAATGAGAGTTCTTTCATGATTTGGCTCTCTGCTTGTTTATTCTTGGTGTATAGGCATGCTTGTGATTTTTGCACATTGATTTTTTATCCTAAGATTTCACTGAAGTTGCTTATCAGCTTGAGAGCTTTTGGGCTAAGAAGATGGGGTTTTCTAGATATAGGATCATGTCATCTGTGAACAGAGACAGTTTGACTTCCTCTTTTCCTATTCAAATACGCTTTCTTTCTTTCTTTTGCCTGATTGCCCTGGCTAGAACTCCCAATACTATGTTGAATAGGAGGGTGAGAGAGGGCATCCTTGTCTTGTGCTGGTTTTCAAGGAGAATGCTTCCAACTTTTGCCCATTCAGTATGATATTGGCTGTGGGTTTGTCATAAATGGTTCTTATTGTCTTGATGTATGTCCCATCAATACGTAGCTTATTGAGAGTTTTTAACACTAAGGGATGTTGAATTTTATGGAAGGCCTTTTCTGTATCTATTGAGATAATCATGTGGTTTTTGTCTTTAGTTCTGTTTATGTGATGAATTATGTTTATTGATTTGCATATGTTGAACCAGCCTTGCATCCTAGGGATGAAGCTGACTTGATCGTGGTGGATAAACTTTTTGATGTGCTGCTGGATTCGGCTTGCCAGTATTTTATTGAGGATTTTTGCATCAATGTTTATGAGGGATATTGGCCTGAAGTTTTCTTTTTTTGTTGTATCTCTGCCAGGTTTTGGTATCAGAATGGCACTGGCCTCATAAAATAAGTTTGAGAGGAGTCCCTCCTTTTCAATTGTTTGGAATAGTTTCAGAAGAAATGGTACCAGCTCCTCTTTGTACCTCTGGTAGAATTCAGCTGTAAATCCGTCTGGTCCTGGGCTTTTTTTGGTTGGTAGTCTATTAATTATTGCCTCAATTTCAGAACTTGTTATTGGTCTATTCAGGGATTCAACTTCTTCCTGGTTCAGTCTTGGGAGAGTGTATGTGTCCAGGAACTTATCCATTTCTTGTAGATTTTCTAGTTTATTTGCATAGTGGTGTTCTTAATATTATCTGATGGTTGTATTTCTGTGGGGTCAGTGGTGATATCCCCTCTATCATTTTTTTTTGTGTCTATTTGATTCTTCTCTCTTTTCTTCTTTATTAGTCTAGCTAGCAGGTTTTTTTTTTTTTCCCTCAAAAAATCAGCTCCTAGATTTGTAGATTTTTTGAAGGGTTTTTTTATATCTCTATCTCCTTCAGTTCTGCTCTGATCTTGGTTATTTCTTGTCTTCTGCCAGCTTTGGGGTTTGTTTGCTCTTGGCTCTCTAGTTCTTTTAGCTGTGATGTTAGATTGTCAATTTGAGATCTTTCTACCTTTTTGTGTTATAGCATTTAGTGCTATAAATTTCTCTGTTAACACTGCTTTAGCTGCATCCCAGAGATTCTGGCATGTTATCTCTTTGTTCTCGTTGGTTTCAAAGAACTTCTTGATTTCTGCCTTAATTTCATTATTTACCCGGGTATCATTCAGGAGCAGGCTGTTCAATTTCCATGTAGTTGTGTGGTTTTGAGTGAGCTTCTTAATCTTCAGTTCTAATTTGATTGTGCTGTGGTCTGAGAGACTGTTTGTTATGATTTCAGCTCTCTTGCATTTGCTGAGGAGTGTTTTACTTCCAACTATGTGATCGATTTTATAGTAAGTGCCATGTGGTGCCAAGAATGTATATTCTGTTGCTTTTGGGTGAAGAGTTCTGTAGATATCTGTCAGGTCCACTTGATCAGAGCTGAGTTCAAGTCCTGAATATTTTGTTAATTTTCTGTCTTGATGATCTGTCTAATATTGGCAGTGAGGTGTTAAGGTCTCCCACTATTATTGTGTGGGAGTCTAAGCAAAAATTGACAAATGGGATCTAATTAAACTAAAGGGCTTCTGCATAGCAAAAGAAACTATCATCAGAGTGAACAGACAACCTATAGAATGGGAGAAAATTTTTGCAATCTATCCATTTGACAAAGGTCTAATATTCCGAATCTACAAGAAACTTAAGTTTACAAGAAAAAAACAACCCCATTAACAAGTGAGCAAAGGACATGAACAGACACTTCCCAAAAGAAGGCATTTATATGGCCAACAAACATAAAAATAAAGGGTCAACATTACTGATCATTAGAGAAATGCAAATCAAAACCACAGTGAGATACCATCTCACGCCAGCCAGAATGGCGATTATTAAAAAGTCAAGAAACAGTAGATGCTGGTGAGGCTGTGGAGAAATAGGAACACTTTTACACTGTTGGTGGAAATGTAAATTAGTTCAACCATTGTGGAAGACAGTATGGCAATTCCTCAAAGACCTAGAACCAGAAATGCCGTTTGACCCAGCAATCCCATTACTTGGTATGTACCCAAACGAATATAAATCATTCGATTACAAAGATACATGCACACATATGTCCATTGCAGCACTATTCACAATAGCAAAGATGTGTAACCAACCCAGTGGTAGACCGGATAAAGAAAATGTGGTACATATACACCATGGAATATCATGCAGCCATAAGAAGGAATGAGATCATGTCCTTTGCAGTGGCATGGATGGAGCCGGAAGCCATTATCCTCAGCAAACTAACACAGGAACGAAAAACCAAACACTGCATATTTCCACTTATAAGTTGGAGGTGAACAGTGAGAACACATGGACATAGGAAGGGGAACAACACACACTGGGGCCTGTTCGGGGGTGGGGGAGGGAGAGAATCAGGAAAAATAGCTAATGCATGCAGGGCTTAATACTTAGGTGATGGTTTGATAGGTGTAGCAAACCACCATGGCACACATTTATGTATGCAACAAACCTGCACATCCTGCACATGTATTACGGAACTTAAAATAAAATAAAATAAAAAATATAGCATAAAGATACAAAACTAGACATACTAATTCTAGTTAGAAATGTAATTATGATGTTACATTTTTATGATCAACAATTATGTTGTGGAAATTATACAAACACACATCACTGACTTGAATGAAATGCATAAAATTGTAGCAAAGCTTTGTAGTTACAAAAAACAAAAAAAAATTACCAAAGAAAGCACAAGTTTTTGGAGGGGAG
Source organism: Homo sapiens (assembly GCF_000001405.40). Classification (NCBI taxonomy): domain Eukaryota; kingdom Metazoa; phylum Chordata; class Mammalia; order Primates; family Hominidae; genus Homo; species Homo sapiens. The sequence continues at coordinate 2,024,571 of NT_187614.1, forward strand.
GGGTTTTTTTTCCTTTCTTTTTTTTTTAAATTATACTTTAAGTTTTAGGGTGCATGTGCACAATGTGCAGGTTTGTTACATATGTATACATGTGCCATGTTGGTGTGCTGCACCAATTAACTCGTCATTTAACATTACGTATATCTCCTAATGCTATCCCTCCCCCATCCCCCAACCCCATGACAGGCCCCGGTGTGTGATGTTCCCCTTCCTGTGTCCAAGTGTTCTCATTGTTCAATTCCCACCTATGAGTGAGAACATGCGGTGTTTGGTTTTTTGTCCGTGAGATAGTTTGCTGAGAATGATGTTTTCCAGCTTCATCCATGTCCCTACAAAGGACATGAACTCATCATTTTTTATGGCTGCATAGTATTCCATGGTGTATATGTGCCACATTTTCTTAATCCAGTCTATCATTGTTGGACATTTGGGTTGGTTCCAAGTCTTTGCTATTGTGAATAGTGCCGCAATAAACATACGTGTGCATGGGTCCCAAAGAATGCACAAAATTAATGTCTATTCCACCTTTGTGTCATATTCCTGGATTCTCATGATATAACTTTGACAGATGAGGAGTTGGTTCTTACAGATGAGCAAAGAAAGTAGTTTTTTGAGATGGAATCCACTCCTGGTGAAGATGCCGTGAACGTTGTTGAAATGACAACAAAGGATTGAGAATATCACATAAACGTAGTTGATAAAGTGGTGGCAGGATTTGAGAGAACTGACTCCAATTTTGAAAGAACTTCTATTGTGGACAAAATGCTACCAAAAAGCACTGCATGCTACAGAGAAGTCTTTTGTAAAAAGAAAAGTCCATCTATGTCACAAACTTCATTGTCTTATTTTTTTTTAATTGCCACGGCAACCTCAATCTTCAGCAACCACCACCCTGATCAGTCAGCATCCATCAACAGTGAAGCAAGACCCTCTACTTGCGAAAAGATTACTACTCACTGAGGGCTCAGATGATTGCTACCATTTTTTTTTTTAGCAACAAAGTATTTTAAAATTAAGGTATGTACTTTTTAAAAGATGTGATGCTATGGTACACTTAATAGACTACAGTATAGTGTGACCACAACTCTTCGATGCACTGGGAAACCAAAACATTTGTGTGACCCACTGTGTTGCCATATTTGCTTTATTGCAGTGGTCTGGAACTGAACCCACGATATCTCCAAAATATGCCTGTAAAAACAGTAGGCTAAGTGTTATGATAAAGGAAATACAGAGTGCTATGGGACTAAAAGAAGGGGCATCTAGCTTAGCCTGTTGGGAGAGGGTCAGGGAAAGCTTTCTGAAGATGGTGACCCCTCAGCTGCACTTTGGAGGATGAGTGAGAAGACAAAAGGGGTAGGAAGGGTGTACCAGGCAAATGTAACAGCACGTGCAAATGCACAGAATTGTAAGAGAACATGGCACGTTCTGGTCCGACATTGTTCCATTATGGATGAGAAACTTGAAGCCCAGAAAAGGTGAGGAGACTACCCCAAGGTCACCCAGTGAATTAGTAGTAGGATCAGAATTTGCACCAAGACTTGCGTTTCCTTTTACATTGGATTTTCCACTATACCACAGTGCCTTAGGTTTGTAGCAGGGGATTCTGTGACTAGAGGTTGTTGAGACTGCAGCCAACTTTGAAAATGAGCTGCATGTGGGTGTGGGGGCTGGATCTGTCTCCGGCCCATCCCTGGCTGGAGCTGAGCCAGGAACTTGGCAGTTTCCAGGGCTGAGCCATCCAGCTCACCCCAAGGAAGCCTCGGCCTCCAGCCATGGCACTACCACGTGGTTTAATCATTAACTCCAAGTTCACAGGGCTGAAGCTGGAATGCACAGGACCTGGGGAGCAGACCGGGTCTCCAGGGAGCTAAGAGAAAGTTGGCTTTTGAGATGGGAGGGGACCAAAGTTTAGAATGGGGTTTTTCATCCCTGAATGGATCTATGTTCTGGGCTCAGGAACAAGGGCACTCGCTGTTACTCTCAATTTTGTTGGAGTTTACACATGTTGTTAGCTTGATTTCAGGATTTCCTTTCAACGTTCATAGCAGATTGTGTTTCCCTCTGCCACATCCCTCAGCCTGCATTCATCTACCCCACTAAACTGTGATGTTCCCCTCGGAGGGCAGGACTCAGTGCTTGGAACAATCTGGTGCATAGTTGGTGCTCATTAAATATAGGCTGATTGATTGAATAAATGAGGCCCTAACTCTGCCTAAAGGCATCCCAAAGCACATGCTTTTTAAAAAAAAAAAATTAAAAGACATAGAAACCTGGCTGGGAGTAGTGGCTCATGCCTGTAATCCCAGCACTTTTGGAAGCTGAGACAAAAGAATCACTTGAGCCCAGGGTTCAAGACCAACCTGGATAACAAAGTAAGACTCCGTCTCTTATGAAAATAAAAATGAAAAAAAAAAAAAGAAATGATAACTGATTTTGCTTTAAAAGTTCAACAGAGATTCGCAAAAATCCCCAGAGATATTCTGTGCTATCATAAAATAGTCTAGCACCATGATGAGGTCCACTGTTGTAGAAGAGATGGACTGCTTTTTTTTTTTAATAATTTCAACTTTTATTTTAGATTCAGGGGTACATGTGCAGGTTTGTTGTCTGGGTATATTGTACGACAACGAGGTTTGGGGTATCAATGATCCTATCACCCAAGTAGTGAGCATAGTACCCAATAGGTAGTTTTTCGGCCCTTGCCCTCCTCCCTCCCTCTCCCCTTTTGGAGTCCCCAGTGTCTGCTGTTCTCATCTTTGTGTCTGTATGTACCCAGTGGTCAGCTCCCACTTATAAGTGAGAACATGTAGTATTTGGTTTTCTGTTCCTGCATTAATTCCTTTGAGATAATGGCCTCCAGCTACATCCATGTTGCCGCAAAGGATGTGATTTCATTCTTTTTTATTGCTGCATAGTATTCTATGGTGTATATGTACCACATTTGCTTCATCCAATCCACCGTGGATGGGCATCTAGGTGACTCCGTGTCTTTGCTATTATGGTATTTTTGGTAGAACGATTTATTTTCCTCTGGGTAGATACCCAGTCATGGGATTGCTGGGTCAAGTGATAGTTCTGCTGGGGATGTTCTTAAGGAGTCAGTGTGTGGATGACTGCAGAGTTTGTGAGGTTGCTTTGGCATTCTTGGGAGAGGGGGGCTATTCAGATATGAGGCCATGTTTTATTGAGGAAACAAAAGCCCAGTGGAGGTCAAATTCCACCAGCATAATAAAGGTAACTGCCTCTTTTGATTTCTGAAAGCTGTAACCTGCAATTGGAAAGACTGCATTATCAGTAGCATTGCTAAGCCCTGAAAATGCACCTTTAAAGGGATTTCTGGATTCCACATAACAAAACTTCCCCTGGAAGGTGAGGTGCAGGTGGCAGTAAAATTTCTGTTCTTTTTTGGTGAACCCAAGTTTCCTGATCTCGAAAGTAGAGACAGTCATCTCTTCTTCACAACGTACTGGTAATGGTTAAATGGAATGACAGTATATAACGTCCTTGGCACCCAGGAGATGTCAGTCCCAGTGAAAATTATCTTCTGTCTCTTAAAAGTAAAAATCCTGAACCGATATACACAGCCAGAGATGTGGAGATACATTTTGCTCTTAGATGCCATGTGTGTGGTGCCCAGTGATTCGGAGACCAATCTGGAAGGGAAAGAATCACTCTGCTGAATGCTGGCTTAAAGTGTAAATGTGTGCCGATAGTGTTGCTATAGCCAGCACTAGAGCATACTGGGAGAAGAAACTTCCCTTGCAAGAATAGTCACTCTCCTGGAAAGTGACTATTGGTTGGAATTGAGCCATAAAGGCTGCCGACTCTCACCCTAGCAAATTCTGTGTCAGCCCAAGGTCCTGGACATTCTGGGCAAACTGGCCAATGTCAGGGAGCTCTTTCTGTACCAGCCTCTGGGTCCTTTTTTTAATTTGTGGGTAAGTGACCTATCATACAGCCAGTTTGCATTTACCTCTGTCTACCACCTGTAGTTGTCAGGGTTCTGTAAGTTCTTTAAAGTTCTAGCACTCAGTGATGATTATGTCAGGGGAAAAAATTCAGGAAGGACCTCAGGCTTAGGTTCCTCCAACTTCCCACCTGCCCTTGGTCTCAGCAACAATGGAGAACAAATTGCCTTTGCAAGGAATTGGAAGATGCTGAGCTGCTCTGGCCACCTGATCTCTTTTTCCCTTCCCTTTATCATTTCTCTCCTTTGCCCTAAAACCTGAGATGAAATGAGAAGTAAATTGCCAAGGGAGATCCTCTCCTGGGGCAAATTTCCTGTCCTTGCTTATGGGCACAGAGACCCTGAGTGGGAAGGCCAGTTGCAGGGCACTCTCCCAGAACCAGCCCTGGGGTGACAGGTGCAGGCAGGATCCACGCTTTCATGGGGGAGGGGAAGGGTTGCAAAAGAGGAGGAGGAAGAAAGACTGTGGGAGACCCCAAGGGCTGCCCCTATTTCTCTACTCCACCCCAACCTGAAACTTACTGTCGGTCTCCACCAAGCCTGAGAGAGAGAGAGAGAGAGAGAGAGAGAAAGAGGGAGTGGGGAGAAAGAGACAGGGAGGGGGAAATCAAAGAAAATTGCAAAAGTCAATGGCCTGGAACTAGAGGCAGCCTCAGCAACTGCAGTGTGACTTTGATTCCCCTATCATAACCCTGAATTAAAAATTCAGGCAATTATCTGCATGGCTTCCTTCTGATTAGAACGAGCCGGAGCCTCATTAATGCATCAGCACAGAGGAAAGCCATTAGGGTCTGTGAAATGGAATGTTTCTCTGAGAACAGGTTCCGCTTGATGTAGAATACCCAGCAAAAAGAAATTTCACACATTTTTGAGCTCAGAGTCACAGGACGGCACCCAGCTTCAGGGCTGCAGACCCCGCCACCACAGTCGGCACCTCTCAGCTGGCTCTGGGTGAAAGCCACCTTTGTTTCGCAGCCTCTCTCTGGCACCTCCATCCACTGCATTGTGTGGAGGGAGGCTGAAGGAGCTGAGGGGCTGAGGGGCTTGCTGGGTCCTGAGACACTGAGTCAGCCTTCAGCCAGGATCCCCAGTTTCAAAGGCTTTGAGCCACAGGGAGCACGGGAACTTCACAGGAACACTGCCCTCCTCTGCTAGAAGAACTAGAATAGAAGCACCGTCGAGGACAGTGAAGGTCCTAGACTCCAGAAAAGGTCAAAGTATCTTCATGGCCCCCGCAATTCTCGGTACTTTCTTCACCCACGTGGTAATTTGGTCATCCCAAGATGGCCAAAGCAGGATCTGGTGAAGCCCAGTCAGCCTTGGAAGGTTGTTGCTTAAGAGAGGGTGAAGGATTGGAGGGCATCTTTTATTCATGGTCCAGGGTACCCTGTATCCATCCCTTATTCTATAAGCTCGGAGCTTCCAGAAATGCAAATCTATGGCCCAATTTCTAAGTGGGTGAATATCCCTACAATATTTGGCATTTGGAAACTCTCATGCACCCCACTTTGGGACTTCTATAGGGGCAGCTTTCTTCCCTAAATGACTATATTGCTTATGGGGAAACCCAAGAGTGCTGTTCCAGACAAGTACCTTTGCAGCCCTAGTAAGTTCATCTCTTGGGAGAGTTGGGTTCAACTTGACTTTGTCTAAATTTTCTTCTAGTTGGTGGGTAGGACTTGGGTTTCCTCATTTCAGACATCTTGACATTTCTCCAATATGGTGATTCTCAGGACACCAAACATTAATCCTTAGGATGAACAACAAATAATCTCTTTAGGAGAAAAGTCAATGTTATATGGGAAGAACTGAAAAAGGTGAAAAAGTTTCTGTAGGAAGAGAACTAGTTAAGAGTTGATAGGATGCCAACCAAGAAAATGATATCCTTCAAACGGTTTGACTAAGCCACGTTCTTCTCCTGGCACACCTGTTAACTCTTCAGTGTTAAGAACCAGGGCTAAATGTCCGGGTAAAGCTGTGAACAGGGCGCATCCGTGGTTAGTGCAATGGAGTCCATGTAGTACTGATGGAATTTGTATCAACAGCGCCCCCTACTGCATATGAGCAAAACTGGACAACCCAATAGTAATTTGTTTTCGAAAGTGTTTTCAGCCAATCCCACGTTAGAAGGATACATTCCTGGTCATCAGGGAGTTTTTATGAAGCATGTTTTCAATACTGCAGACAGTTTTATGGGTGAAGGCTCCTAGAGTTTATCTCACTCTCTAACACAAACAAGATGCTTGGTGATTCAACCATGCTATTTGTGGGCTGTGAGCATCCATCTCTCTAACACTTAGCTGACAAAGTCAGACGTACTCGAGAATTACTTGTGACTTCAGATGATCCCATGTAAAGCGCTAACCTAAAGGCACCCCGAGTCTTGAGGAGGTGGGGTTATCTATCTCGGCTCATGTTGGTAGGGGAGTGAAAAGAGCTGGCCAAAGGTCGGGAATGTGGGCCTTCCAGGGAGAGAAGCTACTCCACCAGCTCAACAGAAAAGGCCTCCTTTCTGCCATCGGAAATGGTCAAATCCCAGCCGTTAGTACTGTAGCACCATTCACTAATTCCTTGATATTTTAAACATAGATGCTCTTCCCAGGCAAATCATTCCTTTCTTCCCGAGATCACTCAGCTACGTTTGCAATTTGTCACTCTATATTCACATGACAAACATTTTTCAAGCAATTATGATATGCCAGACATTGTTTAGAACAGGAGTGACAGCACCGAGCAGATGGCAAATGAAGAATTCCCTGTTCTTTGGAGCATACATGCTAGTTGGGGGTACAGATGACAAACAGAAAGACAAGCAAGGGTGTCAGAGCTGTAAATGCGGTGATATACAATGCTGGGCAAGCGGGCAGAGAGTGATGGGGGGCTACTTTGCACAGGTGGTCAGGGGAAGCCTCTCTGAAGAGCACGTTAGGAAATCTTTCTAATGCTCCCTGCCAAGCGATCTTCTTTCTCTCTTTTAAAACTAGAATTGCCTCTCCCGTTAAACATTCCCAGTTAACTCTCCCTGTCCTTTGACTTTCCACTCAGCTCATCATCTCTGCTCAAGCTTCTTCATCTTGCAAAGAGACAGGATCATAATCTCCTTGAGGACAAGGGCCCATCTTCTGCTTCTTTGGCTTGCTACCAGAGTGGAGAGGAGGGGAACAAACATTGCTACTATATGCTAGAAACATGAACGCTTTAGTTCATTGACTCCCCTCAAAACTCCTGCCATCTCTTTATTATTTGTCCATTTTATAAATGAGGATAATGAGGCTCGGTTTATTCAAGGGTGTGAGCTGTCGAGGGGTGGAACTGGGATTTGAACCCTGTTCTAGCCTCATGGCCTGCAGTCTTCCCACTCCTAAGCATGGCATAGGGTGAGTGTTCATTAAATGTTGTCAATGAGTCATGAGCACAAGGAAGGGATGAGCTTTGTTTCTCAGAGAGCAGTCCTGCAAAGGAAATGATTAGACTCCCACCAGCTGGCTTATAAATTCTTCTTTTACCCACTAAGTGACCATGAGCCGTTCATTTTCCTCTTCCTGGGCTTTGTAATTCTTCTCTGTGAACTAAGGTTAGACCAGATGATCCCCCAGGTCTCTTCCAGCTCTGACAGTCTAAGGAATGTAATCTTTTGTAAGCAGTAGGGGTGGGTGGTGAATGGGGAGGAGTCAGGTGACTTCTTTACATCAAAGATCTGAATCTGAATTTGTATTAAGACAGAACAAAACACAACAGTTTGTTTCTTCAGTTAAAATTCAAAGCCTGGGCAACATAGTGAGATCCCATCTCTAGAGAAAATTTTTAAAAATTAGCCAGGTGTGGCGGTGTGTGCCTGTTTTCCTAGCTACTCAGGAGGCTGAGGTGGGAGGATCGCTTGAGTCAAGGACTTCAAGGCTGCAGTGAGCTATGGTTGTGTCACTGCACTCCAGTCTGGCTGACAGAGCGAGGCCCTGTCTCTAAAATAAATAAAAACAATAAATCAACATGTACTGAATATCTACTGTGTACTGGGCCCTGGTATGTGCTGAATCAGATGCGGAGATAAATTTTTAAAACGTTATCTTCACCCTGAAACATGTGTAATGAGAAAGACAAATATGACAACAACAATAAATGATAATAATCATAATAATAACAGCTAACAATGTACATGGCACTCCCTCTTTGCCAGAAACTGTTCTGAGCACTTCATACTCTGTAACTGATTTTAATCTTCCCAACCATTGTACGAGGTGGGCACTATCATTATTCCTACTTTACAAGTGAGTAAATTGAGGCACAAAGGGGGATTTGTCAAAAGGGCATGGTGAGCATTAGTAGTGCATGAAAAGTGTTTACCTATGGGGCCCGAAATGTAGAAATCATAACAGGCAGGTGTTTGAAGTGAAAGGATCTTGTGCAGTGTTAACTGGTGGGTTCGTTCCCCTGTCTTTTCTCTATTCCCTGCTTGACCCTTCTGCTACTTAGGATCAGCCACACACACCCAGTGGGAGGGAAGGGATTTTCTGTAGCGAGCAGAGAATGCTTTAGGGTTTGGAAACTTAAAATCCATGGCTGTGAGATGACCCAGGACCTAGAAAAAAGTGGGTGAGTTAGAACCAGTTTTCCCACCACCAGGGAAAGAGGAGAGTAAGAAGAGAAATGAGGCATGCGTAGATCTTCCTGAGAAAGGCAGTTATGACACCCTGTTCCCCATTTGAGCTAGATGTTCAGAGTTCTGGGGATCAGGCCCCAGAGCAGGAATGGCCCGTGTGCATGGTTGATGTGCCAGCCTGAAATGGCCCTGGGCATGATGAGTGAGCGGATGTGCCTGGGGTTTAGAAGTGCTTTGAGTTTGTGAGCAGGTGGAAGTAGAAGGGGTCCGAGCCAGCACGGTGCAGACAGCAGAATGCATGTCCACCTTCCTAGGAGAAGAGTGGAAGTAAACAGTCACAGGGCCCGAAGGGTCCCCTAGAATGAGAGCAAGGAAAAAAGCAGCCTGGAGGAAATAATGCCTCAGGACCAGGACAGGGAGTGGATGCCTCACGGCTGCTGCAAGAAACAGTGGAGTGAAGAGGCCAGAATGGAAGTTCCTTGAGGCAGGGATTCCTTTCTGTTTAGGCTCCATACTGTGGGCCTAGGTCAGATAATAGGTGATCCGTCAATATTTGTTAAATGAATGACCTTAGGTGTGCTACCTCTGGAATCAGGCCTTTGGTTTTAAATCTCAGCTCTGCCTCTTCCTAGCCAAGTAATCCTTTTGTAAGCCCCTTACCTTCTCTGTGCCTCATCTATAAAATGTGGGTAAAAATCATACGGATCACTACTGATCCAAGATATCAAAAGATGGAACACAGATGAAGCTTTTAGTGTCTGGCACAGCGGAAGTGCTCACTAAGTATTTGCTCCTGGTCTCATGAGATGCCACTGCCCCCGCCTTCTTGCCTTACACCTTGGCATTACACTAAGTACTCCCTCTCCTGACCCCTCCTAACTTCGATATTAACCCTGAAGAAAAGATGGGGACTCCAGAATAGGCTAAGATCAAGCTTCCGCCACCACAATACAATGGAGACTCCTGGCAGAACTTAAGCTAAGAGCTTTAAAAAAAGTTAAACTTCTTGCACAGCTGATGTTGCAGGCTCATTTTCATATTCAAGAATAGCTCAAACCTTTGAAAAGTAGGCATCCCTAGGAGGCCCTTTCTAGCATTTTAAGTTGAACAGTTTTCTCCCACATAGGCGTGTGTACACAGAGAACAACTGACCTCTCACCTTACTCGCCTTTCTAGAAAAGCACAGTTATCCGAGGAGTTATCTTTTGCAGGTGCTGCTAGATAAAACTCAACTTTAAGGCAAAGAGGCCAAGTCTAGGAAACAGGTCTCTGTCCTTCCTTTCCCTTACTGTATCCTCATGAAAGACCCCTGGGCTTTCCTGAGGAAATTCAGCACACACAGTTTTATTTCATATTAAGATATGTCCTCCTGAAGGTGAGTGATAAATGTGATCATTAATTTTTTATTGAAAAAAATAATCTGGATTTACCTGGCTTCTCAGTTATCTAAATGGCAATTGGATGACCAACCTTCCTATTTGCCTGAGAGTGGCCTCATTTTAGCACTGAAACCCCTCAGCCCTGGACAAACAAAGACGACGATCTAAATGTCCTTGACAAACCCTAAATGCCGGTGACATCTCAGGTAGACTTGTTGGCCCAAGGGAGTGTTTGGAGATTTTTGTTTTGGATGGAAAAGGAAATGTACTCCTTTGGAATCAGAAGAGCTCACCATCTAGGAACGAAATATGACATGAATTCCTCCCAGTGCATTCTGTACTCTGCTCAGGATTGGCAAGCCTGGCCCCAAAGACCCTGCAGAGGGAGATACCTGGAAATGCCTCATTTGACAAGGAGGCAATGGGAGGGCAGAGAGGAGGAGACTGCTGTAAATAGGTCCATGTGGCAAGTCTGTAAACTCTGTCTTCACATCTTTCCCATAGAGTCCCTTGATTTTGGTCAGACTCTAGACCCCCATGACAAACCCCTGCTGCCTGCACAGGGTGGGCCTGTGTCCCCTCCTTTACCAAGTCAACCTACCTGTGTGGGACACTGTGATTTGCTCCCAGGCAAAGGAGCAGCCCCTGGCATAGAGACTCCCCCCAGGACACACGGACCGGCTGCCAAGCCTGTACGACATTTTAGTGGCATTTTCAAACCACATGGAGTAGGCTCACTGAATGCCTAGTGAATTTCCAGTCACAGAGAATGCAGCACAGCCTGTTCTGCACCTCGTGGGCTGCTGCGAGAGCTCAGCCGGGCTGCAGACACTTGGTGCTTCAGGGTTGGATTCGGAGGCTGCAGAGCTCCTTGCATGGGTGGGTCCCTGGGCAGCTGGCCTCTCTGCATGGCTGGGATGGAGCCTCTCAGCCACCACACTCCTCACCCCGGTGCCAGTGCCTCTGCCTGGCCACAGCAGCAAAGAATATCCCTCAGCCTCTCCTTTCTTGAGAGCTATAGGGAGGATTCCTTTTAGACACGTGGGACGGAAAAACTTCCTTAACCCTCAGAAATGGATTTCTTCTTTCCCAAGGGCACGATAGACAAGGCTGGCCAAATAATTTGTGGGCTCAGTGCAAAATGAAAATGTGGGGCCCTGGGAAGTCAATGTCCCCTTTCCATGCACTTGCTGCCCCACCCACGGTGGACAGGTGACCCCCAGGGACTGCAAGCTCTGTGCTGGGGCATGATTGGTACCAGGATCCGGGGTGGACACGAGACCTCTGCCAAGTTTGCAGCCAAAGGTGACCTGCCACTCTGCATGGCTGGGATGGAGCCTCTCAGCCACCACACTCCTCACCCCGGTGCCAGTGCCTCTGCCTGGCCACAGCAGCAAAGAATATCCCTCAGTCTCTCCTTTCCTGAGAGCTGTAGGGAGGATTCCTTTTAGACACGTGGGGCACTTCCAACCAGAGGTGGGGACGACCACCACCTTGTCCTGCACCAACACACAATGGGGCACACACCTCTTATCCTACCCACATCTATGCCCAGGTCCCTGTGGCAGGGCAGAGAGTGATGGCAGGGTGGTGGCCTCCCTCTGCTGATACCTCCCTGGGTGGAGGGTGGTGGCTGTTGTAGAGCAGGCAAGGGAAGGGGAGGCGGGGCCAGCGTAGCCCACCAGGGGACAGGAAGGTGACAGGCAGCAGGCAGCAGGAACAGACTGTGAGCAGAGGCTCCAAATCCCCATTATATGCTCCATTGGGATGTCAGATTTCACTTACAAAACACAAATTCAAGGATAAAATACTGAAGAATTTCAAAATGGCAACCTCAGGGCACTACTCCCAAGTATGGGGCCCTTTGGAGTACAGGGCCTTGTGCAACTTCACTGGCTGCTGACACATGAAGCTGGCCCTGACAGTGGGAATTTGCTTCCTGTGCTTCCTCTGGGAAGCTCAGAGCCAAAATGAATGGCTTGTTTTGAATAACTGTGGAGGACCTGGAGCTTGCATAGCACATTCCAACTTGGCTCTAGTCTTGATCTTCAGATTGTTCAACATTCTGCTTTTGACTTTTGTTTTTCATTGTCTTATTTATATGCTAAAAGGATGTAATATTATAAAAAGTTTCAAATCCTTTGTCAAGTGAGAGAGATAACAAAAAATGAGATATTTTCCTTCTTAACCTTCGCTTGGGTCCTCAATGTAAAGAGATCTTTTTGGTGATGGGAGGGCAGCTGGAAAATCTGCACCACCACAGCTAATCTGATTAATTGAGAGGATATTTGCAAATGCACATTAAAATACAATATTGATCCACCCTTGGTAAAAACGTGTATAAATTGTTTTCCAGTAGTGATGGATTTGCAGGGAGCCAATTGCACCCTCCCAATCCATCTCCCATGTAAACATTTTAGAAACACCTAGCCAGCATCTCCATTACAACAACATTAAGCAGTTCCCATATTAATTATCTATTGCTGCATAACAAATTACCCCCAAACTTAGCAGCTAAAAACATTTATTATCTCATAGTATCTGAGGGTCAGGAATCCAGGATCAGGTTTGCAATGAGTGGTCTCTCATGAGATTGCAGTCACGATGTTGGTTGGGCTACAGTCATCTGAAGGCTAGATTGGGGTTGGAGATTTGAGATGATGGACTTACAAAGCTGTTGGCCAGAGGTCTCAGTTCCTCACCATGTGGACCTCTCCATAGGCTGCGTGAGTGTCCTCATGACATGATAGTTAGCATGACCTGGAAAGAGTAGTCCAAGAAAGAGAGAACTAGAAGGAAGCCCCAGCATCTTTCAAGATCCAATCTCTTGCCATCATCCTCAATATTCTATTTGCTCAAAGCAAGTCATTAAGTCCAGCCTGCCCACAATGGGAGCGGAGTTAGGGATGACCTCTTGGAGGAAAGAGTACCAAATAATTTGTGGACGTATTTTAAAACCACAGTTTCCCGAAACATTAAGTGGCTGGACCATAAATGAATTTCCACAAAGGTTGGTTCTAGTAATCACACAGTAGGAAAAGCTTGGACTGTGGGTCACATCTGAGTTTGAAACCAAGACTTGCTCCTGACTAGTCTGTGGGATCTGGACAAAATGATCATCTCCGAACCTTAGTTTCTTCATCTGTAAAATGAAGATAATAATAGTAATTCTTTCATAGAGTTATTATGCTAATAATATCTAAATGAGATGGCCCTGCAGGGTTGGATCCAACCTGAGGCTTTTACAGTTTGATGGGGCTTTCTTTAAGGAAACAGGATGGAAAATTATAATAAGTTAGGTACAAAATGAGCATTTATTTACAATTAGAATTGACAAGAATTATATATTTTAAAAGCCAACAAATAGCATAAATATCACAAATCCAAGAAAAAATTAACTACCTGAACAAAGCTCTTTCAAATACTTTCTTTCCGATGAAATCATATCCTTTGCAGTGACATGGATGCAGCTGGATGCCATAATCCTAAACAAATTAATGCAGAAACAGAAAACCAAATCCTGCGTGTTCTTACTTATAAGTGGGAGTTAAACAATGGGTGTGCATGAACGTAATGATGGAAACAATAGACACTGGGGACTCCAAAATGGGGGAGGAAGGACGGGAGGGTGGGTAGAAAAACTATCTATTGGGCACTACGTTCACTATTTGGGTGGGGTTCAAGAGAAGCCCAAACGCCAGCATTACACAATATATCTTTGTAACAAACCTGCACACATACCCCCAAATCTAAAATTGAAATACTTGTCCGGGCACGGTGGCTCACGCCTATAATCCCAGCACTTTGGGAGGCCGAGGCGGGTGGATCACGAGATCAGGAGATCGAGACCATCCTGGCTAACATGGTGAAAACCCCGTCTCTACTAAAAATACAAAAAATTAGCCGGGCGTGGTGGCGGGCGCCTGTAGTCCCAGCTACTAGAGAGGCTGAGGCGGGAGAATGGTGTGAACCCGGGAGGCGGAGCTTGCAGTGACCCAAGATTGTGCCACTGTACTCCAGTCTGGGGGACAGAGCGAGACTCCGTCTCAAAAATAAATAAATAAATAAATAAATAAATAAATAATAAAATAAAATTGAAATACTTTCTTTCCTACGTTTTGACTAAATGCTGTTTGATCACTCCCTACAATGACAAAGATTTTGTAATATTGTCCATAGCCAGAAGAGAAGTATAATTCAGTCTTTTAATAGCACGGTTCATCAAAAGTTGGTTTTGATTACTGGGAGCTTATTATTCAGCGCCACTAATCATTATTTGTAATGTCATGCACATTTTTAGGATTGTTGTCAAATTTGGGAAAACCTCTCTGAGGTTTCTTTTATTTATGAGCTCAGGGTATTTCAGGTGTTCTTGTGTAGTCAATTGGTGGCACTCATTAACCGGGGCCACAGGAGGGGCTTGACGCTTCAGCTTCTCTGTAAATCCTCTCCTGGAAGCAGGTCAGTGTGTGTAGGGACCTGGCCTGCAGTAGGTGCACAGGAAGTGGAGGAAGCCTGGAGACAACCTTCATCTTCCTGCTCCATTGCCTCAGGTGGAGTAGGGGATTTCCCACCCTGGACTCAGCTTCCTCTTTCTCCAGTAGCCCATCAGGGCCTGTGAGAAGGTGGTGATAAAAATACACCATAGCGGGGTGCGGTGGCTCACGCCTGTAATCCCAGCACTTTGGGAGGCCGAGGAGGGCGTTCCATGGGGTCAGGAGTTTGAGACCAGCCTGGACAACATGGTGAAACCCCGTCTCTACTAAAAATACAAAAAATTACCCAGGTGTGGTGGTGGGCGCCTGTAATCTCAGCTACTCGGGAGGCTGAGGCAGGAGAATCGCGTGAACCTGGGAGGTGGAGGTTGCAGTGAGCCAAGATCACGCCATTGCACTCCATCCAGCTCAGGCAACAGTGCGAGACTCCATCTCAAAACAACAGCAGCAACAACAAAAAAAACAAGAAACACTGCTTGTTATGATGCAGTGGAAAGAACCCTGGACTCAGAATTAAAAAACCTGGGTGTGAGTCCTGTCTTTGTCACTTATCAGCTGTGTGACTTTTGGCAAATTACCCAAACTCTCTGTGTCTTCGTTTCCTCATCTCTGAGATGGGTGAACCTGTGCCAGCCTCATGGTTGTAGAGATGAAAGGCAGGATATAAGTAAAGGGGCTTTGTAAATTCTAAAGCAATTTTACTAATGTAAATGATTTTTATTTTGGTACCTGGAAGAGTTACTGAGGAATCAGATGGGTTACTATCCAATGCCTATGAGCATCTTAAGGTCTTTGTTGTCTGTGGCCTAAAGCAATGGGAAATTCAAGTTGGACTTTAATCAAAAGGATGGCAAAATTGCCAATGATTTCCACAAAAATGTACTGAGCCCCATCTGTTGGCCATAGTTTGTGCTAGAGATGGGGATTTAAAGACAGATGAGACACAGTTCTGGCCCTTCAGGGAAGGTAGTGCTGGTAGATGGAACTCCAGAAGGGCATCTGGAGGGTGGATTTAGCCCCTGAGCCTTCTAACTTTATAATCTGGGCCTCCCTGCACCTCCGTGTCTCCTTCTGCAAAGGGGCACCGCTCTCTGTGTGAGCAGGTGTGGAAACAAGTGAGTTAAAGCTGGCAGATCTTGGAGGAAACAAGTGAGTTAAAGCTGGTAGATCTTGTAGGATGCTTGGACAGGTGTCTGACAAAGCCATCAGAGGGTTGAAGCCATCTGAGACTGGCTGTTCTCCTTGGGGAATTTTCAGGCAGCTTTGAAGTGCCGCCAGGACAAGGGAGGCCACCCCATCCTGGAGGTGCATTCACTTGTAATTTACTCCTCCACGTGGGCTCTGGAACTCCACTCTCATAAATACATCACCCACTCTGGCTCGCCCTGAGTAAAGGCAGGCTGACAGGAGAAGGGGGGCCGGAGGGGAGGAATCACTAAATTAAGAAGGTCCCTGGGGGTGGGTGGCCTACAGACACGATTGAGACTCCTGAGTCTCTCCCCTTAGAGCATAAATATTTCCAACTAAGATCACAGACTCCCTGATCATAAAATCAATGAAACCACAAGGGAAAATGATCTCCTGCATGACTGCCCCAGAGATATCTCAGAGTCCTTTCCCCTCCTGCAGAAGCGATTGTTCCGGGGCTCAGGATTTGAAATCCAGGCAAGACTGTTGAGAATTTGATGGAGAGAGAACATCAGTTGGGTTGGGTGCAGGACTATCCTGTTCTACTGCAGAATTTAGAACAGAAGCTATGTTCTGCTATGGGTCTGTGCAACACCTACTGCAACATGAGAATTTTTCTGAAAGTCAGAAGACCTGAGTTCAAGCTCTAGCCCTTCTAATTACTGGCTGAGTGTCCCTTGGCAGTAGACTCTCTAAGCCCAGTTTCCTCATCTATTAAAAGAAGGATAATAACGCAAGGTCTGCCTGCCATATTTGGGAGGTAACAACATCAAAAGAGGTCTGTCTATGCAAATGTTTTGTAAACTATAAAGCTCTTGATAAATAACATGTTTTATTATTAAAAGATAAAAAGCACCAATTCTGCTAGTGAACCTATGAGAACTCCTTATGCTATGACAGAAGCTGTGGCTTAAACGAGGGGATATTCTGACTTACATGATTGAGAAGGGCTAAGGTGGGACTGATTCAGAGAAGACTAGATTCAAACAATGTCACCAAGGCCAGCCTCTCCCCCTCTCCTTGCTCTGCCTTCTGTGGTATTAGATTTGGCTTCATCATCCAGTTTCATGGGTCTTTGTGGTCACAAATGTCCACAGTGACTGCAAGTCACATGTCTTCACACGATGCCATCCAGGGGAAGAGAGGTCTCTTTCCAGTAACTTCTGCTGAAGACAGATGGAGAGAGGAATGAGAAACTCTTCTTTTTCCAGACTTAGTACATGTATCAAATTTCACTGGCTTTCTTTATATAGGTGGGGGCATGTCAATTGCCTTAAGAGAATCAAGGCCCATCCCTCGATTTTTGCATAGGACTGGGATGCCAACCCAACCACATTTGGAAGAGGCTATTTTATCAGAAGACTGAGTGGAGGCTGGGTTGCAAAAACAACATATGTCTAGTACAGTCTACCCCCTCTAGCTGCCCAAAAGCCACACTTACCTCTATCTCCATAAACATGCCTTCAAAAATATCCACCCTCCACACCAAACCCAATCAACCTCTTTCCCTCAAAGAGACAAGCCATGATTTTATCCAGTTCTGGTTCTCTGGGTGATGTGTGGTCCTCATACATGGATCTCTTATTGGTCTCCTGTGGTCCACTAAGGTTAAGTGGTAAATTTAATCAGCACTCAGTAGACAGTGGTAGAGAGAGAACAGGGAAATTGCAGTAATAACTCTCCTTTGGAAAACGAAAGAATAGGAAACAACTCCTAGTGGTCACTGGCCCATAGCCCATATCTGACTCTGCCAGAAATCACATGGACTTGGTCTCCTGGGAGCAAATAAGTGACTTCCCCCAGCTCTGCCCTCTGCAAGGCTTCCCTTTGCCTGTTGGCTTCTGGGGCCCCTGCTTGTCTGTCTGGGAAAATCTGTCCTGTGGATTGTCCTTCATGGGACCCTGTGACATGCACATTGAGGAGGGGTACCCCTTTCTGGGAGCTGCTCTGTTTCAGCAGCTCTCTCTCTGTTGATGTGAGTTTGGAAGCCTGGAATTCACTATCCTAGGCCATTATAGGCCAGGCTTGAGGATTATTTGGCAAAATGACACCCTTAAAAAGTTAACAAGGTCCTGGTCTATTTGCTCCTGGCTAATGCCATGGAGAGTACCCAGAGTCAGAGATCTTATCATGTCATACTTTTTGAAACAAAACACTCCCTGGGAATATCAACCTCCTAGCATGGGGCCCAGTGCTCTGGCCATCCCCTGATCCCTTCAATTTGATGCTTCTGTCTTGGCCTCAACTGGAGAAAAGCCAAAATAATAGGGTGGGTGGGGAGGACTCAAACTACTCATTCCTCATAATAACAACAAAAATATTAGGAGTAACGTGTATTGATTGCTTACTACGGGGCAGGCACTGTTCTAAAGTCTTTATATGTATTATTAACTCACTTAATCTTCATAAGCAGCCCTGTGAGACAGGAACTGTTACCATGCACAATTTGGGAAAACTATTCATGGAGCAATAAAGTAACCTGCTAGTAAGAGGCAGAGTGGGGATTCAACCCCAGGGGGCCTGGGCCCGCAGTCCTCGTGGAGCAATAATCCCTGTTGTGTGCTGCTATCGGGCTGCATCCTGCTGCATCTTCCCAAGGGCAGTGTTGACTTCTTTGTTCAAGGCATAATAGGAGGTGCTTGGGAGGGCTGCCTCTCAGGCCTCAATCTTATTTCCTGTTTGGTTCCCATGTTCCTGCTTTTCTTTTGCTCACTTTATGTTTCCTATTATATTGTATTGTATTTTATATGGGGTCTCCCTCTGTCACTCAGGCTGGAGTGCAGTGGTGTGATCATAGCTCCTGCAGCCTTGAACTTCTGCACTCAAGTGATCCTCCTGCCTCAGCCTCCCTAGTAGGGGGGGAAGACACGTCACCATGCCCAGCCAATTAAAAATTTTTTTTTTTTTTGTAGAGGTAGACTCTCACTATGTTGCCCAGGCTGGTCTTGAACTCCTGGCTTCCAACTATCTACCTGCCTTAGTAAACTACTGGGATTATAGGCAGAAGCCACCATGGCCAGCTCTTTTGCCAACTTTGAGGGTGAAGAAAGGAGCTTTTCCTATACTCCCGGACAAATGGAACAGCAGGCCAGTGGCAAAAAAGGCAACTCTTAGCAAGCCTGCTATTTTCTCTTGTCTCTTGCTTTTAGATGGGCCAGTTTTGTTATTGGAAATGAGTCCCAATCCAGACCCCAGGAGAGGGTTTTTGGATCTTGTGCAAGAGAATTCAGGGTGAATGCATACAGTGAAAGCAAGTTTATTAAGGAAGCAAAGGAATAAAAAATGGCTACTCCATAGGCAGAGCAGTAGCATGAGCTGCTGGTTGGCCATTTTTATGGTTATTTCTTGATTATATGCTAAACAAGGGATGAATTATTAATGAGTTTTTCAGGAAAGGGGTGGGTGCTTTCCAGAACCGAGGTTTTCTCCCCTTTTTAGACAGTATATGGTAACTTCTTGACGTTGCCATGGCATTTGTAAACTGTTAAGGTGCTGGTGGGAGTGTCTTTTAGCATGCCAATGCATTATAATTAGCGTATAATGAGCAGTGAGGACGACCATAGGTCACTTTTGTCACCGTCTTGGTTTTGGTGGGATTTGGCAGGCTTCTTTACCACATGATGTTTTATCAGCAAGGTCTTTGTGACTTGTATCTTGTGCTGACCTCGTATCTCATTCTGTGACTAAGAATGTCATAACCTCCAGGGAATGCAGCCCCGTAGGTCTCAGCCTTATTTTACCCAGCTCCTATTCAAGATGGAGTTGCTCTGGCTCAAACGCCCCTGACAGTTTCAGTCTAATCTTACCTCTTGCTTGGAAGACCTTACTGAAGAAGTTGTCAGCACACTCCAAAATCCAAAACTTTTTTTTTTTTTACAACATCATTTAGTGTTAAAGCCTCAGGAAGCATATAGTCTAAATCTCAGGACTTACTAGCCAATGGTTTAACCAGCCATTTACTATAACTTAACAAAGAATTACTAAATTCTCAGATATCAATTATTTCTTTTCACTCAAATGCTTCCACTTAGCCTTGCAACATCCCACTTCTGGTATTAGATTCTGTATCAGTGAGGAAACTTTTGGTAGTAAAAAATTTTAAGCAAAAAATAAAGATGTTGGAAGGCTCCCAGAGGCTCAAAGAATCATCAGGAGACTGGAGAGCATGGCTGGAAAACCTCAGCAGCCATCCTCTCGAGGAACTGCCTGGTCAGTGTGGGGCAGGGTGGCATGGTGCTGTGGCCAATCCCTGCTTATTTTCTCTTTGCTCAAGATTCCAATGCCAGGGAAAGAACATCAGACTGATCAAGCTTAGGCCACCCGCCCACCTCTCAGCTAGGAGTAAGTAGAACCACCAACCTATGCCTGGTGCAGAAGAGGTGATTCCAATAAAGGAAACTAGGATGCTGTTAGGGATGGGGAGTAAATGTGGGGCAGTTCTAATCCAACAGACTTCCCTTACACCTAGTGATGTTGGTTACATGGTACGGTAGACGTTATTCCATTCAGTCATGGCAGTTGGATCAAAATGAGAATGAGTTGGAGAGTTCTATAGGAAGTCAAATAGTAGTTAGGTGGTAAGACTTAAGCTGTTAGGGGTTAAAATGTAACAGAACAGGACGGGCACAGTGGCTCACTTCTGTAATCCCAGCACTTTGGGAGGCTGAGGCGGGCAGATCACGAGGTCAGGAGTTTAAGACCAGCCTGGCCAACATGGTGAAACCCCATCTCTACTAAAAATACAAAAATTAGCTGGGTGTGGTGGCACACATCTAGTAATCCCAGCTACTCGGGAGGCTGAGGCAGGAGAATCATTTGAACCTGGGAGGTGGAGGTTGCAGTGAGCCGAGATCACGCCACTGCACTCCAGCCTGGGTGAGACTCCGTCTCAAAAAAAAAAAAAAAAAAAGAAAAAGAAAAAAGTAACAGAACAAAATTTTTATTTAGTTAATGTCAGTTTCGGTTTTTAAAAATCCCAGCACTTTGGGAGGCCGAGGTGGGTGAATCACAAGGTCAGGAGATCGAGATCATCCTGGCTATCATGGTGAAACCCAGTCTCTACTAAAAATACAAAAAATCAGCAGGGTGTGGTGGCGGGTGCCTGTAGTCCCAGCTACTCCAGAGGCTGAGGCAGGAGAATGACGTGAACCCAGAAGGCAGAACTTGCAGCAAGCCAAGATTGTGCCACTGCACTCCAGCCTGGGAGACAGAGCTAGACTCCGTCTCAAAAAAAAAAAAAATCTTTTAAGCATTTTTATTTTTTTTTCTTTTTCTTTTTGTAGAGACAGGGTCTCCATATGTTGCCCGGGCTGGTCTTGAACTCCTGGGCTCAAGCGATCCTCCCATCTCGGCCTCCCAAAGTGCTAGGATGACAGCCACCACACCCAGTCTGTTTGGTTTGTTTATTTAGGTATTTGTCTCTGAGGGGCAAATGCAAATGCATCTAGCAGCCAGCAAGGCATTATGTTCTCAGAAGCTAGTTATTCACTCCCTTACTCACCCACCCATTTAATTGATCACTGAATCAGAACTTATTGAACAGTTTCTTAGTCCTGGGCAATGTCTAGCAGCTAAGTAGATACAAACATAGATGACATAATTTCTGTCCTCAGGTGGCAATGAGTGACAGTAGTAGTAGAGATATTTTAGTCTACTTAGAAGGCATGGTTCAATGTGAAGGCTCTGAAGTCAGACATAGAAGAGTGCAGTGTTGGGTTCAAATTCTGGCTGTGTGACTTTGAGCAAGTTACATAATCTCTTCAAATCTGTTTTCTCATCTCCCTAATGGGGATAGTTACTAATTCAAAGCATCGTTATTCTTATCAAATTGATTCATAAATTCAATGCAATTTCATTCAAAATCCCAGCATGTGCTTTAATGGAAATCGATAAGCAGTGGGAGTCTAAAATATGCATAGAAATGCAAATAGCCATGATAATCCTGAAGCAAAACAGAGCTGGAAGGATTATACTACTGCATATCATGCCTTATTGGAAGTTACAGTAACTAAGATAGTATGGTATTATGGACCCAAAATAGACAAACGCATGAATAGAATAGAGGGTCTAGAAGTGAACTGACACGTATAGGCCACTTGATTTATGATAAAGATAATATTTCAGAGCAGTTGGAAAAGATTTTTTTAGACAATGTCCTTTTATGTATGGCTTATTTCACTTAGCATACTGTCTTCAAGGTTTATCCAAGTTGTAGCATGTGTCAGAATTTCATTCCTTTTTTTTTATTATTATTATTTTTGAGATGGAAACTCGCTCTGTCACCCAGGCTGGAGTACAGTGGCACAATCTTGGCTCACTGCAAGCTCCGCCTCCCGGGTTCATGCCATTCTCCTGCCTCAGCCTGCCGAGTAGCTGGGACTACAGGCATCCGCCACCACACCCAGCTAATTTTTTGTATTTTTAGTAGAGACGGGGTTTCACCATGTTAACCAGGATGGTCTTGATCTCCTGACCTTGTGATCCATCCGCCTTGGCCTCCCAAAGTGCTAGGATTGCAGGCGTGAGTCACCCTGCCCAGCGTTTAAGGCTGAATACTATTCAATTGTATGGATATACCACATTTTGCTTATACATTCGTGTTGATGGACATTGGGTTGTTTTTACCTTATAGCTATTGTGGATATTGCTGCTATGAACTTTGGTGTACAAATATCTCTTCAAGTCCCTGCTTTCCATTCTTTTGGGTATACATCTAGAAGTGGAATTGCTGGATCATGTGGTAATTCCATGTTTAATTGTTTGAGGAACCACCATACTATTTTCCACAGTGGCTGCACCGTCTTACATTCCTGTCAGCAATGTACAGGTTTCCAATGTCTCCACATCTTTGCCAACACTTCTCATTGTCTGTTTTTTTTTTTTTCCCAAATAATGGCCATCCTAATGGGTAAGATTCTGTTTTTCAAAATCACTTTTTGCCGTGGTAAAAAAAAAGTCTCACTTTGGCTCACTATGATTACTATACTATGAAATTTAACAATAAACATTTAATGGGTACTTGTCATCTGCTATGCACTTAATTTTTTATCTTATTTAATTCCCACAACATCATTTCTTGGCAACCTTTCTATTGAACTATAACATACATACAGAGAAGTGCACAAATCAGAAATGTATAGATTGATGAATTTTCACAAAGTGAATATATCCATGTAATCAGCACCCAGATCAAAAGCTAAAAACATTACCAGTGCCCCAGAAATCTCACTGGTGCCCTCTCTCAGTTCTGTTCAGCCCCCACTACCCACCTACTCCAAGAGAAAGCAAAGATAATAACTTTAAACCCATAGATTGTTTTTGCCTATTTTTGAATTTTATATAAATGGAACAGAATATAAAATCTTTGGTATATTGCTTCTCTTACTATGTATGTTTATGAGGTATATTCATGTTGTTGCATGTAATAGTTCATTTATTCTCATACTAAATAGTATTCCATTTTATGACTACAGCACAATTTATCCATTCTACTTTTGAGAGATATTTGGGTAGTTTCCTGGTTTGTTTGTTTTTTTTTTTTTTTTTTTTTTTTTTGAGACAGAGTTTTGCTCTTGTTGCCCAGGCTGGAGTGCAATGGCATGATCTTGGCTCACTGAAACCTCTGCCTCCTGGGTTCAAGTGATTCTCCTGCCTCAGCCTCCCGAGTAGCTGGGATTACAGGCATGTGCCACCACGCCCAGCTAATTTTGTATTTGCAGTAGAGACAAGGTTTCTCCATGTTGGTCAGGCTGGTCTCAAACTCCTGACCTCAGGTGATCCACCCGCCTTGGCCTCCCAAAGTGCTGGGATTATAGGCGTGAGCCACCGCGCCTGGCCTCCTGTTTTGGGCTATTACTAATAGTTCTGCTGTGAGCATTCTTTTGGTAAATACCTTTTGATGAAAATACGTGAGCAATTCTATCGGGAATTTTTCCAGGAGTGGAATTGCCAAGTCACAGTGCATGGATATGTTTAGCTTTAAAGATGATTTCCAAAGGAAATTGATAAGTATACACATCCAGCACTGAATATGAGTCCTAGAAGCTCCAAACACTGGCTGGCATTTGATATCATTTGTCTTTTTCATTTTAGCTACTCTGGTGAATGTATAGTGATATTATGTTATGCTTTTAAACTGCATTTCTTTGAGGAGTAGTGAAGTTGAGCACTATGTTCATATCTTTATCAGCCACTTGGATATCTTCTTTTGAATAGTATTTGTTCAATTATTTTGCTCATTTTTCTGTTGGTACATCTTCATTGTCTGCCTTCTGCTTATTAATGATCAATGTTCTTTATATATTCTAAAAATGGGTTCTTTGTGCATTGTGTATTGCAAATATCTATTCTCATTTGTCTTTTTACTCACTTCATGATGTCTTTTGATGAACAGAAGCTTTAAATTTTAATCTAGTCCAATTTATTAAGTTTTGGTTAAGGCTTTTTACGTCCTGCTTAAGAATCTGCCATCCTACAAAGATCATGAAGATATTTTATGTCTTATTCTAGAATATTTATTAGTTTTTCTTCTACATTTAGATCTATAAGGCACCTAAATTATTTTTTATGTATGGTGTGAGGTAGGCATTTGGGATTCATTTGTTTCCCACATGCATAGTCATGAAAATGAATAAAATTGTGAATTTGGCAAAGTTCAAATAATACTAACTCCTTTTTGAAATATTCTGCAGAACCTCAATTTTTTTTTTTTTTTTTTGAGATGTGGGTCTTAATATGTTGCCCAGGCTGGTTTCAAACTCCTGGGCTCAAGCAATCCTCCCACCTCAGCCTCCTGAGGATCTGGGATTACATGCTACTGTGCCTGGCCTAATTAGATTTGATGAATGAATTAATTATTTTAAATTAATTCAGTATTTTTACACATCTAGTGTTTGCCAGTTTAGCTAGGTTGGTAAAGAAAGTCCTCTCAGAGCCAACATTTGAGCTCAGACCTGATTGATGAAATGAAGCCAGCCACAAGGGGATTGGGGGAAGAACATTTCAGGAAGAGGCAAGAGGTAGGTAAGTAAAGTTTGATATGTTCAAGGAACAAGAGGAAGGCCAGCACCGCTGAAGTGTAATGCCCAAGATGATGTGAAATACAAGACAATTCTTATGAATAGGAGAGCAAAGGAAAGAGAACCAGACGGGGATCACTAGAAGATAATGGAGCAATGCTTTCAAAGTCCCGAGGGAAAATGTTTTTTTCAAGCTAGAATTCTTTTTTAAAAAATTTCAATAGTTTCTCAGTTACAGGTGTTTTTGGTTACATAGATAAGTTCTTTAGTGGTAATTTCTGAAATTTTAGTACACCCATCACTCAAGCAGTATATGCTGTACCCTATATATAGTCTTTTATCCCTCACCCTCCTCACACCCTTTTCCCCTTGAGTCCCCAGTGTTCGTTACGTCATTCTTACGCCTTTGCATCCTCATAGCTTAGCTCCTACTTATAAATGAGAACATGTGATATCTGGTTTTCCATTCTTGAGTTACTTCACTTAGAATATGGCCTCCAGCTCCATCCGAGTTGCTGCAAAAGACATTATTTCATTCCTTTTTATGGCTGGGTAGTATTCCAATATAGCATATATAAACCATATTTTCTTTATCCACTTGTTAGTCGATGGGCACTTAGGTTGGTTTCATATCTTTGCAATTGTGAATTCTGCCACTATAAACATGCACGTGCATGTATCTTTTTTATATAATGACTTCTTTTCCTTTGAGTGGACACCCAGTAGTAGGATTTCTGTGTCGAATGGTAGTTCTACTTTTAGTTCTTTAAGGAATCTCTGTACTGTTTTCCATAGTGGTTTTACTAGTTTACATTCCCATGAGCAGTGTGGAAGTGTTCCCTTTTCACCACATCCACGCCAACATCTATTATTTTTTGACTTTTTAATTATAACTATTCTTGCAGGAGTAAGGTGGTATCTCATTGTGGTTTAAGTTTGCATTTCCCTGATACTTAGCAATGTTGAGTGCTTTTTCATGTTTGTCTTCTTTTGAGAATTGTCTATTCATGTCCTTTGCCCACTTTCTGATGGGATTATTTATCTTTTTCTTGCTGATTTGTTTGAGTTCCTTGTAGATTTTGGATATTAGTCCTTTGTCGGATACATAGTTTATGAATATTTCTCCCACTCTGTGGGTTGTCTGTTTACCCTGCTGATTATCTCTTTTGCTGTGCAAAAGACTTTTAGTTTAATTAGGCCCCATTTATTTATTTTTGAATGGGTATACAATTTAATTAGGTCCCATTTATTTATTTTTGTTTTTGTTGCATTTGCTTTTGGGGTCTTAGTTATGAATTCTTTGCCTAAGCCAGTGTCTAGAAGAGTTTTTCTGATGTTATCTTTTATAATTTTTTGTGGCTTCAGGTCTTAGATTTAAGTCTTTGATCCATCTTGAGTTGATTTTTGCATAAAGTAATACATGAGGATCCAATTTCATTCTTCTACATGTGGCTTGCCAGTTTTCCCAGCACCATTTATTGAATAGGGTTTCTTTTTCCCAATTTATATTTTGTATGCTTTGTTGAAGATCAGTTGGCTGTAAGTATTTGATTTGATTTAAGGGTTCTGTCCATTGGTCTACATGCATATTTTAATGCCATGCTGTTTTGATGACTATAACCTTGTAAATATAATTTGAAGTCAGGTAATGTGATGCCTCCAGATTTGTTCTTCTTGCTTAGTATTTCTTTGGCTATGTGGGCTCTTTTTTGGTTTCAGATGAATTTTAGGATTGTTTTTTCTAGTTCTCTGAAGAACAATATGGTATTTTGAGGGGAACTGAACAAATCTGTAGATTGCTTTTGGCAGTATGGTCATTTTCACGACATTGATTCTACCTATCCATGAGTATGGGATGTGTTTTTATTTGTTTGTGTCATCAATGATTTCTTTCAGCAGTGTTTTGTAGTTTTCCTCGTAGAACTCTTTCACTTCTTTGGTTAGATATATTTCTTTTTGTTTTTCTTTTCTTTTCTTTTTTTCTTCTTTTCTTTTTCTTTTTCTTTTTTTTTTTTTTTCAGCTTCAACCTAGAATTCTATACCCAGTCAAATTATCTATCAAGAATGAGGGCAGAATAAAGGCAGTTCAGATGTACAAGAACTCAGAAATTTTTCCTATAAAGCAGATTTCCTTAGTATTTTTACATGAGAATCTACTCCAACAAGGTGTGGACAGGAAGAGGAAGATAAAGCCAATGTAGGAAGACAATAGAGTGAAGGGCGACAAAGAAAGCCGTGTATCTTCTCTAGAGAACAATTGGCTCAGACTGGAGCACGTATGGAAGATATTTTTGAGTATTTTTAGCTGCTTCTTGTGTCCCTCCAATCCATTATCCATCATATTGCTCAAGCAAACTTGGTAAAGTTTTAGATTACCTTGCCCTCTCTGTTGAAAATCCTTCAATGGATCCCATTAGTTTCAGAATAAAATCCAACTTTCAAGTAGTATAAAAGGCCATTTGTTATTGACCCCTGCCTGCCTCTTCTGTCTCACTTCTTACTACTCTTCTTGGCCACTTCTGCCCTCTGCTCCAATCACTGATATTTTTAGATTTCTTAAAGCTACTTACTGCATCAGAAACGTTGCATCTGCTATTTTCTTTCTACAGAGTAACAATTCTTCCCCTCTTTTCCCTGGAAGATCCTTCCTTGTTTTTCAAAACTCATTATTTCAGGAAATCTTGTGCTCGCCTTGTGCTCACTTCCACCCACCACTGGTTTAAGTTCCCCTGGTTGGTACCTCTGTGGCTTTCCTATATGATTCACCTCTAATACCACTCTGTCTCTACTTAATTATTGATTTATTTATCTGCTCTCCTCACTTAATGATAATCTCCTCGAGAATAGGGACCACTTTTTTTTTTTTGATGGAGTCTCGCTCTGTCATCAGGCTGGAGTGCAGTGGTGTGATCTCAGCTCACTACAACCTCCGCCTCCCAGATTCAAGCGATTCTCCTGCCTCAGCCTCCCGAATAGCTGGGACTACACGTGCGTGCCACCACGCCCAGTTAATTTTTTGTATTTTAGTAGAGATGGGGTTTCTCCATCTTGGCCAGGATGGTCTCGATCTCCTGACCTCATGATCCACCTGTCTCGGCCTCCCAAAGTGCTGGGATTACAGGCATGAGCCACCACGCCCGGCCCAGGAACTGCGTTTTGATTGTTGTTGAAGTTTCTATAATGGCTAAGTACTCCAGCTTCTCTGCAGCCAGACTGCCTGGGTTAAAATCTCAGCTGCATCACTTGCTGTGTTATCTTGGGAACTCTCTGAGTCTTGGTTTTCTCACTTGCAAAACTATGCGATATTTTCATCTGCAGCACCTGGCACACAAGATGCTCGACAGTGTGTGAGGAATGAATCCGTGCAGACAGGCAGAGTTCCTGGGGATGGGAACCTCTCAGCAGGGGAGTTAGGATGACTCACTTCAATCAATCTTGATTCCTACCCTCCCTTCCCAAGTAGGAATGCTCAGCTTCCTCCAGAACCGTTATGCTTTGAGGATTGTGAGCAAAATCTGAAAAATGTGGGGTCTTTTCCTTTGCATGTTTATCCATGTGTTAACCTAAGGAATTCAGAATATCTCACAGAGCAAAAATGTCTAAATCATGTCACTGCCTGACAATTCTTATGTGACTGTCTAAACAGGATGTTAACTTTAGGACCTAAATTTTCCTAGGTGTGAGTATGTTAGTTAAGGATTACCGAGAGGAAGCGAAGGGATCATGTACCCATTCTGCAGGTGAAAAACCTCATGATCTTCTCTAAACTCCCCTGGGCCTAACGACTTACACAACTTGTCAGGAATCTACCAAGAGGAGGTCCCCGGCTCCCAAATGTCCCCTCTTCACCAGCAAAATGAATATTCTCTCTGGTTTTTTTTTGAGATGGAGTCTTGCTCTGTCGCCCAGGCTGGAGTGCAGTGGTGTGATCTCGGCTCACTGCAACCTCTGCCTCCGGGTTCATGTGATCTCGGCTCACTGCAACCCCTGCCTCCGGGTTCAAGTGATTCTCCTGCCTCAGCCCTCCCAAGTAGCTGGGACTACAGGCGCCACGCCACCATGCCTGGCTACTTTTTTGTATTTTTATTAGAGACGGGGTTTCACCATGTTGGCCAGGCTTGGTTTTGAACTCCTGACCTCAGATGATCTGTCCACCTCAGCCTCCCAAAGTGCTGGGATTACAGGCGTGAGCCACCACGCCCAGCCGAATATTCTCTTTTTAGTCTTATGGGGGAGGCAGCATTCCTGTGGGGCTGCTCTACTTGGAATGGGTTTCTAGAAGTAAGAAAGTTGATTCTTCTCAATGTGTTCACAAGTTTCAGAGCATAGTCAAGAATGAATCGTACCATCTATGTTTCCTCCCATGTTACCTATTCCTGCAAGCAATCATTTTCCAGGAGAAAGAAATAGTGGAGTTCAGACTGAGCTAGCTGACCATCAGGCCTTCCTCACCCTCTCAACAGAGAGAGTAATCAGATATCAGAGTGGGCTCCAACTCTGAAGCTTTGATGGTTAATGCTTCCAATCTGAGCTTCTCCAATTCTCTTTTTCTTTTTTCATCTCCCTATCCTATACTCAGGGACCCCTTTGTCACACAGGTAGATCTGTGGACTACAGCTTGGATCACAAAGTGGGGACAATCAATTTTCTAGAAAGTATATTGAGTGCAACATTGATTCAGAGTGCAATACCCTGAATTCAAGGTTGCGTTTCAGCTTTTCTCTATTCAAGATGCTGTAAAGATGGTCCCTTCTTGTAGAGGGCTTATGGTCAAGCAGGTCAAGCCAATGCATGTCAAGAAAGAGCTCCGAATGCAGGTTAAGTAGCTTTTCTTCTCCACGAGTTATTAAACTTGAGGCTGGCCAAGGGCTGCCAGCTATGGGCAGGAGGTGCAATACCCACGTTTACATATATGCTGCTAAGTTTTGATCAACATATAAAAATTAGTTTTCTTACAAATGATTACACTCTTCCCTGTCAAACTGAACACTGAGGTTCTATGCCTCAAAATAGTTTAGGTCCAACTTACTTTAAGATCTAGATGGCACAGGGCAAGGTTCCATCAAGCCATTGCCAAGGAAAGCAAGGGAGTTTGCTGAAGCATTCAAGAACTTTGCCTTGATTACATAAGAGATGTGTTCAGGGCAGGAACGCAATGACTTGGGGGGCAAACCAGGAAGTAGTGGGTTCGTTGCTAAGGCTTTTGGACCCTGAAGACATTGTCGTGCTGTAGTTGTGATGGTGTTGTCATAATTGCTGGCTTGTTTCCTGTGGCTTTGAGTCTTTTGATCCCTCCAAGCATGCCAGCAAAAATTCTAGTGTTTGAAAAAGCTAAGAGCTATTGTATTATCTACTTATTTCCTGAAGTCCCCCCCGCAGTAGAGTTGCCAGGTAGAATTTAGGACATCCAGTTAAATTAGAATTTCAGATAAACAACGAGTAGGTTTTATTTTTATTTTTATTTTTTTTAGCATAAGTATGTCCCATGCGATATTTTAGCTAAAATTCAAATTTAACTTTAAGCCCTTTTTTTTTTTTTTTTTTTGAGACAGAATCTTGCTCTGTCGCCCAGGCTGGAGTGCAGTGGTGTGATCTCAGCTCACTGCAACCTCCACCTCCTGGGTTCAAACGATTCTTCTGCCTCAGCCTCCCCAGCAGCTGGGACTACAGGCGCCCACCACCACGCCCAGCTAATTTTTGTATTTTTAGTAGAGACGGGGATTTACCATATTGGCCATGCTGGTCACGAACTCCTGACCTCGTGATCCACCCACCTGGGCCTCCCAAAGTGCTGGGATTACAGGTGTGAGCCACTGCACCTGGCCCCTGGAAGTCTTGTATTTTGATTTGGTCAATCTGGCAGCCCTACCTCTGATTCCCTTCTAGTTATTGCAAAGTGACAAATGCAGCTCCGCTCCTGGGCTAATGTTTTGTAATGTGCACCATCTAGTGGTGACATGAACAGAAGGAAACTTCAGAAACAACCTGAAACCGTGATGGGATAAAGCTGAAAAGAAAGAACTATAATTTTAAAAATTATTTAAAAACTTTTTTCGGCCAGGCGCGGTGGCTCCCGCCTGTAATCCCAGCACTTTGGGAGGCCGAGGCGGGCGGATCACGAGGTCAGGAGATGGAGACCATCCTGGCTAACACGGTGAAACCCTGTCTCTACTAAAAATACAAAAAAAAAAGTTAGCCGGGCGTGGTGGTGGGCACCTGTAGTCCCAGCTACTCGGGAGGCTGAGGCAGGAGAATGGCGTGAACCTGAGAGGCGGAGCTTGCAGTGAGCCGAGATTGTGCCACTGCACTGCAGCCTGGGCGACAGAGCAAGACTCTGTCTCAAAAAAAAAAAAAAAAAAAAATTCTAATTTTCTTCTTTGGATGTGGTGTTTGTGATGAGACCAGTAGTTTAGATTGTCCAGTGAATATTTGAAATCCCTTAAGTCATCAAGTGTTTAAACAGCCACACCCACCTGGCTGAGGCCTTGGGCTCCTCTATTAAATGCTAATGCACAGTGTTGGCCTTGATCTATTGTGGTTCCTAGTGCTCCAAGTGATTATTTTACAATAAGCACGTGGTGTCCAGCAGTATCTATCAAGTACAATAAATGTCGGGTTGGTGCAATTCTGTTAAACCCAACTGGGCCTGGAGGAAGACACAAGAAGCAAGTATTTCCTGTTTACTATTTTACTGGGGTTGGGAGGATGGTTAAGAGCTCAAGGAATTGGCACCCCCTAATGGATCTCCCTCTGGCTGCACACTGGAACTACCTGGGGTGTTTGTAAGACATACCAATACCTGGACCTTACCCCCAGAGATGTGGATGTCATTGGTTTGTAGTGGGAATCAGGCTTGGTTTTTTTTTTTGTTTGTTTTTCTTTTAAGTTTTCCAGAAAACTTTTTTTTTTTTTTTTAAATTTGAGACGGAGTCTCGCTCTTGTTGCCCAGTCTGGAGTGCAATGGCGCTATCCCGACTCACTGCAACCTCCACCTCCTGGGTTCAAGCGATTCTCTTGCCTCAGCCTCCCAAGTAGCTGGGATTACAGGTGCCCACCACCATGCCCTGCTAATTTTTGTATTTTTGGTAGAGATGGGGTTTCACCATGTTGGCCAGGCTGGTCTCGAGTTCCTAACCTCAGGTGATCCGCCCGCCTTGGCCTCCCAAAGTGCTGGGATTACAGAAGTGAGCCACCACACCCAGCCCAGAAAACTTTTAAATGAAGCCAGGGTTAAAATGCCTGTTAGCAGAAATGGCCCAGACTGAAAAAAGGTGTGATCTTTGAACAAGTGCCTTAATTCCTCTGAGTCTCAGTTTTCTCATTGGTAAACAGGGAGAATTTAACCAACCTGCTAGGAACCTTAGAGAGAGTAAATGTAACACATGCAAGGCATTTAGCCTATAACTAGCACTGAGTAAATGCTGTTCTTCTTCTAGACAGGAGGCTAAGGGGGTAGATTCCTACCACTCTGGAGGAGAGAATCCAGATCTGGGATGAGCTACAATCTGGTCATAGGGGCCAAATGTTATAGCAGAGAGAAGGGGTATGTTAAGTTCTGCTAACTACCCAGGCCTAGGTGTGAATGGGGCTTCACGGTCTTGACAAGGAAGGCAGGGCCTTAGTGAATTACAATCATCTATTGTAATAGTAAGGTTCTGCCTATAAAAGTGGAAAATATAGACAGCATGGAGCAACATAAAAAAGAAAATATAGGCCAGGCGCAGTGGCTCATGCCTGTAACCCCAGCACTTTGGGAAGCCAAGTTGGTTGGATCATGAAGTCAAGGATGAAGACCATCCTGGCCAACATGGTGAAACTCTGTCTCTACTAAAAACTACAAAAAATTAGCTTGGCATGGTGGCGCACGCCTGTAATCCCAGCTACTCAGGAGGCTGAGGCAGGAGAATCACTTGAACTCGGGAGGTAGGGGTTGCAGTGAGCCGAGATCGCGCCACTGAACTCCATCCTGGCGACAGAGTGAGACTGTCTCACAGAAAAAAAAAGAAAATATAAACTAACTTAGCTCCAGAGAGAGCCACTATGAATATTTGATAGTATTTATTTCCAGCACTTTTCTCTCTGTAGTTTCTGCTTCCCCAAATTGTCATATTTTATACTTAATTTTGTAAACTGATTCTCCCCACTAGTTTATCATTATATCAGGATCATCTTCCAATGTCATTAAGTATCTTTTGAAACACAATTTTCAGCGGCTGCATAATATTGTGTTATGTCAGTGGTTCTCAAGCTTGAGTGTGCATCAGAGCCACCTGGTGAGCTCCTTCAAACAGATTTCTGGGCCTACCTCCAACACTGTTGACTCAGCAGGTCTGGGGTGGGGCTCTGAGATTCGGCATCTCTGACACGTTCCCAGGTGCTGCTGCTGGTGTTGGTCCAGGGATCACACTTTGAGAACCTCTTGTTTATAATCTGCTTCCTTGTCTGCCACCCACTCCAAATGCAGGGGGTGGGGCCAGGGACCATGACTTAAACACCCCTGAATTGAATGCCCTGTGGCTAAAGCAGAGCCTGTCACATAGTGCCCTTCTGAGTCCAGGGTCCTGAAGCCAGCCTGCTGAGGAAGAGGAATGACATCTACCCTCTGTGGCCCTGAGGCTGACTGGGGCTCTATGAATGGAAGTAGCAGGGAAACTGAGTTTGGTTCTGCTGTTTCTAGCAGTCAGCAACAGAACCTACGAATGCCACGTTCAGCGATGCATTCTCTGTTACCAGAGATATTTCAGCACAGGTGGTGATGGCTCGGGAATTTTGCAGTATTTGAGGGTGGGTAAGAAACTCCACTGTCCACTTCAACCTTAAGTTTCTGTCAGTCTGAGTTCATCAAAGCAAAAGAATGGTGAATCATTTCTGGAGACTTCATGGGAATGGGGATTGGACCCTAAAGGGTGGGCAGGATTTAGAAGGCAGACAAGGAGAAGACAACCTCCAAATAGTGTTTGGTCACTGGTGGTGGTGGGGTTGGGGGAGCGGGGTTGTGGGGAAGCATGTGCTAATTGATGAGTTAGGTAAATCAAACTTGGTAAACCTGGTTCCTAGAACTCCTATGTGTAATGCATCGCCCTTGATTTTCCAGAGAAATTCAAAAGTTAGTAGCTAGCCAAGATCAGAGCTATTTGGTGCAGAGCAGTTGCTATTGCTACCACTTATTCTCCCTCCCCCTCCTTCCCCCTCTTCCTCCTTCTTCTGTTGAAACCATGTGAGTTTCTACTTCTATCAGGTGTTAAAGTAGTGCATTCCTGCAAAGCTGACATTTTAATAAGAAATAAAGATTGAAATCAGATTTCACGTGAAGTTTGAGACATTTTAGGGCCAAAATCTCCTTCTCAGCCTATCCACTGCGGCTCATTGGTGCTTTGTTGTATTTTGTTTTGTTTTACAGACAAGGCTGAAAGGCAGGGGAGTGGATGTCTAAAATCCGGTGTCTGATGTTCTGTGATTTTATCACAACGTACTCATTACAAAACGGCATAGAAACGCTATTTGCAATTTAGTCCAGGATAAAGATCCAGGGCTCAATTTGTTCTTTGAATAGGTTTTAGAATACACTGGAGGATTAGAGACAGTTTTTTGATGAAAAATTTATTTCCAAATACTTTCCAAATTTACAAGGTATAATTATAATAGTAACAGCAACAATGAAAAACAAGTCCTGCAGTTTACTGTCTCTTATTTGCCAGACCTTAATCAGGATGCTTTGACACCCATAATCTTTGTAATCTAAAAATGACACAGTGAGGTGGGCACTATATCCTCTTGTTACACATGAGGCTCAGAGTTTACCTTCCTAAGCTGACATAGCTGGGCTGTTACTACATCCAGCCTTGTGCGCCTACAAGTCCTTTGCGTTTCCACTTCTGATCTGCCAAGACTGCAGTGCTTAGTTGGGTAGATTTCTTTCCCCCGCTAAGCTCACTTTTGTGATCAAGAGCCCTCTGCTGAGTCCTTTCTGTATCTGTGACAGTTTCCAGCCAGAGCTGCCCAGTATTTTTAGGTACTTGAAACTAGATTAAAAAAATATTCACTTCCTTCTGGGTGGCTCAGGAAGTCAAAAAGCAGTTTTCATTTTTTTTTGTTTAGTAGCACTTAGCTTTGAGTAGTCAGGTCACCTGGGGGTCTTACTGGGGCCTTGATGACCTTAAAGGCTAGATCTAAGGACCTATGAAGCACTCCCGCTTGAAAGGAGGAAGAAGAAAACACACAACCATTTGTAGGAGGAATAGTGGAGATAGACCAACCCAGAAACTGTATTTCAGAATAAATTCATTCCTTTGTGCTTCAAGGCCCCTCATACTGATATGATGTCACCAAAGCTGCTCCAGGGCTGTGACCTGCTAGTCATGGCCCTGGGGCACATCCCTTTGCTCTCCTTCTCAGCATACTGCAGCAGCAGAGGTAGGGTGTTAGGGGGTGTGCAGATTCATCCCTTTCTCTAGATTATGAGTTCTTGGGATAGGGTAGACCACATTTCCCCAAGGAGTTTGTGGGTATTCAAGAGAAAGTGGTTGCCGAGCACAGGGAGTGGGCAGTGGGCTAGAAGCAGCCAACTTTTCAGGGCTTTGCCTGGGGACTTGGAACTGCCTGGATTAGTCACTAGGGAGAGTTTTCAAAATCTTTATGGTGTCATGATTTGTTAAATCTTGTCCACATCAGAGCCTGTGGTTTTTCTGAATGCCTTAGAAAGTTAGCCTCTCTGGCCAAGTGCAGTGGCTCACACCTGTAATCCAAGCACTTTGGGAGGCCAAGGTGGGAGGATTGCTTGAGGCTGAGAGTTCGAGACCAGCCTGGGCAGCATAGAGAGATCTCATCTCTACAAAAATAAAAAAGACTGGGCGCGGTGGTGCATGTCTGTAGTCCCCACTGCTGCGGATGCTTGAGTTTGAGGCTGCAGTAAGCTATGAAGGCACCACTGCACTCCAGGTTGGGCATCAGGGCAAGATTCTGTCTCAAAACTAAATAAATAAATAAGTAAATAAATAAATAAATAAATACAGTTAGCCTCTCCTCTGTGGCCCCAGAGCTCCTGTACATATACTTGTCTCAAGACTTCACATACTGACTCCTTCATTCAGTGAGTGCTTACTGAGATCCTACCAGGTGCTGGGCACAAGAATGAACAAGACACTTATGGCTCCTACCCCCATAGAGTTTACAGACAAGGGGAGAGGCTTATAGTCACCTGGACCGAAATGGTGCCCCCAGTACACTGTGAGCT
The DNA here is from genome assembly GCF_000001405.40 of Homo sapiens. Taxonomy (NCBI): domain Eukaryota; kingdom Metazoa; phylum Chordata; class Mammalia; order Primates; family Hominidae; genus Homo; species Homo sapiens. The sequence continues at coordinate 2,060,451 of NT_187614.1, forward strand.
CCTTGAAGGTACAGATCGGGTTGTATTGAGTTTTGCAAATTTTCATTTATTTTATTTTAAACTTTATTATGTAATTTACATGCCATAAAATTCACCATTTTAAAGTGTACAATTCAGTGCTTTTAATATATTCACAAGGTTGTGCAACCATCACTTCTGTCTAATTCTGGGACATTTTCATTGCCCCAAAAAGAAACCCTATGACCGTGAGCAGCTGCTCCTGTTTCTCCTCCTCAGTCCCCAACAGATAAGATGGTAATCACTCATCTATTTGCTATTCTATGGATTTGCCTTTGGACATTTCATATCTGCATATGGACATTTCATATAAATGGAACCATGCAATATGTGGTCTCTTTGGTGGACTTACTTTAACTTAGCATAATGTCTCCAAGCTCTTCCATGTTATAGAATGTATTACTACTTAATTTCTTTTTATGGCCCAATATCCCATTGAATCCATTGCATAGAGATACTACAGTTATCCATTTATCAGTTGATGAATGGTTCTACTTACTTTTTTCTTTTTGAGGCAGGGTCTCATTCTGTCACCAAGGTTGGAGTGCAGTGCTCCAATCACAGCTCACTGCGGCCTCTACTTCCTGGGCTCAGGTGATCCTCCCACGTCAGCCTCCCAAGCAGTGGGGACTACAAGCACACGACACCATGCCCAGCTAATTTTTTGTATTTTTAGTAGAGATGGGGTCGCATCATGTTGCTTAGGCTGGTCTCCAATTCCTGGGCTCAAGCAATCCACCTGCCTAGGCCTCTCAGTGAAGGGATTACAGGTGTGAGCCACCACACCTGACTGGTTCTATTTACTTTCGTATTTTGTCCCTTAATATCTTTCTCCCTCCCTCTTGCCCTTCCTTCTTTCCTTCCTCTCTTCTCTAGTCCTCCTTCCTTCCCTCTCTCATTCTTTCTTTCCTCTTTCAAATACTTGTTATTCCACACCTACCATGTTATGGACACTGTAATGAACCTTCTGGTAAAGGTTCCAGACTAAAGAAAACGGAAAAGCACCATTTTAAAAAAGTTTTAAATAAATGCTTTGTTTTAAAATAGTTTTAGATTTACAGAAAAGGGCCGGGTGCGGTGGCTGACGCCTGTAATCCCCACACTTTGGGAGGCCGAGGTGGGTGGATCAACTGAGGTCAGGAGTTCGAGACCAGCCTGGCCAACATAGTGAAACCCCATCCTTACTAAAAATACAAAAATTAGCCAGGCGTGGTGGCGGGCACCTGTAATCCCAGCTACTTGGGAGACTGAGGCAAGAGAATCGCTTGAACCTGGGAAGCAGAGGTTGCAGTGAGCTGAGATTGTGCCATTGCACTTCAGCCTGGGTGACAAGAACGAAACTCTGTCTTTTTAAAGTAACTCTCTTTTTTAAGAAACTCTCGGCCGGGAGCAGTGGCTCACGCCTATAATCCCAGCACTTTGGGAGGCCGAGGCGGCTGGATCATGAGGTCAGGAGATCAAGACCATCCTGGCTAACACGGTGAAACCCTGTCTCTACTAAAAATACAAAAAATTAGCCAGGCGTGGTGGTGGGCGCCTGTAGTCCCAGCTACTTGGGAGGCTGAGGCAGGAGAATTGCTTGAACCCTGGAGGCGGAGCTTGCAGTGAGCTGAGATCGCGCCACTGCACTCCAGCCGGGGCGACAGAGCAAGACTCCATCTCAAAAAAAAAAAAAGATTTACAGAAAAGATGCAACAGGAGTACAGAGTTTGTGTATCTCATCCCAAGTTTCCCCTATTGTTAACATTTTACATTACTCTAGACAAGTTCAGGGTGGTGTGGCCATAGACTTACATTACTGTAGTCCATTTGTTGCAACTAAGGAGCCAGCATTGTTACACTACTGTTAACTAAACTCTACACTTTATTCATATTCCACTAATTTTTCCTAATGACTTTTTCCTATTCCTGGATCCCATCCAGGGTGCCACATTGCACTCAATCATCGTGTCTCCTTAGCCCCCCAGTCTGTGACAGTTTCTCAGGCTTTCCTTGGCTTTGGTGACCGTGACAGTTTTGAGTAGTAGGGGTGAAGTTCTTTGTAGAACATCCATTGCTTTGGGTTGTTCTGATGTTTTTCTCCTGGTTAGGCTGGGGTTACGGTTTTCTGGGGGAGGACCACCCTAGAGGTGAATAAAGGCACCATTTTTAAATTGCTGTGAGGTGCCCTGAACTAAGAAGTGAGACCAAATCTACCAGGGCTATTCAGAAAAAAATCAGAGAAATCTTACTTTTGAGGTCTTTAAATGGTAGTGGTGGGGTATAGAAGGATTCCTTGGAAATTTTTTCCTAAGGAAGTTGTTTGTTGCCTATCATCATGGTGGTGACTAAATGAGCCTTTATCTGACATATAGACAAGATTTGACATTTGTTCTTTTCCTCCCCATTGGCTCTAGAGTGTGGCCTTGGGTGAGTCAAGCCTTCTTCCTTGGCCTCTATAGAATTAGGAAGTTGGAGCTAATGACCTTGGAGGCCTCTTTCCACTGTAATGGCTTATGCTATAATAGGTGGCCCATAACTCCCCTCAACATCTGTGAATTCCAAAGTTGGGCTCCCCTCTGCTCCTCTATCAGTCCAGGCTGTTTGTATTCAGGTGACATGTGCCCCTAGGGACGTGGCCCACCCCAACCCCCTTTTCAAAGCCTTCCTTGCAGACAAACACACACACAAAAACAAGCCCTAGATATTTGCAGCATGGATCTCCACTTCGAGGCACTCAGTGAACATTCCAGGGCAGCAGTGCCCAGAGCCGGACCCCTGCCCTGGCCATCCCTGCAGCCCTGCTGACACAGCACAAGAGCCAGCATGGCCAGGGTCACAGGCAGACCTACACGCCACACCATGCTGGAGGCTCTTTCACCCCAAGGGGCTGTTTTGGTTCAGCAGCTCCTGTGTCTTGAATAAGTTAATCACTGATGACAAGAGATTAATTTATAACCGGACAGCAGACAAGATAGTTCGGGCTTTGGCGAGGTGGCACTGAACTGTGGCGCAGGGCATTGCTCAAAAGACACCTGGGTCTGCAGCTTGGTGCAGAGGCTGGGAACTTCAGATCCTCACCGGTTCCCCAGAGGCCACTTGGTCCAAAGAGAGGAAACACGTGCTGAGGACTTCTGTTTCCTCTCTCCAGCACATTTACTTGTAGAAAACATGTCCAGGCAACAGGCAGGCCCGTTAGAAAAGTCCAGTTAAGAGAGAGCACCGGCATGCCAACCCAGCCCAGGCCCATTGGAGGAAGAGGGAGAGGGGTGGGGAGAGAGGAAGTCATGGAAAGATGTGGAAGGATAGATGGGAGCCTGGGGTGAGAGCTCATTCCTACAGCCTGAGTCACCCAGCGTGTGGATTCTCCCCTCCAGCTCAGGCAGGGCTCAGGCAGGTCTTTGAGGATCTGCCCTCCCATCCCACAGGCATCCTCTCTGTTGTTTCTAACGTTAACCTCCTCATTCTGGGCTCAAAAAAGAAAAAAGATGGAAGTGCAGCATGATGTGCAGGCCTCTCTGGGGCCTGACCTTCATGCTCCAGATACTGCTTTTATATTAAGTAAGGTGACCCTTCTCTGCCACACTGGAGATGCGTGGCTGTAGATATTGGCTTTAGGGACTACTATTTCTGCCAGCTTCAGCAGTCTCCTATATCCAGCCAGGATAGTTTAGAGTTCTTAAATCAGGCCTATTTATCAAAGAAGTCCATGGCAATACTTCCCTGATGGCCATGGGACCTCAGGAGCCCACAGTCTAACTAGAGAAAGAACATGAGAAAGAGGGAGACAGGAAATGGGACTGAAAATAGGATGGAAGCTGCATGAAAAATGGGGGTGCAGAGGAACTCCTCTGGGGACTGCCAAAATATGGGCTTCTTACCTAAAAGGGCTCTGGGAGCCCAGCTGAGTGGTGGGTGACTTACGCTTGATCGTCCCCCAGGAATGGATTCTTGTCATTTGGATTCAACCCTGCTGCCCTGTCCCCATTTGTTCACCCCATGTGCACCAATGTCTCTGTCTCTGTCTTTGTTTATGTCATTCCCTTGACCCAGAATGCCCTTCCCAGCCATCAAGACCTGGCTGGGACATCATTTGTGCTGGAAAGCCTTCCACAGATCTTTATGTGGGACCTCCTTCTCTTTGGTCCCCGTGCTTCTTTGTATCTATTGCAACAGTATCTGTTGGTTCTGATAGGCAGATTCGTGTCACCTGGGGGACCTTGTTAAATACACAAATCCTAGCCCTGAATCACAATCTCTTGGGGTGGGTTTTGGGAAGCTGCTTTCATTGGTCTTCATATGTGTTTTGAATGCCTAGCCAGGGTTGGATATGTCTTTTCTGGACTGTGTCTCCTGGGGGTGGGCACAGAACTTACATCATGGTGACCACATGTCACTGTGCCCAGACAGCCTCCTAGGCCTGGCAAAAAGGGATGCAGAGTGCAAGGCCCACACCCTTTAATTCACACCATTTTAATTCATTCATAGTTCCTGCTTCATGCCCCAGACACTATGCTGGGTCCTGGGGATACAAGAGCAAAACCCAACATAGTTTGCCTTCACACGGCTTCCAGTCTAACGGGGGGAGAATAGAGGTGACTCAAATTCCCTACACCCACATAATTACAAAGTGCAGCTTGAGTGTTGTAAAGGAAAAACAAAGGTGCTCAGAGAACCTGCAATGGGGACTCTGATGTAGGCTGGGAGGTCAGGGAAGGCTGAGGAGAGCCCGAAAGGAGGGGCAGTAAAGGAGGGGAGGGGCTGGAAACAGTCTCTTACTGGGGTCTTCTCAGAACTGTGTTCATTTAGGCCAGCTGGGAGGCATTAGGGTGTAAGCTCCTCTACAGACACCCAAGATCGTTTCCCCATCTTCTCCCCACGCCTGCCCCGCCACCCAGCCTTCACTTCTGCTTTCCTGCCATCTGCTCTTGCTGTGAGCCTTTGGGAGCTGTTGTGTTTGTTAACAAAGGAAAGACCCATTTTTCCATGCTGAGTGGCTGCCTGCTAGCATATACAGTGCCTCTACTGAATTACCAAAAGGTGCACCTCCATTTGAACTGACCTAACCTTGCACTGAACACATGACTTGGCCGGTGGAGCTCAGGCTGGATTTAAGCAGCTACTCCTGCCTCCCCTACCCACTTTTGGCCCAGTGCCCTTGTGCAGTGAACAACTTGGACAACCTTCTGTAGTGGCCCTGCTGCAGTCTCCTCTTAGGCAGAAAGTTCTGGCTTCTTGGCTCACCCTCACAGCTAGAAGATTCCTTTATCCCAGAAGGAGATAATTACATCTTCTATGGCATAAATCTGTTTGGACATTTAGAGAAGAATTTATATGTATTTTCTGAAGGACTGGGTGTTTTTCTGATCTAAATTGAAATGATGATTCTTTTAAATATGATCCAAGAGAGTCCTTTCATGTGGTAATTCACACACACTCTGGCTGATAAGCCCTAGACTTGGCAAAAGGTTCAAAGCAGAAACTGGGTTCAGATGAGGCACAGGGATACTTTTTGATCTGATTTTCTTCTAGCCACTGACATTGGGAGAATTTTGGCCTCTGAGTGGCAGTGGGCCCCAAAAAGCCTGGTAAAGTAAGATCTTTTTTTTCTTTCTTTTTTTTTTTTTTTCTTTTTTGAGACAGTCTTGCCCTGTCATCCAGGCTGGAGCACAATAGTGCAGTCTCGGCTCACTGCAACCTCTGACTCCCAGGTTCAAGTGATTCTCCTGCCTCAGCCTCCTGAGTAGCTGGGATTACAGGTGCACACCACCATGCTTGGCTAATTTTTTCTTTCTTTTTTTTTTTTTTTTGTATCTTTAGTAGAGACGGGATTTCACCATGTTTGTTAGGCTGGTCTCGAACTCCTGACCTCGTGATCCACCCGCCTCGGCCTCCCAAAGTGCTGGGATTACAGGCTTTAGCCATCGCGCTGGGCCAAAATAAGATCTTTTTAAAGAAAGTCTGAAATGCCTAGAAAGAGTAGAGGAGTCCTTACTACACTTGGCTTTAGAAAAAGAAGCCTTTTCTGGGAGAAGATAACTCTCATCACACACTAAGCAAGTCAGAGGATCTGAGCTGGAGTGGCCCTTGAGAGGTATCTCATCTAGATCCTTCTTTTTACCCTTTGGAAAACTGAGGCTCAGAGAGAGGAAGTGGATTGGCTTAGGTCCCACAGTGAGTGGCAGAGCCAGGATCACACCTGACGGGTGCTTGCTTCTGCACCTGAACCTTGAGGGTCGCTGTTCCCCCACATAGTAGTGCCAACAGGGTCCCCTATGAGGATGGTGCAAGCTCAAAGGGTGGCTGTGTGTGGGAATGGTGAGAAGGGGACATCATCTAGGACCATAAATCATGGTGTCTCCTCAAGCCCAGTGTGGCCCCTCCTCTTCCAGATACAGAAAGCTGCTTCTGCTACTTAAGGGACAGGCATCATCTTCAAGAGGTAACACTAGGAATAGAATGAGAACTGGGAGTGGTGGAAGCGGAAGACAGAAGCTGATCTTATGGACACAGAAGAGTATGTAAGTGAATCACAGGCCATATCACAGTTTCATCAGTGATTATAATAATTGGTTTTGGGCTGGGGGAGTATTGGTTGTCAAAGTGACATCCTCTTTTAGGTGCCATATTTTTCCATGTCTGACGTCGGAAAAAGCACTTTCAGTTGTGAGGATAAGATGAGCTCACAGGTGCTCAGGAAATGGCAGCATCTCTTGAGAGATTCTGTTAAGGAAAGTGGAGGAGGAAGGGAACTAGATATAAATCTTCTCCTTTAATACTTTCAGGAGGTATGGTTCTCCTTATCTCACTGAAAAGGAAACAGGGCAAATTTCCTGCCCAAGGTCACACAGCCCAAATGTAGGGAAGCTCAGCTCTTCTGATTCTGGGCCATTCCCCCCACTTCACCTTGCAGTGCCATGCTAGCTTCTCTTAGACTTACCGTTAATTTCCATCAGTTTCAGCTGACTCATCCTTTCCTCCCAGGCCCTGAGACCACACCCAGGGTTGTTTGTTTTTAACTCTAAGATCATCCTGTTTTCCATAGGCCTGAGCTCCATCAGCAAGCCAGGACCCTCTTCTGATCCATACTCCAAAGTCAGCATAAACATCTCCAGCCAAAGCTGTTCCTTGTTCTGTCAGTAACACAGTTCCCGAGGAGACCAGGGCCTCTTTCCTTCCGTTGTCTCCTGGTTGCTCTGCTTCTGGTGACGAAACAGGGGCAGCGTCAAATGAAGAACATCATCTGTCCTACAGACTAGGCAACTGTGAATTTTTCATCAATCCTGATTTCTCTAATGAATTGCAACATGCTCTAACTCCAACATTCAAAATTCAACATTTCCATTCCCTATTTGTTAAGGGTGCAGGTGAATATGAAAAGGCAAATTCAAAAGGTGAACTTTCCTATCTCTGAAGGGCACATGCAGGAGCCTGAACCCGGCTGGGAGCCAGGAGACCTGCATTTTGGTCCTGACTCCCTCCCTGCTGCCTGTGTGCTCTTGGGCAAGTTGCTTAATCATTCTGGGTTTACGTGCTTGTTAAGGACTCTTTCAGTGCAAATATTTTATAATTATAAACACTGAGAAGATCCTGTCAATAATGTAGTTCCTTTGTCATGCTAAATGTCACACATGCATCATGGCCTATGATACCTGATGAGTTTAGAATTTTTTCTTGATTGGAACAGGGATGGGTGTTTAAAACAAAAGACTTGAGTCCTTTCCAGCTGGGGCCCTGAGTCTGTGGGTTTGGTAAGTCAATTAGGCTGCAGAGTCACAAGTAGTTTACCTTGTCAAAATACTAGCCATTTGTTTAAAATCAAATCCTCAAGATGGAGTGGTATTTCCAAACTCCACTGAGTTGGAGCCTCAGAACTAGAGAACTGGATAATGGAGTTAGTCCAGCACATACTTCTGCTTTGCTAATACCTTCCGTTTTTGTCTAGTACCCCTTGGTAGTGAAATATCTGTTCTGGGTCTTTCCAAGGACAACCACATCCGAGTGGGGAGAAGGCCGACATTCAGGGTGCTGGAAGGGTGGGGTGGCATGATTCAGATCAACAGGGCTGACTTTCCACTGTTTCACCTCACTTGCACTGTAGCCACCAGTTCTGGGACTCCTCAGTTGACAGATGTGGAGACCCAGAGTCAAGGAATGATGTCCCCTAGGACCCCTGGGGAATTTGACACAACCACAGTCAGCACCTGGCTGCCATCAGCCTAAGGCTGTCACTCGAGAGGGCTTCCTCTCCAGATGAATACAAGCTGACTTGAAGGGTAAAAGAGTCTAAAAAACATACGATTATCTTAAGAACAACTTTAACACATGTAAATAAAGACCCATAGATTTTTATTTCTATTTTCAGTCAAACACATATCAAAACCCGGCATGTTTTCAAACACCACGGCGGATACTTGATTTGTATTTCCTGAAGCCACCCCAGTGAGCCACTCTGAAATAAATTAAAAAGAATGGTCAAGGCTGAATGCACACTGAGGTTTCCATGTGCTCAGCTCAGCAGATTCAGGTATGACCCCTACAGAGCTTGGACTCTGAACTGGCACTGACATTCTCTACGCTCAGCGACCATTTCACACAATGAATTCATCTGTGTAATTGTGCCTAGCTGTCCCCAGATTAACTCCATGTTTGCATGAAGATCAAAATGCTTACTTTTCAAAGTTTGGTTTTCTTCCATTTCTGTCTTATCTGGGGAGGCATTCATGCTTGGAATTTCCTGGGCTTTTCTTTTTTAAATCTCATGGAGAGACTGAGAGTGTTAAGGGGGAAAGAGTAGCAGGCAGGGGCAGGGGGCTTGCCTTTTATTGTTCTTTTTTTGAAACAACAATTGGCAATTTTTCTTCACTGTTTTAGTGTTCTCTTGTTAAAGACAACCCAGACCTCAGAGTAATAGCATTCTTGCTTGCCCCCACCCCTAAATCCTACCTTAGTCAGAACATGAGCTAGAATTCTGCATCATTAAAAAAAAATTCAGCCGAGGCAGGTAGATCATGAGGTCAGGAGTTCGAGACCAGCCTGGCCAACATAGTGAAACACCGTCTCTACTAAAAATACAAAAACTAGCCAAGTGTGGTGGCACGTACCTGTAGTCCCAGCTACTTGGGAGGCTGAGTCTGGAGAATCGCTTGAACCCGGGAGGCAGATGTTGCAGTGAGCCGAGATTGTGCCATTGCACTCCAGCCTGGGTGACAAGCGAGACTTCATCTCAAAAAAAAAAAAAAAAATTCGATTGGGTTGTCAGTTACATAAAGAGTGCACGACTGAAGTACCTACCTTGATAAGTACTTATGTCTGCTTTGCTTATACCTTCCGTTTTTGTCTAGTACCACTTGGTGATGAAACGTCTGTTCTGGGTCTTTCCAAGGACAACCACATCTGAGTGGGAAGAAGGCTGACATTTGGGGCGCTGGTAAGGTGGGGTGGCATGATTCAAATCAGCAGGGCTGACTTTCCACTGTTTCACCTCACTTGAGCTGTTCTAGGAGAAATATTGGAAGGCATGCTGCACCTTTCTTCACAATGGGATCGGCAGGTGAAAGCAAGACATTTGAATGGAGTGGAGTGTTTCACTTAATCATTAGCACTGCTGACATCAATAAAAAACAAATAATGCATATCATCAGCATGAGCACCTACAGTGAGTGGAAAGGAGGCCAGGTTCTTAGTAAGCTTTATGATGAGGTAGGGGACAGATGGGATTCAAAGCGGAGCCGAGGAAGCAGTGTGGCTTGTATTTCAGCTGCAGCGTACAATTATTTTTGTGGTCGAAGAATCCAAACTGCGCCAGCTATTTCAAAACAACATCAGGAGGGCAGAGGTGTGTTTTCCAGCATCCCCAATGGGTGCCAGGAGACAGCCTTGAGAACAAACACATCTTTTCTTGAAATAGGAAGCCAACTATTTAGCTTATGCAAGTAATACTATAAAAAGGCATTGTAAGTTGACTTGCAGCTCCTGAGCTTTGGACCAACCTCTAGACTTGTTTCAAAAGGCTCTTTCTGGAGGAAGAAAAGTCCTGAGGCTCTCAGGTCAAGCCCTGGCTCCAACAACAATTTAAATCAAGTAAAAGCCTCCTTCGCCTATAGGTTGAACCAGCCCAGGCAAACACCATTAAGACAGCTTCCAAACAAAGATGACAATATTACCATTTCAGCCTGAACCTGGTTTCAAAATTCATTTTGTGAAATGTTTAAAGTTGGACAAGCCAAGCAGAACTATAGCATTAATGAGACCCTAATGAAAATTCATGCATTCAACTCATTCATTCAACAAATATTGAGTGGGATGTGCCAATATCTATTGACTGGGAATGTGTAGTATGACTCCCTGGCATCATTAAATGTGAATGTGAATGCAAGAGCAGCTGGTATGGTTGTGCTTTCTTCACAAATTTTGTTCAGCTACACAGGATCAGGTGCCAAATAAGCAGAGTTGGATTTAACCAGGGCTGTGGTTTCGGCAAAGCAGCGTGAAGTGAAGGAAGAGAGAGTTGAGGATATGCAAGGAAGTGATGGAGATGAATAATTATGGGATTGAAAAGTGAATTTTATTTTATGTTTTTGAGACAGGATCTCTCTCTGTCATCCAGGCTAGAGTGCAGTAGCGGGAATATGGCTCACTGCAGCCTTGACCTCCTGGGCTCGAGTGATCCTCCCACCGCAGCCTCCTGAGTAGCTGGGACCACAGGTGTGTGCCACCACTCCTGGCTCATTTTTGTATATTTTGTAGAGATGGGTTTTCATCACATTGCCCAGGCTGGTCTTCAACTCCTGGGCTCAAGTGATCTGCCTGCCTTGGCCTCCCAATGTGCCGGGATTATAGGCGTCAGCCACTGTGTCTGGACTGAAAAGTGAATTTTATTGAAAAATAATTTTGTTTTTTAATGAGTAATAGTCTTGGGTTTTACTTGCATTCTAAGCCTAACACTGCCATCTACGAGCTGAGTGATCTGAAGCAAGTCACGCTTCCTCTCTGGGACCAAGTCACTTCTATAAAATGAGGTGGCTGGACCAGGAGCACTAGAAGATAGAGAGGATCTGTATATGATTGAATGAGTCATATGAGGTCCCTCCTGCTGAAGGTCATGGGTCCAGTTTTCTTTCTGCTTTAGTAGACTGGGAGCAGTAAGTATAGGATCAGTTTTTTGTTTGTTTTTTGTTTTTGGTTGTCTTTTGTTGTTGTTGTTGTTGTTGAGACGGAGTCTCGCTCTGTCACCCAGGCTGGAGTGCAGTGGTGCGATCTCGGCTCACTGCAAGCTCCGCCTCCCAGGTTCAAGTGATTCTCCCGCCTCAGCCTCCCGAGTAGCTGGGACTACAGGCGCCTGCCACCACACCCAGCTAATTTTTTGTCTTTTTAGTAGAGACGGGGTTTCACTGTGTTAGCCAGGATGGTCTCGATCTCCTGACCTCGTGATCTGCCCACCTTGGCCTCCCAATGTGCTGGAATTGCAGGTGTGAGCCACCATGCCCGGCCTGTTCTTTCTTTTTTACTGGGGTGCAGAAAGAAACAAGACTCAAGGGCTTGTCAAAACTTCTATGCATGTGAAATGATAGAAGTTCACTTAACAAGAAGCGGCAGTGACCAAATGACTCAGCACCCGATTTCCACCGCATGGTCTCTTGAACAGCCGCGAGAAGACTAAAGCCTTCTAAGCACTTCCGGTGGAAGGATGGGCCACAGGCCAGCAACATGGGCAGGACCTGGGAGCATGTTAGATGTGCAGAATCTCAAGCCCCATCCCAGACCTACTGGATCAGCATCTACATGCTAAGCAGGTGATCATGCACATGTTAAAGTGTAAGAAGCCCTGCTCTAACTGCCCCATCCCGTGGTGCAATGAGGCTCGGTGTCCCCACAGAGCAGTCAGCAAGCCTAGGTATAGTTATGGGAAGACTCATGCCAGGTAGGACTGCGGAGCTGGGGTGAGTGACATGGGCACAGGCCTCTGCAGAAGCTTAGCTCTGGTTCCCCTAGCAGCAGCAGCTCAATTTGGAGGGACTGAAGGGGAGGGGGTATTGGATGGTGGTGTTTCTGTTTCACTTTACTGTCCCACTGACACTAGCACTGGCGGGAGAGATTTTCTCTATAATCTGCTGAAACCTGAGAAGGAATCTGCAAGAATAAACAGAGCCTTTAGAGCTTACCAATTCTGATATTTGGAGGCCTTTGCAAGGTTTAATTCAATTTATTATTTATTGATGACCTACCGTGTGCCAGATATCAGGAATACAAAGAGAATAAAATGTCCTAGTGTTGTATTGGGAAGGGAGGGTCACATTCTTGCATGTGTCTGTGTTTGGAGATGAGATGAGTCGGGGGCAAACCTGCAGCAATAGAGCAACTGCATGCCCAGTGTCACCTGGGTCCCGAGGGGCAGGACGAAAGACAGGTTAAGGAAGGCTTCCTGGAAGAGGTGGCTCCTAAGCTGTTAAGTAGGCTAAGAAATGCTCTGTGCATGAGCTAACCCATTCCATACACTCACCACACACACTCACTCACATGCACTCACACACAAACTCCCACCCACACACATCCACATCCACACACACACTCACATGCATGTATATCTACTCCATCCACACACACACTCACATGCACTCACATACAATCTCCCACCCACACTCACAATCCGCATCCACACACACACTCACAGCATGTATACGTACTCCATCCACACACACATATAGGCACATTCACACCCACCCACATATGTGCACATGCACCTACACACACACACACCACACATTGTAGTCTTTCTGGGGAAACAGAGAAAGTCACTCTTTTGAAGAACCTCAGAAACTGCACAATAAGAGCTCTTCTTAATTTGTCACCAAAACTCAGATAAAGTTGAAGGTCTAACTTCCAAGAAGATCTTCTAGACTGTTTTCCAGATTGTTATAAATGCACCTTCAGACATGAAGGAGCACCTCACGGTTGCACTCAGATACCTCCTGGGATGTGATTTAGTCTTGATGATTATCGTTACATGTCACTGAATATAGTTTGATGAAAACGTTTTAGGGAAACAAGTTTTCAGAAACTGTCCCCAGATTTATTATAGTAGTCGTCAACTCTGAGGATGCATTTTTTGACTGGGCAACTATTGTTGGGGGTCTTATACCTGACTTGGAGAGGTGTGTTTGTGCCTTTTAGGTAAGATGGGGAATAGAGGGTCCCCAGACTTAAGAGCTATGTGTGATATTTGAGATAAATTGATCCTTAACATTTTTCCCAAGTCAGAGTTCTCATTATTTGTCTCCTAGATGCCAATAGAGTAAAATGCAAAATGGCTCACCACATGGTCAAAGCCCCTCCCTTTCAACTGGCCACATCCTGGCTTTCCCATGCTCTTTCTACTGAACCAAGCTCTGTGTTCCAAGAAATCACCCTGTCCTCAAATCTCTGTACCTTGTTCTCTGCCGAAGCCATGCCCAAGCAGTTCCCTTTGCCTGGTATGTTTCGCTCTCCCATTTCCCCGCAACACTGCCTGTCAACCTCTTCAATGAGAAGTTCCAGCCCCACCTTCTAGAAGCTTCCAGAAGCCAGTATTGGGCTTTGGCATTAAACAGCCTGTAACAAGGAATGATCCTGCCCCAAATGTCGCTAGTGCCAGGTTGAGTCACTCTGTCATTGACAGGGTAGACTCTGAGTATGTGGGTCCTTTTGAGCCCGTTTTCTAATCTTTAAAAAAAAAGGGAGGGGAAAATATTTACTTCACACTTTTATTTAGTTTTTCAAAGATTAAATGAGATAATGCTAGTGAGTTTCACTAGCATATAGGAGATAGTCAAGAAATATTTCAGTGGATAATGGCATTTCTCTCCTGATCAAGTTGGATTAACCCTCTCTTTTCTACAGTCTGGAACGTTCTGTACCTTACATAGCTGCCTTGGATCTGAGGTTTCTGTGTTTGTGAGGCGGGCTTATCTTGGTCTCTTGCCTGGTGACTTTAGCATAATCCTTGCTCAAAACGTTAAATTAAATGAAATAGATTCTTTGGGTATCACTCTTTTTTTCTGCGAAATTCCTTCTAACAGCCGCTGAGCCTGAAGACAACAAAAGCTGCCCAGACTTTTCTCCTGGGCTCCAGCCCCTCCTGTCTGCCTGCTCAAAGGAATCTCAGCGCGCAGGTCTCACAGGCACCTCAAATCCAGCCTGTGTAAACCTGAGCTGCCTGTGTACACACTCCTATATCCTAGAACCATGGTTCTCAAATGTGGGTGTTTTTGCCCCCCAGGTTACATTTGGCAGGGTCTGGGGATATTTTTGTTTGTCACAACTAAGACAGATGGTCCTTCGTGGAGTCTTGTAGACAGAGGTCGGGGGTGCTGCTGAACATCCCACAATGCATAGGACAGTCTCCATTACAAGGAATGATCCTGCCCCAGGTGTCACTAGTGCCGGGTTGAGAAATCCTGATCTAGAGGGAGACTTTACCTGGTAGGTCAGGCCATGGTACCGCTCTGCTCACAATCCCCCATGGCTCCCACATCACTCAGAGTAAGATGCATACCCTCCGGGTGGAGGACACAGCCTGCAGGGTTCCGCTTCCCAACCTGCTGAGCCCCGACTTATCATCGCCCTCTCTCCCTTTCCTCCACCCCTTCTCCTCTTTCCTGCCTTGCTTGTCTGCCCTGCCTCCCACCGTGCCTCCACTACGCCTGCCTCAGAGCCTCGCACCAACGTTCCCTCTGCTTGGAATGCTCTTCCCTCAGTCACCCAAGTTCATCCCTTGCTGCCTTCAAGTCTCTGCTCACATGTCACCTTTCCTGCAAGGCCATGCCTGCCCACCCCTTTTAAAGCCGCAGCCCTTCCAGGCATGCCATCCTTCTTGCTTGCTATAGGTTTTTCCATTGCACTGATCACCTTACAAATGGGTTTATTTATTGTATAATTTTCTCTTCCCACTAGAGTGTAAGAGCTACAGGAAAGGGATATTTTTGTTTTGTTCACTGATATTTCCCACTGCCTAGTGCTCAAAAAATATTTGCTGAATAAGTGAATAAATCAGTATCATACTGTCCCCAACTTGCTCATCTTACCTCTATTTTGTAACTGATCTATGTAACCACCACTTAGCTGACATCCTAGTGTCAGAACCCAAACTTGAGTCTTCCCTTTCTCTGTCTTTTTTATTTTTTGAGATGGGGTCTCACTTCTCACTATGTTGCCTAGGCTGGACTTGAACTCCTGGGCTCGGGCGATCCTCCCACCTCAGCCTCCCAAGTAGCTGGGACTATAGGTAGGCACCATTGCACCCAGCTTCTCTCTTTCACAGCTTTATTGAGATATAATTCACATAAAATAGAATTTATCCATTTAAAGAGTACAATTCAATGGGTTTTGGTATATCATAGTTACGCAAACAACACTGCAACAATCTTTGAATATTTTCTTTCTTTCTTTTTTTTTTTTTTTTTTTGAGACAGCTTCTTGCTCTGTCACCCAGGCTGCAGTGCACTGGCGCAATCTCGGCTCACTGCAACCTCCGCCTCTCAGGCTCAAACGATTCTCCTGCCTCAGCCTCCTGAGTAGCTGGGATTACAGACACATGCAACTACACCCAGCTAATTTTTTGTATTTTCAGTAGAGATGGGATTTCACTATGTTAGCTAGGCTGGTCTCTAACTCCTGAGCTCAGGTGATCTGCCTGCCTCGGCCTCCCAAAGTGCTAGGATTACAGGCACGAGCCATTGTGCCCAGCCCAAATATTTTCATTATCCTCGAAGAAACCCCATATTCCTTAAACATCGCCCTCCAGCTCCCCCACCCCCACCGCCATTTCTCCTCATCTCTGGCAACTACTGATCTATGTGCTGACTCCATGGGTTCTCCTGTTCTGGACATTTCATGTCAATGGACTCATACAACATTCTTCACTGGCTTCTTTGACTTAGCACACTGTGTTCCAGGTTCATCCATGTTTTTGCCTATATTAGTATTGCATTATTTTTATAGCCAAATACTATTCCATTGCATACAGGCACAGCATTCTGTTTATCCATGTATCACTTGATGGGCATTTGGGTTACTTCCAGTTTGGGGCTACTATAAAAATGCTGCTTTGGGCTGGGCGCAATGGCTCACACCTGTAATCCCAGAACTTTGGGAGTCTGAGGTGGGCGGATCACTTGAAGCCAGAAGTTCAAGACCAGCCTGGCTAACATGGTGAAACCCTGTCTTTACTAGAAATACAAAAATTAGCTGGGTGTGGTGGTGCGTGCCTGTAATTCCAGCTACTCAGGAGGCTGAGGCACAAGAATCACTTGAGGTTGCAGTGAGCGGAGATCAGACCACTGAACTCCAGCCTGGGTGACAGAGCCAGACTCTGTCCCCCTGCCTCAAAAAAAAAAAAAAGAAAAGAAAAGAAAAAAAACCGCTGCTCTGAACATGCTTGTCCATGTTCTTGGGTGGACATATGCTTTCATTTCTCCTGGGCATGAACCTGGGAGTGGGGCTGCTGGATCATCTGGTTACTCTGTGTGTAACCTTTTGAGGACCTGCCACTTTTTTTTTTTCGTTTTCTCTATGAATCCACATCCAACTCATAAGTATGGGCTGTGTTTCTCCCTCCTGAATCTGTGCTCACTTGCATCTGCACGGAAACCACCTCTTCAGTTCATACCTGGAAGGCTACAGTGCCTGCTAATGGGGATCCCTCTCCACTTGGTCACCCTCGCCTGCACAGGGGAAGGAGTTTCCCCTTCTTGATGCTGAGGCCACACCCCGGCCCATTCAGGGTTGCCTCTGGAGGTGGGACCCAGGCATCAGTGCTTCCCAGAGCTCCCCGGGTGATTACGACGCACAGCCAAGCACCCGCTTCCTTCTGATCCACATTTTATCACCTGCCACCCAAGTGCCTCCATGACAGCAAATCTGATTGTGTGATCTGGATTCTTCTTAAAACCCCTGTGTGGCTCTCCATGGTCTCCACAATAAAATCCAAGCTCCCCAGGATGCACATGCATCTCGGTGACCTGTGTCCACTGCCACCCGTCTTGCCTCCTTCCTCTCCCTGACCCACGCTGCACATGCCACGCTGAGCTCCATGTGCCTGCCCATCCACACCTCCACGCCTTGGGACAGACTGGTCCCTCTTCCTGAAGTGCCTGTTCCCATCTTTCATCCTCCTCTAGGAAGTCTTCCCTGACTGCTCTCCCTCAGCGGGCTGTAACTGTGTTCACTGGCCTCTAGTCCAGGAGCGCCTCAAGGCCAGGGCTGGGATATCACTCTTCTCTGGATCCTCAGCCTGTAGCTGCCTGACTCATGGTAGGTGATGGGTTCTTTCTTTTTTTTGGCATATGTATGTTGGGTGGTGTGATGAATGAAGAGGTGAGTGAATGAACCTGGCCTATGTAGGAGCCGTGACCAGGTGCAATCCTACCAGCTGCCCAACTGTGCTCTCCTGAGTCCTAGCAATAACCCTGGGGGCACTCAGCAGGGCCTGCTCAACCCCCGACCTGGACCAGCGAGACCCACGCACGTCTCCCTCCCGTGGGGACATCTACCTGCATTTCCCAGTCTCAGGCTCAGTGTGTTTCATTTCTCCAGCCATGGGGCCCAGCAGGTGTCAGCAGCAAAGCAGAACTGGGTGGGACAGTCCTTCCTGAAGATAAGGCAAAGTGCCCCAGCCCAGAGATCAATCCTGTAAATCCACTTTCAAAGGGCTGAATAAGGTGGGACATCCCTGGTTCCTTCTTCAGCCATAAATCTCTAGGCTCAGATGGTAACTGCCCTCCTCTTGACAAAGCTGTAAAGAGCACGGCATAGCAGCAGTCGGGAAAGAGCATGGACAAGAAAGGTCCTTCGGGTGGGGCAAGGCCCACCTGTCTTGCCCCCTAAGCTTTGCCTCCCTCCCTGCATGGGCTTTGCTGCCTCTGTGGGGACCTGTTGGAGGTTGCAGGGCTTGACTGCCAGTGCCGGAGGCTTCTGTGAGCATCTGTCCTGTAAATACCCAGGCTCCATTCTGCTGCTCAGCCCATGCCGATGCCACCTGACTTCCTGTGAATGAATGGAGCACTGTAAAAGGAGTCCAGCTCGGCTGCCCCCCATGTGACTGTCTAAGAGTCACCTCCCCTCTCGAGGAGGCAGTGGGGTGGGTGGACTAGATGATCCCAGAGGCTGCTTTCAGCTCTAACGCCCCAGTTGCTCCTGTTTTTTGTTTTTTGTTTTTGAGACGGAGTCTCGCTCTGTCGCCCAGGCTGGAGTGCAGTGGTGCAATCTCGGCTCACTGCAAACTTCGCCTCTCTGGTTCACACCATTCTCCTGCCTCAGCCTCCTGAGTAGCTGGGACTACAGGCGCCCGCCACCACGCCCGGCTAATTTTTTGTGTTTTTAGTACAGACGGGGTTTCACCGTGTTAGCCAGGATGGTCTCAATCTTCTGACCTTATGATCCGCCTGCCTCGGCCTCCAAAAGTGCTGGGATTACAGGTGTGAGCCACCACGCCCGGCCTCCTGGTTTTTTTTAGACAGAGTCTCTCTCTGTCGCCAGGCTGGAGTGCAATGGCCCGATCTTGGCTCACTGCAACCTTTGCCTCCTGGGTCCAAGTGATTCTCCTGCCTCAGCCTCCTGAGTAAGTGGTATTACAGGTGCCCACCACCATGCCCAGATAATTTTTTGTATTTTTAGTAGAGTTCAAGTTGGCCAGGCTGGTCTTGAGCTCCTGCCCTCAAGTGATCCACCTGCCCTGGCCTCCCAAAGTGCCAGTTGCTCTTTCTGACCCGTTTGAGAGCAAAGCTGTGTGAAGGTTTTCCTCTCAGGTCCTGAATTTTCAAGAAAATCATGTTTGGAAAGACCAGAGTCAAGCATAGTAAAAAATAACAAACTTGAAAATAATGACTCTTTGTGTTTTGATTTCTCCTAAATCCGGCTTCTGTAACTGTACAGTAACAGGGCAGTGCAGGGAACAGCACCGGACAAGAGAGTCTCCAAATCCTTAATTCCATTCTGCCCCGCCCCGGACTAGCAGTGTCATTGGGGTGAGTCATTTTTCCCTCTGTAGGCCTCAGTTTGCTGATCTGTAAAATGGGGATATTTAATGCCTTACAGAGAGCTTGCCATGTGCCTTCTCCAGTACTAAGTAGAGAGACAGGTAAATAAGACAGGATCCTAACTTTTTTTTTTTTTTTTGAGATGGAGTCTCGCTCTGACCCCCAGGCTGAAGTGCAGTGGCATGATCGCGGCTAACTGTAAGCTCCACCTCCCGGGTTCAAGCCATTCTCCTGCCTCAGCCTCCCGAGTAGCTGGGACTACAGGTGCCCACCACCATGCCCGGCTAATTTTTCTGTATTTTTAGTAGAGACGGGGTTTCACCATGTTAGCCAGGATGGTCTTGATCTCCTGACCCTGTGATCCGCCTGCCTTGGCTTCCCAAAGTGCTGGGATTACAGGCGTGAGCCGCCGCGCCAGCCTAATTTTTTTTCAAAATTTTGGTTTTGCTTTAGGAGAATTGCTTGAACCTGAGAGGTGGAGGTTGCAGTGAGCCAAGATTGCATCAGTGCACTCCAGCCCAGGCAACAGTGCAAGACTATGTCAAAAAAAGAAAGAAAGAAAAAGGAAGGAAGGAAGAAAGGAAGGAAGGAAGGAAGGAAGGAAGGAAAGAAGGAAGGCAGGCAGGCAGGCAGGCAGGCAAGCAGCTTATTTGGGAGGTGATCCCCGGAAACACTGGCAGAGAGAGAAGTCAGGTAGGGAAGTGAAAGCAGTCAATACAGAGTGCAATTTCAAGCCAGCTACCATTATGAGCTTCATCCCAATAAGGAGCTCAACAACTCTATCCAATGACTTCTCTCTCCTTTCCCACAAAACATCTGTGACCAGACACTTGGCTTAACCTCCACATTTCTCTGCATCTTTATATAGCTTCTCCTCCTTTTATGATAACTCAGAGGAGCAGATATCCCCTTCCTCTGAACAAATGCCTCCACTTCAACTCTTCATCTACTCCCTTTCTACCCCTCCAAAACCTTGCTCCGCCAGAGGCCCCCTGCCTTTCTCTACTCCCGCTCCCTCTTCATCCTCATTCCTTGATAACACTTTGCAACCTGACTTTCATTTCCCCTTCTTCCTCCCATGCACTGAGGCTTGGGGGCTTTACTAAGATGCTTTTCCCAGAGGATCCTTCCTCGAGTTTCCGATACACGTCTATCCACCTTGTTTCATAAACAGTCTATTATTATTCACTGCTAAAAAACTCTCATCTCAAAATGTTAAGGATCATCATAGCTACATAACAAAGTTGTGGTAAGGATTCGAGGTTAAATACACTGTCTAGCAGAGCCTGGCACAAAGAGGCAGTCAGTACACAGCAGCAACCAATACCATCACCAAGCTTAATTATTGGAGTTTGCAACCCATGGGTGATCAGGACAGAATATGACAAGAAGGAGAGCTGTTAGAGGCAGAAGAGTAGTAGTTTGGGATCATTTTACAGAACTGCAGGAAGTCAGTGTCACCAGAGTTCTTGAGATTTCCCAGTCTCTTGGACATTGGTGGTGATGGGCGTTCTTAAGGATGACGACTGTAGTTAGAAGAGCTAGTTCCACAATCATCACAACAGTTTTTCCCTCTTAAATAGAAAGTGCTGGTTTTCCATGTCAATACTAAATGTTCAGTAACAACTGGCTGCAGTTGACATTCCCAAGCAAAAGCAGGGGTCAAGCCCTATCCAGTAGAGGAACCAAAGCAGAACCAGCCTTGCGTGGTTGGTCATCCGGCCACTGAACTTTCTGCCACAAAGTCAAAGAGGTTTGGGACTAGCACGAGAATAGAACAGCAGTGGGATGAGTAGACAAGGGAGCCCACACACAGACCCGCAGGAATGTACAAATGAAGTACATGGGCACCGAGGCATTTCAAAGCCGTGAGGAGAGGATGTCTTGATTATTAAATCAATGGTGCAGGGATGATTGACTAAGGGCTTGGAAAGGCATAAAGTTCCCGTCTGTGCCTCACATCCCATGTCCAAATAAGATTCAACGTCTAAAGAGTTACACATCAATCAACCAGAAATTGGAAAACAAGTGCCTGGCTTATTTCACTTAGCATAATGTCCTCCAGGTCCATCCATGTGGTTGCAAATGGCAAGATTCCCTTCTTTTTTAGGGCTGAATGGTATTTTCTTGTATGTATACACCACCATTTCAATAAAGAATTGGTTAAGTGATTGTATATTGATACAATGGACTTTTATATAGTCATGAAAGTCATGTTTTAGAATAGTCAATGCTCATGATCTATTCTTAAGTAAAATAGTAAGCTAAAAAAACATATAGCTCCAGGAGTTGAGCAAGAGAGGCACCCTGCCTGCTGGGCCTGTCTGCTCCCCTGAGTTAGGCACTCCAGGAAGGGGTTGAGAGCATCTGAGTCTTGGGGCCCAGCCCTGAGGCCCTCACTTTCCCTGCCTACTAAGGGGCCCTCAGGAACAAAAGCAGAGCCAAGGAGTTGTACAGCTATAGAGTCCAGTGTGCTCAGCCCCTCAAGTGTGTGATGGAAATAGGCCCAGAGAGGTCAGGTGACCTGCCCAGGGCCTTCCAGCCCTCACACAGCTGGAATCAGGATCCACGGCCCCCAGCCTGGAGCACTGGACATCACATTTCAGGGGAAGTGGGGTGCTGGGCTCACACGTGAGAGGTCTTGCTAGCTGCCAGCCTGGGGCTCACCCGCCTGCTGTCCACCCCTTCAACATCGGTAGTGGGACTCACAGGCACGAGGCTGGGGCCTTCTGCTGCAGACACAAAGCATACCGCCACCTGAGGTCCAGGGTCATGATTCAAAACCTACTAAGTGCCCATCAGTCCTTTCCCAGGTTGAAGGGAAAACAGGACTCCAGCCCCCACATAGTGCCTGGCCACCTGCTGCTCATGAGGCCTTGTCTCCCCATCTTTAGGAAGGCTTTGTGTGTGTGAAAGTTTTTGCATGCACTTGTCTTAAGCATCTTCACGGCCCTGCAAGGTGGGTTTGATTGTCATCCCCATCTTACAGGTGAAACAGGTTTCCAGAGTCTGAGTAGTTTGCCAAGGCGGGGAAGGGGTGATCCAGGACTCAAACCCAGGTCCTCCAACTGCCACTTTCTCTGACTTTCTGGGGGTCAGTAACCCCAGTCCCTTCTCTCCTAGCCTGTCAGAGATTCAGCAGAGACCCCAGGTGGAGGCTCAGTGAGCTCTGGTGTGTGATAGGGACCTGGGGTCTTGTCACTGTCCTGACACCTTATCCTCTAGGTGGCTTTGAAACCATCCGTGTCACTTTGGGCTTCACCAGAGTTGCCAATCCCAGCCTCAAAATTCAGCCACCCCACCCCAACCTCTGGGGGCTGAGGCAAAGACTCTTCTTTTCTCCACAAAGCTAGAATGAGGACCTTCTGGGGGCCTAAGGTAAGAAATGGTCTATTTCTAAAGGGCCTGGTGTCTGGGTAAGCTCTGTGTATTTTCTTACGTTTGCTTTTTGGGGAACTTCATTCAGAGGAGACTTGGCAGCCTCTCTGAAGACACGGAAGTGATCAATGGCAAAGCTGCAAGAGGCTGTAAGCCCCACCTAGCATGACTTCCTCATTAGGCACATGGGGAAACTGAGCCTCAGTGGGTGGAACAGGCCTGCAGGGGCACAGTTGGGACAAGAACTCCGAACTCCAGGGCCCTCTACAGCTCAGGCTGTGCAAATGGGGCTGGTCCCGAAAGACGGTCCGGGCTGATGTGGGGACTGTCAGGCTGTGAGACGGGGCTCACTGGCCAGCCAGCCCAGAGGCAGCGTAGGCGCTCTGGCAGGAGACCCCCCCCAGGAAGTTTCGAAACCTTCAGCAGGATTTCAGAACCGTTCTAGACCCCATGCAGATTGTTTCTCTGTTAAAGAAGGCGCTTTAAGAAGCTGCCGAAGAGGCTCTGCCTTTGACCGTCAACAGGCATCTTTCCTCTAGTCCATCAGCCCACAAAGACAGGAAATCTGATGGGGGGAAAAACAAATAAAGTCATGCCAAAGTCGGGTGTCAGTAACCAGGGGGGCCGCCTGAGGCGTCGCATCCAACCCCCGCCCAGGTTTCCGCCCCGGGCCAGCAGTAGCCAGTCCCCGAGGGCCCATCTTCCAGCCCTGAAGCGGTAAACGCCTCACCTCTAGTGGCGAGTGCGAGGAACCGCACCCTAGCCCGCCTGACTGTCCAGCCCCGGGTGGTGCCCATCCTGCCTGTTGTTCCCTCTCAAACCAAATAAACCTCCCGACGTATGGACTCTGGCTGTCGTAGATGCAGACTCTCCTGCAATGCTTAACACCGTTTTGCTACCACGTGACGGCTGCAGACACTGTCCTCAAACTGCAGCCCCACAACGCAATTTTTGTACTTTCATCTGACATACCCGAAGGTGTCCTTTTTAAGTCTTGTTAATATTCATAATGACGTATAATCCAAAGTAAATGGAAATGTCATATTGTGATTGCAATGGAAACGGCATATTGCGACTGCATTGCCTTGGCGAGACTGTCGTCCTAACAGATTTTGAGGGGGCGGGGATGGTGGCTCACGCCTGTAATCTCAGCACTTTGGGAAGCCAAGTTGGGAGGTTCACTTGAAACCAGGAGTTCGAGCCCAGCCTGGCCAACATGGAGAAACCCGTCTGTACAAAAAAAACAGAAAACAAACAAAAAAAAACACAAAACCAATTAGCCGGGTGTGGTGGCACGCACCTGTAGTCCCAGCTGCATTAGAACTGAAGATGGCTCCCCATCTCATACACGGTGAAAGCCAGTCTTTATCAAGTTCTACATGTAGCTGGTGCAGTGTTTCACACCTGTAATCCCAGCACTCAGCACTTTGGGAGGCTGTGGTGGGTTTCACTTGAGCCTGGGAGATAGAGGCTGCAGTGAACCGAGATCACGGCATTCCAGCCTGGGTGACAGAGTGAGACCCTGTCTTAACAAAAGAGACTTGGAGGGGCTGGAGGGGAAGGTGGAAAGGCAGAGGAAAAGGCAACTGGAACTTAGGGTATGGTCTTGTTACTCTTCACCAGGAACCATTTGAGGTAGGCCCCCAAGTTACAGATGGGGAAACTGAGGCCCAGAGAGGTTAAAATACTTGTGCAGAATCACACAGCTGGCTGATGACAGAAGCACGATGCAAACTGAGGCCTCCCAAGACTTTCTGCACCAGGACCAGCCAGCCATGCTGTTACCTACTCATTCAACAAACAGCTGTGGAGTATTGACTCTAACGTCAGTCCCTGCCTGGGCCCCTGAGAGACAGTCATCAGGGAGATCATCTATGAAGACACAATAATGGTATGTTAGAAGGTGACCAGTAGCAAAAACTATGAGCATAAAGGAACTGGGTGGGCAGGCAAGGTTATGCTTAATAGGGAGGTCGGGCGGGCCTCAAGGTAAGTGTTGAGCTAAGACTTGGAGGGGCGGAAGGGAGCAATGGGGACACCTGGGGAAAAGGTTCTGAAGGCAGAGCCATGCTTGGCATGACTGAGGAAAAGCAAAGTGGCCAATGTGGCCAGAGCAGGATGGGGCAAGGGAAGAACAATGGATGGGGGCAGAGGATCGGACCCAAGTCATGTAGAAACTTTTTTTTTTTTTTGAGACAGGTTCTCATTGTACCTCCCAGGCTGGAGTGCAGTGGTGTGATCATGGCTCACTGCGGCCTTGACCTCCTGCTTTAGCCTCCTGAGTAGATGAGACTAGGCATGTGTCATCATGCCTGGCTATTCTTTTAATTTTTATTTCGCAGAGATGGGGTTTTGCTATGTTACCCAGGCTGGCCTTGAACTCCTGGGCTCGTGCAATCCCACCACAGCCTCCTAAAGTGCTGAGTGCTGGGATTACAGGCGTGAACCACTGCACCAGCTACATGTAGAACTTTATAAAGACTGTTGCTTTCACTATGCGTGAGATGGGAAGCCGTCTTGAGTTCTAAAAGACGCCCAGTAGAAAACAAACCTGTCATCTGGGGCAGGTCAGCAGGCCCAGGTTGAAGGTCCCTCTGTTGGGGGCCTGCCAGAGGGTCTGGCCTTCAAGGCCCAAATGGCATCCAGTATCCAGGGTGGCGGCAGCTCGGTCCCCACCAGATCCCTCTGCAGCATGACTCCGCTGAAGGTTCTGGCTGCCGACTCCCTTAGGAAGCCCCTGTGTGCTGGCCCAACTCTCCAGGCCTCCAGTTCATTCTCTGAACCACCTGACACCCCTTCCCATGCATTCCTTTTCTGCTTATGTTAACCAGAGTGGGATACTGTTGTTTGTGACAAACAGCCCCGCTTGGTACTCTGACGTGATCTATCGTCCAGGTCTCAACTCAAGTGCCCCTGTGAGGCCTGCCCTGCCAACCCCAGGCACTTCCACATCTCCCTGCTTTCTGTTCTTCAGGGCGTTCATCACCAAAAGCATCTTGTGTAGTTATTTCTTCCTTTCTCTCACCACTAACCTTCATGAGAGTAGGGGCCATACCCACCATTACCCCCAGTAACCCCAGGGCCTACACCAAGGCTGAGGGAACAGGAGCCTGCTAATGAGTATTTGTTGAACAAATGGGTAAAAGCTGCTGATGTGGACGTTTTATGAAAGGAGTCAAAGCCATGTGTCTAGAGCGTCAGTTCTGATGATGTTGGGTCCAAGCCCAGATGTGCGTGTGCAAGAGCCTCGGTTCAGCTCCAGAAGACTCCTGGGGTACAGATGAGAAAGGACCCCAGGGACCACTGGCTTATCCTGAACAGAAAAAGGGAGAGAGGAGGCCAGGCGCAGTGGCTCACGCCTATAATCCCAGCACTTTAAGAGGCCAAGACAGGAGAATAATTTGAGCCCAGGAGTTCAAGAAGAGCCTGGGCAACATATCGAGGTTGCATCTCTACAAAAAATTAAAAAAATAGAAATTAGCAAAGCCTGGTAGCACATGCCTGTGGTCCCAGCTACTCTGAAGGCTGAGGCGGGAGGATCACTTGAGCCTGGGAATTCAAGGCTGCAACGAGCTATGATCGCACCACTGCACTCCAGCCTGGGAGATAGAATGAGACGCCGTCTCAAAAACAGAAAAAAGAAACAGCCTTATTGAGGAATAACTGATATGCACAGAACTGCACGTGGTTAATGTGTACAATTTGGTAAGTCTGGACATTTGCAAACACCCATGATACTGTCACTACCCTGAGGGAATAGACATAGCCAACACCTCCCCAAGTTTCCTTGTGTCTCTTTGGTTTTGGTTTTGTTTTGGGTTTTCCCGTGTGTGGTAACAACACAACAAGAGACCTACCCACTTAACAGATTTTGAAATGTACAGCATTGTTATTCATAGGCCCTGTGTTGTACAGCAGATCTCTAGAACGTATTCCTCTAGCATAACTGAAACTTTACACCCATGGAAAAACTCCCCGTTTTGCCCACCCTCCAGCCCCTGCTAACCACTATTGTATACACTGCTTCTGTGAGTTTCACTGTTGTAGATACCTCATAAAAATGGAACCATGCGGCCGGGCGCGGTGGCTCACGCCTGTAATCCTAGCACTTTGTGATTGGGAGGCCGAGGTGGGCAGATCACGAGGTCAGGAGATCAAGACCATCTTGGCTAACACGATGAAACCCCATCTCTACTAAAAATACAAAAAATTAGCCGGACGTGGTGGCGGGCACCTGAAGTCCCAGCTACTCAAGAGGCTGAGGCAGGAGAATGGCGTGAACCGGGGAGGCGGAGCTTGCAGTGAGCCAAGATCGCGCCACTGCACTCCAGCCTGGGCGACAGAGCGAGACTCCGTCTCAAAAAAAGAAAAAAAGGAACCATGCAGTATTTGTCCTTCTGTGCCTGGCTTATTGCACTTGGCATAATGTCCTCCAGGTCCATCCATGTAGCTGCAAAAGGCAAGATTCCCTTCTTTTTTTGGGGTTGAATGTTATTGTCTTGTATGTCTCTACCACCATTTCTTTACCCATTAATCTGTAACTGACGCTTGAGTTGTCACAACACACTTTCTAGGCTGATCCATCAGTACATGGGTGATGCAAAATGGTAGCCTCCGGTCACAATAGCTGACATCTTTGATTCCAGCACTTTGGGAGACTGAAGCAGGTGGATCAGTTGAGCCCAGGAGTTCACGATCAGCCTGGGCAATACGGCAAAACCGCGTCTCTACGAAAAATACAAAAAACTAGCCGGGTATGGTGGCATCCACCTTTGGTACCAGCTACTCAGGAGGCTGAGGTAGGAGGACCGCTTGAGTCTGGGGGACAGAGGCTGCAGTGAGCCGATAGCGCACCACTGTACTCCAGCCTGGGCGACGGAGTGAGATCCTGTCTCAAAAATTACACTACAATACACTACACTACACTACACTACACTACAATACTAAAATAAAATAAAATAAAATAAAATAAAATAAATAAAATAAAATAATAAAATAAAATAAAATAAAATAAAATAAAATAAAATCGGTGGCCTCAACCCCAAGTGTGAGTGGCTTTTCAGTTTGGCTCTCCAGGGCTGCTCAGGAGCATTTCCTGTATCTCTTAATTTAGCTTCTCAGGAGAGAAATGACAGCACAAGTTATGACTCATCTCCTTAAGTCAAGTGTCAGTGATGTGGTGACATCACATGGTAAAACCATGGCTATGGGCAAGGCACACAAAGCCAGACGTGTCTTTCCCAGGAAGTCCCTGACCCAGTGGGAAAGGAAGAAGGGAGAGGTGGCAGCCAATGGAAAGAAGGGGCAGGAGCCAAGCAGGGCCACAGGACCCGAAGCAGAAATGATTCAGAAAGCAAAGACTAATAAACAGCCAATAGCAAGACACTTAAAAAAAAAAAAAGAGAGAAATGACCTACATGACCAAGAAAGGGTGAATAAATTTCACTATGGCCATCTGAAGGCTAGAAAGTTATGCAGCCATTGCTGTTTAATGATGAATAATGGTGTGGTATCTTGCAAATGTGTAGGGAACACAGAAGGATGAAAATTGAGTTTAGACTGAGTTCTTTTTCTTTTCTTTGAGACAAGGTCTTGCTCTGTTGCCCAGGCTGGAGTGCAGTGATGCAATCATAGCTTATTTCAAGCTTGAATTCCTTGGATTCAGGCGATCCTCCTGCCTCGGCGCCCCACCCAGAGTAGCTGGGACCACAAGTGTGCACCACCATGCCTGGCTGAGTTTTATTTTACTTTTTGTAAAGATGGGATCTCACTATGTTGCCCAAGCTGGTCTCAAATTCCTGGATTCAAACCATTCTCCCTCCACCATGAGCCACCGCCCTGGTGTGATCAGTGATGTGGAGCTTCTTTTCATGTGTGCTTGTCTTCTTTGGGGAAATGTCTAAGCCTTTTGCCCAGTTTTGAATTGGCTTCCTTGTTTTTGTAATTGTTGAGTTGTAGGAGTTTTTTTAATATGTTCTAGATATTAATCCCTCATTATACATACAATTTGCAAATATCTTCTCTCATTCTGTCAGTTGTCTTTTCACACTTTTTTTGGTCTTTTCTTTTGAGATAGGGTCTCACTCTGTCACCCATGTTGGAGTGAGGTGGTGTAATCATGGCTCACTGCAGCCTCGACCTCTTGGGCTCAAGTGGTCCTCCCACCTCAGCCTCCCAAGTAGCTGGGACTACAGGCACATGCCACCATGCCCAGCTAATTTTTTATTTTTTATTTTTTTTTATTTATAGAGATGGGGGTCTCCCTGTGTTGCCCAGGCTGGTCTCAAAACTCCTGGGAACAACTGATCTTCCCACCTTGGCATTCCAAAATGCTGGGATTTACAGGCATGAGCCACCACACCTGGCCTCTTGTCACTCCCTTCATAGTGTTTTTTGATGAAAGTTCTTCAACTGATGAAGATCAATTTATCTATTTTCTTGTGTTGCCTGTGCTTTGGGTGTTATATCCAAGAAAACATTGCTGAATCCCATGTTTTCAAGGGTTTCCCCTATGTTTTCTTCTAAGAGTTTCATGATTTTAGCTCCTATGTTTTTGATCCATTTTGAGTTAAATTTATATATGGTGTATGGTAAGAGTCCTACTTCATTTTTTTACATATACTCAGTTTTCTCAGCACTGTTTATTGAAAAGATTGTTTTTCCCCCCATTAAATGGTCTTGGCACATCTCTCTTTCCTTTCTTTCTTTTCTTTTCTCTGTCTATTTCCTCCCTCCCTCCCTTCCTTCTTTCCTTCTCTCTTTCTCTGTCTTTCTATCTCTCTCTCTCTCTCTCTCGTCTCACTTTGTCACCCGGGCTGAAGTACAGTGGAGTGATCTTGGCTCACTGCAACCTCAACTCTCTCTCTTTCTTTCTCAAGAGTCTCACTCTGTCACCCAGGCTGGAGTGCAGTGGAATAATCTCGGCTCACTGCAACTTGAACCTTCCAGCTTCAAGTGATTCTCGTGCCTCAGCTTCTCGAGTATCTAGGATTACAGGCATGCGCCGCCACGCCTGGCTAATTTTTGTATTTTTGGTAAAGACAAGGTTTTGCCATATTGGCCAGGGTGGTCTCAAACTCCTGACCACAAGTGATCCTCCTGCCTCAGCCTCCCAAAGTATTAGGATTACTGGTGTGAGCCACTGTGCCCAGCACATCTTGGCACCCTTTTCAAAACTCAACTGACCACTGACGTGAGGGTTTGTTTCTGGGCCCTCTATTTCACCCCATTGATCTAGATATCTGTCCTTATGCCAGTATCACAGTTTTTGGTTTTTCTTTTCCTTTTTTTTTTTTTTTGAAACAGAGTCTCACTCTGTCACCCAGGCTGGAATGCAGCGGCGTGATCTTGGCTCACTACAACCTCTGCCTCCTGGGTTCAAGTGACTCTCCTGCCTCAGCCTCCCGAGTAGCTGGAATTACAGGTGCACGCCACCATGCCCAGCTATTTTGTATTTGTAATAGAGATGGAGTTTCACCATGTTGGCCAGGCTGGTCTCGAACTCCTGACCTCAAGAGATGCACCCACCTGGGCCGCCCAAAGTGCTGGGATTACAGGTGTGAGCCACTGCACCCAGCCTGTTTTGTTTTTTTGAGACAGGAGTCTCACTCTGTTGCCCAGGTAGAGTGCAGTGGCATGATCTCAGCTCACTGAAAGCTCTGCCTCCCGGGTTCACGCCATTCTCCTGCCTCAGCCTCCTGACTAGCTGGGACTACAGGTGCCCACCACCACGCCTGGCAAATTTTTTTGTATTTTTAGTAGAAACGAGGTTTCACTGTGTTAGCCAGGATGGTCTCGATCTCCTGACCTTGTGATCCACCTGCCTTGGCCTCCCAAAGTGCTGGGATTACAGGCGTGAGCCACTACCCCCGGCCAAGTTCTCCAAATCTTCTTCTTTTTCACAATTGTTTTGATTATTCAGGGAGGGTGCCTTGAAATTCCCTATGAGGTTTAGAACGAGTTTTCTATTTCAGAAAGAAAATCAAACATGCCATTGGAATATTCAGAACGATTACATTGAATCTGTAGATTGCTTTGGATAGTCTTGACACATCATAATAATATTAAGTCTTCCTTCATAAACATAGGATGTCTTTCATTTATTTATGTCTTCTTTAATTACTTTCAGCAAGGTTTTATCATTTTCAGTGTGTGAGTCTTTCACCTTCTTGGATAAATTTATTGTAAAGTGCCTTATTCTTTTTGATGCTATTACAATGATTTTCTTTTCTCTGGACTGTTTATTGCTATCGTATATAAATGCAACTGATTTTTGCGCTTTGCTGAATTGGTTTATTTGCTCTAACAATTTTTTGTAGAATCTTTATGGTTCTCTACATAGAAAATCAATGGGCAAACAGAGATAATTTTTCTTCTTGGCCAGGTGCAGTGGCTCATGCCTATAATCCCAGCACTTTGGGAGGTGAGGTCAAGCTGATAGCTTCAGTCCAGGAGTTCGAGACCAGCCTGGCCAACACAGTGAAACCCCATCTACTAAAAATACAAAAAAAAAAAAATCAGCCAGGTGAGGTGGCACGCACCTGTAGTACCAGCTACTTGGGAGGCTGAGGCAGAAGAATCGCTTGAACCCAGGAGGCAGAGGTTGCAGTGAGCCGAGATCGCACCACTGCACTCCAGCCTGGGAGACAGAGTGAGACTCCATCTCAAAAAGAAAAAAACAAAAAGCAATATCAACAAAGCAAAATGACAGCCTACCAAACAGGAGAAAATACTCACAAAGAGATTACTATCTGGGATAGATAAAGAACTCCAAACACTCAAACAAAAAAACAAATTCAAAAATGGGCAAAAAGGCCAGGTGCAGTGGCTCATACCTGTAGTGCCAGCATTTTGGGAGGCTGAGGCAGGAGGATCACTTTGGGCCAGGAGTTCAAGACCAGCCTAGACAACATAGCGAGACCCTGCCTCTACAAAAAAAAATTAAAAATGAGCCAGGCATGGTGGCACGAGCCTCTAGTGCCAGCTACTTGGGAGGCTCAGGCAGGAGAATCACCTGAGTCCAGGAAGTTAAGGCTGCAGTGAGCTATGATTGCACCACTGCAAGGACAGAATAAGATCCTGTGTCTTAAAAGAAAGTAATTATCTGTTCCACTTCCACTCCCAGGTGGAATTGAAACAAGAACTCAAGCAAATAGTGCACCAATGTTCATAGCACCATTAGTCACACAATAGGAAAAGGTGAAAAGAAACTCACTGTCCATCAAAAGTTCAATGGCCAAACGATGTGTGAAAAATACATAAAATGGATTATTATTCAGTCATAAAAAGGACTGAAGCTCTGATCCACGCTTAATATTAACAAAACATTGAAAGCATTATGCTAACTGAAATAAAGACAGCCACAAGGCACAAATATTATATGATCCCTCTTCTATGAGGTATCTAAAATGGGCCAATTCATAGGGACAAAGTAAAATAGAGGTTACTGGCAGCTGGGGAGGGGGAAATGAAGAGTTATTGTTTAATGGCTATAGTTTGTTTTGTGTGAGTGAAGAAAAAGTTTTCACATAGTGGTGGTGTTTACACAACACTATTGATGTACGTAGTGCCACTGAACTGTACATTTCAAAATGGCTATAATGATAAACTTTATGTATATTTTGTCACAACTTTTTAAAAGTAAAAAGTTATATACATATAAATATTCCTTAAATTTGTATCTACATTATCAAAAACTGGGAACAAGCTGAAGTATAAAAGGGGGAACAATTTAACACACATCAGTAAGAATGAAACTTGTTTATGCTAAAACAGAAAATATAAAATGATGTTTGCTAGGAGAATAACTATTAAAAACATGCCCACAAAGACTGAACACTAATATACAAAAATTAAGATAATTCTATTATAATTTTCTCTCATTTCCTTCCTCTAGTTATATTAACATGTTAGATTTCTTTTCAGTCTACTAACAACAACAATATGCCACATCAAAATAATTATCCTGACTGCTAAGCTACTGGGTTGAGATAGGTCTGTTTTAATACAAAGCAGCTTCAACTAAGAGCCTAGGAATTACTACGCAGCCAGGCCTACAAAGGCAGTCCCAAGAAACAAGACGGAACACTCAAATGGCTATCCTTCTTCACTTTCACACTGACAGCTTGTGTTCTTCCCCACATCTTACCTGAAGGCAGGGTCAGGGAAATTCAGAATTTCACAGGAGAATATGGAAAAATTGAGAGCAAGACATAAATGAATGGGATGCATTGGTGAAAGTTCTCTTACTGCAATATCACTAGCAGCTTTGTAAGCCACCAAGCTGTTCTCTGCCACCTCCTTCCTGTCATTTCCTGTGGCAAATTCTGCCAGATACCTGTGGTAGACCCCTTTCCTACAGCAAAATTAAAAAAAAAAATTAAACCAGGAACAATGATTTTTAAAGTAAAAGAGCTAAAATTGTTCTATATAATATAAAATATGTGACAAAAAATATACGTAACAATTAACAAGTGTACTTCAATAATTTTAAACACTCAGGAATATTTGGCTTCATTTCATTTTTTTCTTAGACATTTCATACTATTTTCCTTATTAAATGTAACCAAAAATCCCACAGAGATTAACTGAGGAGCCTCTAAATATCAGCAAAACTATCGCTTGATAGACTAGAATTAAACAAGCAAGTGGTTCCAAGAAATGGCACAAGTGTATTAATCATAAAATAAAATTTCTACATGAAACATTCAGCCAGCACTGTGCAATATGTGGCCATTTAGGGGAGGGGAATGAGATAGGTCCCATGAAAGCAAAACAATATAAATAAGTAAAGCAAAAGCTAATGCATTTTTATAATAGCCTGACCATCTTTTTATTCCAACATCAACTATCCTTCTAACATTAAACAATTATTTGTAAATAAAAGTTGGAAACCTACATAGAAGAAAGTCATGATTCTAAAAAGGCCAACTTTTAATCTTACATTTTCCTTTCTAGTATAGAACCTACATTTCATAATAGAAAACCTTGGACTTGCCAGTGGTAGCTGCTGGAATGAGGTGTTTGTCCAGTGCATCCAGAACATCGCCGCAGATTAACTTTAGCTCAGTCTCAACCTGAAAAAATAAAGATAAATTTTAAAAAATCAGACTGTTTCAGTCTAGAAATTCTGTAAATTTATTACACATTCTATCTACCTCTGGTTTTGAGGAAGAGAGCTTAGTGTTACAGAGAATTCATTTCCCTCTCCAAACTCCCTTCCTCCCTTTTGACACAAAAGCAGAGAAAAGCTGCCTGTCGGTTATCAAAAGTATCTTTTCCTTCCTGCCTGCAATTAAGTGCTACACACACACCACCCCCCACCCCAATACCCCCTCACAGTCCAACTGCAGAATCACCAATGACTGAAACTAAACACTGATGCTACTTGGTAAACGCTGGTCAATTACATGAATCTTTCACAAGGTAGCAACTATTGTATCCATTTACTGGGAAAGCAGAACCTAAGACATTTGCTCAAAGATCATCACCTTAAAAGAACTTAATAAGCAGAGCTAGGATTTGAAACCAGGCAGGGTGCAAGGGACAGAACAAAATTCAAACCCAGGCAATTTGCCTTCAGTACGTACATTCCTAACAACGTTGAACAGGCAATCCCTTTAGTGGAAGAGATCCAAAACTAGTTAAGATACCAAAAATCTATGGACCAAAAAAACTACTGCCACTCATCTCTATTCATTTATAATGCTGAAAATGTACAGCACCTCTAAACGCACATACCCAGCTTGCTTCCTTTTTTTTTTTTTTTTTGAGACGGAGTTTTGCTTTGTCCCTCAGGCTGGAGTGCAATGGCACCATCTCAGCTTACTGCAAGCTCTGCCTCCCGGGTTCACACCATTCTCCTGCCTCAGCCTCCCGAGTAGCTGGGACTACAGGCGCCACCACCATGCCCGGCTATTTTTTTTTTTTTTTTTTTTGTATTTTTAGTAGAGACAGGGTTTCACCATGTTAGCCAAGATGGCCTCGATCTCCTGTCCCCGTGATCCTCCCACCTCGGCCTCCCAAAGTGCTGAGATTACAGGCATGAGCCACTGCACCCAGCCTGGGTTTTTTTTTTTTTTTTTTTTTTGAGACAGGAGTCTCACTCTGCTGCCCAGGCTAGAGTGCAGTGGCGTGATTTCATATATAATGTTTATTCTAATAACAGCAAAAGGGGGAAGAGGGCAATGGAGCTTTACAGGAGAAAACTGCTTTCTGCAAGTCTTTATCTTTTTGCAGGTAAAAAGTCCTGCCTCAGTGTTGATGGCTTCTGACTCACTGAGGTGGTGGTTGTGGCACTTTCACTTCACTGTTTTTGTTTTGTTTTGTTTTGTTTTTAGTAGAGACAAGGTCTTGCTTTGTTGCCCTGGGTGGTCTCAAACTCCTGGCTTCAAGCAATCCTACTGTCTTTGAAAAGGTTGTGATTAATGAACTTCCAGCCCTTTTTTAAAATAACAATAAAAGTGGCTACATCAATTGACTCTTCCTTTCATAAAACACTGCTCTGTAGCATGTGCTGCTGTTTGACAGCATTTTACCTACAGTAAAACTCTCTTCAAAATTGGGGCCAATTCTCTGAAACCTTGCTGCCACTTTATCAACTAAGTATAGGGCATATTCTACATCCTTTGTTGTCATTTCAACAATGTTTACACCATCTTCACAGGAAATAGATTCCATCTCAGGAAAGCACTTTCTTTGTTCATCTATGAGAAGACATTCTTTCAAGTTTGACCATGAGATTGCAGCAATTCAGTCACATCTTCAGGCTCCACTTCTAATTCTAGCTCTCTTGCTACTGGCCACCACATCTGCAGCCTCCATCAAAGTCTTGAATCTCTCAGTCATCCATGAAGGACAGAATCAACTTCTTTTCAAATTCCCGTTCATGTTGATATTTTGACCTCCTCCCATAAAACACAAATGTTCTTAATGGTACCTAGAATGGTGAATTCTTTCCAGAAAGTTTTCAATGTACTTTGCCCAGATCCATCAGAGGAATCACCCTCTATATAGCAGCCATAGCCTTTCAAAATGTATTTCTTAAATAATAAGACTTTTATATCAAATTGTCTCCTGGATCCACGGACTGCAGGATGGATGTTGTGTTAGCAGGCACGAAAAGAACATTTTCTTATACATCTTCATCAGAGCTCCTAGGTGACTATGTGCATTGTCAAAGGGTTACTAATTGGCCTACATTCAATATTGCTGTGTCTTAAGGAATAGGGAGGCCTGAGGAGAGTAGAGAGAGATGAGGGAACAGCCAGCTAGTACAGCAGTCAGAACACTTACAACATTTATTAACTTCACCTCATAGTAATATCAAAGGTCACTGATCATACATAACCATAACAGATATAATAATGAAAATGTGTGAAATATTATGAGAATTTTAAAAAGGGACAAAGAGCCACTAAGTGAGCACATGCTGTTGGAAAAATGAAACTGATAGACTTGCTTACTCCAGGGTTGCCGCAAACCTTCAATTTGGTAAAAAAAAAAAAAAAAACCATGCAATTCCTGTCAAGTACAATAAATAGGAGCCCAATAAAATGAGATATGCTTAAGAAAAAAAAGATATGCTTATACATCTTACTACAATTAAGTACAGTCTAGCAAGATAAAGATAGTAAGCCCTACAACAACCACTAAGAAAATAACCCAAGAAAAATCGTTTTAAAAATCATAAAGAAGGCCAGGCCAGTGAGCCAAACACCTGTACTTCCCAGCACTTTGGGAGACTGAAGCAGGAGGATAGCTTGAGCCCAGGAGTTTGACACCAGCCTGGGCAACATAACCCGTCACTGCAAACAAGAAAAAACTTAGGCATGATGGCATGTTGTTGCGGGAATTCAGGGACCCCGAACGGAGGGACCGGCTGAAGCCATGGCAGAAGAACATAAATTGTGAAGATTTCATGGACATTTATTAGTTCCCCAAATTAATACTTTTATAATTTCTTACGCCTGTCTTTACTGCAATCTCTGAACATAAATTGTGAAGATTTAATGGACATTTATCACTTCCCCAATCAATACTCTTGTGATTTCCTATGCCTGTCTTTACTTAATCTCTTAATCCTGTCATCTTCGTAAACTGAGGATGAATGTTGCCTCAGGACCCTGTGATGGTTGTGTTAACTGCACAAATTGTTGGTAGAGCACGTGTGTTTGAACTGTATGAAATCTGGGCACCTTGAAAAAAGAACAGGATAACAGCGATGTTCAGGGAACAAAGGAGATAACCTTAAAGTCTGGCGGCCTGTGGGCCGGGCGGAAGAGAGCCATATTTCTCTTCTTTCAAAAGCAAATAGGAGAAATATTGCTGAATTCTTTTTCTCAGCAAGGAGCATCCCTGAGAAAGAGAATGCATTCCTAAGGGGGGGGTCTCTAAAATGGCCGTTTTGGGAACGTTTGTCTTTTATTGTTGTTGATAAGGGATGAAATAAGCCCCAGTCTTCCGCAGCGCTCCCAGGCTTATTAGGACAAGGAAATTCCCGCCTTATAAATTTTGGTCAGACTGGTTGTCTGCTCTCAAACCGTCTCCTGATAAGATGTTATCAATGACAATGTGTGCCCGAAACTTCATTAGCAATTTTAATTTCACCCCGGTCCTCTGATCTCGCCCTGCCTCCATTTGCCTTGTGATATTGTATTACCTTGTGAAGCATGTGATGTCTGTGACCCACACCTTATTCGTACACTCCCTCCCCTTTTGAAAGTCACTCATAACAACTTGCTGGTTTTGCAGCTTAGGGGGCATCACGGAACCTGCCGACATCGGATGTCTCCCCCGGACACCCAGCTTTAAAATTTCTCTCTTTTGTACTGTTTCCCTTTATTTCTCAGACCGGCTGACATTTAGGGAAAATAGAAAAGAACTCATGTGAAATATCATGGGCTGAATTTCCCCTGACAATGTGGCAGTAGTCCCTGCTGCTTGTGAGGCTGAGCAGGGAGGATCACTTGAACCTGGGAGGTTGATGTTGCAGTGACCATGACAGTGCCACTGCACTCCAGACAGGGTGACAGAGCAAGACCCTATCTCAAAAATAAAATAAAAGGGCAGCGGCAGCAAGACACAACTCCCAGTCAGCCACACCATCATGAGACTAAACAACCAATGCTTGCTTGACCAGTGAACCATGTAGCCAGATGATTTTTTCCCAACTGTAGGCTAATGTAAGTGTTCTGAGCATGTTTAATGTAGGCTAGGCTAAGCCAAGGTGTTAGATAAATAAGGTATATTTCTTTCTTTTCTTTTTTTAAAGAGATGGGGTCTCACTATATTGCCTAGGCTGCAGTGAAGTGGCTGTTCACAGGTGCAATAATCACGCACTAAAGCCTCAAAATCCTGGGCTCAAATAATCCTCTTGCCTTACCAGAATGTAATCTGCTCATAACTTAAGAAGCATCTGTACTTAAGATTAAAAAGGTAGAAAAACAAAACAAAACAAAACAGGAACTAAGTAGTCATAAGAAAAAAAAAAAGGGCAGGCTGCCAACCCAGGACCAAGGGGTAAGGCCATGCCAGTGGGCCTAGAGAACAGAATATCAAGCCACAGAGAACTATTTTCAAGTCTCAGAACTGAATGGAATTAGTCCTGCAGACTTACAAACCTGCTTTAAGCCCTTTTTCCTTCCAATTTATCTCTTTTGGAATGGGAATGCTTCTCTGCCTGTCCCACCATTGCATCTCAGAAACAGATAACTTGTTTTCTATGTATCACAGGTTTAGAAATAGAAGGATTTTTTTTTCTCTTTTTTTTAAGACAGAGTCTCACTCTGGCCACCCAGGCTGGAGTGCAATGGCGCAATCTCAGCTCACTGCAACCTCTGCCTCCCAGGTTCAAGCAGCTCTCCTGCCTCAGCCTCCCGAGTAGCTGGGACTACAGGCATGTGCCACCACACCCGGCTACTTTTTGTATTTTTAGTAGAGACAGGGTTTTACTGTGTTAGCCAGGCTGGTCTTCAACTCCTGACCTCAGGTAAGCTGCCTGCCTCAGCCTCCTAAAGTGCTGAGATTACAGGCGTGAGCCACCATGCCCAGCAGAGATAGAAATTTTGCTTCAGGATTAACCAACGTCTTAACCCATCGCCAATTCAGATGATTCAGAAGTTGAGATTTGGGACTTTCTGAGTTTATTCTATTCAGGTAAGATGTGAGACTTACTTATAGAGTTTACATCAAAATAGATTAACACTTTTGGGGGATACTGGGATACAGCACATCTATTCTGTATGTGGAAAGAACACAAATTCTGGGGGGACCAGAAGGCAGTCTGCTATGGGTTGAATTGTGGTCCCCAAGAAATGTATGTGAAGTCCTTAACCCCCAGTATCTTAGAGAGTAACTTCATTTGGAAAAACGATCATTGCAAATGTAATTAGGATGAGGTCACATGATGGAGTAGGGCAGGCCCCTAATCCAATATGACTGATCTCCTAATAAGAAGATGGCCATATGGAGACAGAGACAAAGGAAGAATGGAATGTGAAGACAGAAGCAGAGATTAGGGTGATTAAAAAAAAAAAAAAAAGTGCCAATCATTGACACCCATCACCAGAAGCTAGGAGGCATGGAAGAGATTTCCCTTAAGAGTTCTCAGAAGGATGCAACCCAGCTGATATCTTGACTTCAGACTTGTAGCCTCCTTAATCGTGAGAAGAAATTTCTGCTGCTTTAAGCCACCCAGTTTGTGATATTTTGTTACAGCAGCCCTAGGAAACTACTACAGGGGGTGTATGAAGAATTGGCTATGAGCTGTTCATGTTTTAGAATCGGTTGATGAATGTACGCAGGGTGTTTGTTATATTGTTGTTTACTGTTTTATATATTTGACAATTTCAGAAATAAATTCTTTTTTTTTTTTTTGAGATGGAGTCTCTCTTTGTGGCTCAGGCTGGAGTGCAGTGGTGTGATCTCGGCTCACTGCAAGCTCCGCCTCCTGGGTTCACACCATTCTCCTGCCTCAGCCTCCCAAGTAGCTGGGACTATAGGCACCCACCACTATGCCTGGCTAATTTTTTTGTATTTTTAGTAGAGACAGAGTTTCACCATGTTAGCCAGGATGGTCTCGATCTCCTGACCTTGTGATCCGCCCATCTTGGCCTCTCAAAGTGCTGGGATTACAGGCGTGAGCCACTGCGCCTGGTTCAGAAATAAATTCTTAATAAACAAAACAATGTCATAATAAGTAGAGTAAGTATTAAAGCTTTAAAAAGCAGAAGCAAACAAATTAGAAAACAGTGGAATAAAGTTGGAAATAGGCCCCAAAGCTGTTCTTTATATCAGGTATAAAAGAAATCGATCAATGCCAGCACAGCGGCTCGCACCTGTAATCCCAGCACTTTCAGAGGCCAAGGTGGGCAAATCACCTGATATCAGGAATTCGAGACCAGCCTGGCCAACATGGTGAAACCCCGCCTCTACTAAAAATACAAAAAAAAAATTAGCTGAGTATGGTGGTAGACACCTATAATCCTAGCTACTCGGGAGGCTGAGACAGGAGAGTGGCTTGAACTCGCGGGGAGGAGGTTGTAGTGAGCCAAGATTGCACCACTGCACTCCAGCCTGGGCAACAGAGTGAGACTCCATCTCAAAACAAAAGAAAAAAATTTTTTGGTTAAGAGTTTAGATAAAGGAAAAAACTCCATTTAAATGTTTGTGTGAAGAAAACCATAATGGATTACATGGCACAACAACAGTTTCAAAAAATTAAAACCAATTTGTAAACATTAATCATCACGGTTACTTATATGCCCATAAAAATGATCTATATGCTCCTAGTGTCACATAAGACACGTTAATCTAGGAGTCTACTTCACTCAGACTTTTTGCAACTAACATGCATTCTTTGTTTCTTCATCACTGTGGGGAAGAGGTGGTACATACAAAAGGTTCTTGACATAACCCTATAAAAAGATGATCACATGGTGTATTATCTGGGAATTTAAATGGTCACAATTCCAGGATACGTCAATGCTATCAACTTTAAAAAAAAAATAAATTTGACCTATAATGGGGGGGCCAGCTGGGGGTAGGGGAGAAAGAGGCAAACTGTGTATCCTGGAACTTTGTAACTGGAAAAAAATTACCAGCAGCAGCAGCCTGATCAAAACTGCAACTTCTTGCCCACCTGGACAACCCAGCTCTCTTTTCTAGAAATTAGCATCTATGCTCAATTTCTAATAATGGAATGGTGCCTAGGTACTCATGTTTGTCTAGGTGAAAACAGCTTCTAAATCCAGGTGCTTACATCAGAATGGCTCTCCTGGAAATTTAGGACTGAGACATTGAGTCAGTTACCTGTAGGGTAACCTGTAGAATCAGAGATTTCCCAAATTTGACCTGTCTTATTTTGATACCATGTTTCCCAGCAATGTATCCTCCCCTTAAGTATCAGTTTTTGTAAAATCTCCTAATCAATTTCTTATCAGATTATATTATATAAATACCTATCATCTAGAGTACTCCAGAAGCCAAATGAACATTAAAAAAAAAATACTGAGATAGGGCCAGGCATAGTGGCTGAGTGTAATACCAGCATTTTGGGAGGCTGAGTTGGAAGGATAACTTGAGGCCAGGAGTTCATGACCAGCCTGGGTTATATAGCAAGACGCTGTCTCTCTACCAATTCTATCAATATTTAAAAAAAAAAACTGGGTGTGGTGGTGGCACCTGTACTCCTAGCTACTTGGGAGCCTGAGGTGGGAGGACGGATTGATTGAGGCCAGGAGTTTGAGGCTATCGTGAACCATAATCGTCCACTGCAGTCCACCCTGGGGTGATGGACTAATAAGACTGTCTCTAAATAAATAAATATTACAAAAAGAAAAGCACTGAGATAGGTAATGTTGGTAAGTGAGATTATAGATTTTAATCTCATGAACAATTTTAAGTTAGCTACTATACACTCCCATTTCCAAAAGTTTAGATTGGAATGTTTGCTGCCTTTGGTAGCTAAGAGAAAAGAAATAACAATGAGGGATATTATAGTGCCATTCTTCCACAGTCCTTATCAAATAAATAGGCCTTTGAGTCTTGGAATTGTTGAGAGTAAGAAAGCAAATAATATATAAAGTTGACAAGCACAAAAGACACAAAGAGGCCAGGCATGGTGGCTCAAGCTTGTAATTCCAACACTTTGGGAGGTCAGGGCAGGGTGGTTGTCTGAATCCAGGAGTTCAAGACCAGCCTAGGCAACATAGTGAGATCCCATCTCTACAAAAAATAAAAACAAAAGTAGCCAGACATGAATGGTGCATGCCTGTAGTCCCAGCTACTCAGGAGGCTGAGGTGGGAGGATCACTTGAGGCTGGGAGGTCGAAGCTACAGTGAGCTGTAATTGCACCACTGCACTCCAGCCTGGGGAACAGTAAGACCATGTTGGAAAAAAAGAAGAGGGGAGGGGAAGGGGAGGAGAGACCACAAGAAACAAATATAATGAATAATAGTTTACTATTCCTGAGAAAAAGAGAATACCAAATGTGAGAGAATGTGTAACTAGGGTTGGGGAGAGCGGGCTGGAGAGAGAGAGCACGCAAAGACAACAGAGAGAAGTCAAATAGGAAATTTCAAAATGAGAATCAGCTGATGTATAAAAAAAGAGCAAAATAATTTTTTTACCGATAGAACTGCAAGATTTAGCTTTCCAAAATGATTCCATTCTCCAGAAAAGAAAAATTAATTTAAGCACTCATCTAAGTAACTAGTATAAAGTGCCAAGCAAAAATAAACATTTATTAGGTATAGGCAAATGCAAATATATTCAATGCTTTCGTACAAATGTGAATATCTGGGGGCCTTATTATCATCTTGTTAATATATGCCAGTGAACAATTTGTAGACACAAGACTTGTTTTACAAGCAGGGTAATATGTTCCATGAACGTAAGCCAGGAATTTAAGACTTAGTGTCTATATCTTCATTCTAAGAAATGTTTCAATTAACTCACTGTGTGTGTGTGTGTGTGTGTGTGTGTGTGTGTGTGTGTGTGTGTGTGTGTGTGTATGTTTTCTATCTCATGTGGTGGTGATGAGCCTAGTACTTATATTCTTGAAATGGAAATCCCATTCTGATATTTCTTCCTCCCTCTTCTCTGTCACATTAAACTGATCACCAGGCTCTTACATATTACATACACCAGCTGAAGCTCTTACATATTACCGAATGTCTCTGTCCCGTTGTTCCTACTACTTCAGATCCTCATTCCAGTGTCTGGGACACTGTCAGAGTCTAAATAGATTCTAGGTCTCTTGTCTCGTCTATCTTCCATCTCCCAATCCTCCTTCCCCTGATCCATTAGAATGACAGACCTAAGCATATCCTTTCTGAACATAAAAACCCTTCAATAACTTTAGGGATAAACTTTAGGCTCCTTAACATGATGCATGAGGTGCCTGAACATCTGACCCTTGACAGTCCTTCTCAGCATTCTGGCACATTCAGGGTCCTAACAATACCACCCTTCTCCCTGCCACCATCCCAAATCCCTCCCCCTGCTCACCACTCTCCTTGTTATTTTCCACTTCAAAGCTTTTGCTCCTTCAATCTGTAAAATTAACAGCCACTCATGTGTTCCTTCCTTTCTCCTCTCTTCACAGCCAGCACCTGGAGGTTTCTTACTCTTAGGAAAAACTGCGACCTTTTCTAAGATACCTCCTCCCTCTTTCCTTAGTCCTGTTAAAGGTTAGGTGGACATTCACTGTACCTCGAAAATCCTTGCACATATTATTTTTTAACAATCACCGATTGATGTACGTCTATCCACCATACAGACCTGGTACATATAAGAGGACATGCCAGAAATGAGGACGAGATCAATGGGCAGATAGATGAAATGTTTAGCTTCCCTATTTACCTGAAACCTCATTTTTGGGAGTCCTAAAACCCATAAAGAATATTTAGTGCTTTCAAAAATATCTTTTACTTGGCCAGGTGCAGTGGCTTACACCTGTAAACCCAGCATTTTGGGAGACTAAGGCCACTGGATCACTTGAGGTCAGGAGTTCGAGCCCAGCCTGGCCAACATAGCAAAACCCCATCTCTACTAAAAATACAAAAGTTAGCCGGGCATGGTGGTCCCGCCTATAATCCCAGCTACTCAGGAGGCTGAGGCATGACAAGAATCACTTAAACCTGGGAGGCAGAGAGGGTGCACTGGGCCAAGATCACACCACTGCACTCCAACCCGAGTGATGGAGTGAGAATCTGCCTTAAAAAAATAAAAAATTAGCTGGGTGTGGTAGTGGATGCCTGTAATCCCAGCTACTTGGGGGCTGAGGCAGGAGAATCGCTTGAACCTGGGAGGCGGAGGTTGCAGTAAGCCAAGATCTTAGCACCGCACTCCAGCCTGGGTGACAGAACGAGACTCCATCTCAAAAAAAAAAAAAAAGTCCTGGCCAGGCGCGGTGGCTCACGCCTGTAATCCAAACACTTTGGGAGGCCAATGTGGGTGGATCACGAGGTCAGGAGATCAAGACCATCCTGGCCTGTAGTCCCAGCTACTTGGGAGGTTGAGGCAGGAGAATCGCTTGAACCTGGGGAGGTGGAGATTGCAGTGAGCCGAGATTGAGCCACTGCACTCCAGCATGGGCCACAGAGCGAGACTCCGTCTCAAAAAAAAAAAAAAAATATTTTACACAGACGCTAAATATACTGATAAAAACTTAATTGCTATCCACTACTATTACTTTTGGAAAAAAATAAGGGGGAGACAGGTTAGCAATTTCTAAGCCTTCCATTAGGTTTAATCTTACAATTAGATGACATCATGTTTTTTGATGTTTTTGTTTGTTTCTCTGGCCTATGATCATCCTTCCTATGCTTATAAACAATCTTTACTTCAGGGCTATCCAATAAAGAAGGACTATTAAAAAAGCATATATATATATATACACACACACACACACACACACACATATACATATGATATAGTCATCATCTGCTAACTACTCTCTATGCAAACTGTAGCTTTCTAAAATGAATGCTTCCTTGACTCTGAAGAATACAAGCTTCTACCCCAAAAAAGTTCACAAATCCCTTTGCTGCCACAATCTTCACATTTCTGAAAACTTATTAAAAGGTAATTTTAACAAAACATGTCAGTGAAATGATGAGTTAACGCATGTTACAGAAGAAAATATTAGCAGTCAAAAATATAAAAATAGGATACAATGATTTAAATTTTACAAAAACTGGCCACTGGCCAGGGATGCTGGCTCACGACTGCACTTTGAGAGGCTGAGATAGGAGGATTCCTTGAGACCAAGAGTTAGAGACCACCCTGGGCAACATAGGGAGATCCTGTTTCTATAAAACATAAATAGACCAGGTGCACTGGCTCACACCTGTAATCCCAGAACTTTGGGAGGCAGCCGAGGTGGGCAGATCACTTGAGGCCAGGAGTTCAAGCCCAGCCTGATCAACGTGGCGAAAACCTGTCTCTACTAAAAATACAAAAAACTATTCGGGAGTGGTGATGCATGCCTGTAATCCCAGCTACTTG
Source organism: Homo sapiens (assembly GCF_000001405.40). Lineage (NCBI taxonomy): Eukaryota > Metazoa > Chordata > Mammalia > Primates > Hominidae > Homo > Homo sapiens. The sequence goes on from NT_187614.1 coordinate 2,105,349, forward strand.
GGCTTGGGAGGCCGAGGCATGAGAATTGCTTAAACCCAGGAGGTAGAAGTTGCAGTGAGCCAAGAGTGAACCACTGCACTACAGCTTGGGTGACAGAGCAAGACTCTGTCTCAAAAAAAAAAAAAAAAAAAACCAAACAAACAAAGAAATAAATAAAAGGAAGTTAAGCTATGAGAACACAAAGGGATCAGAATGATACACAATGAACTTTGGGGACTTGGGGGAAAGGATGGGAATGCGGTGAGAGATAGAAGACTACACACTGGGCACAGTGTACGCTGCTTGGGTGATGGGTACACCGAAATCTCAGCAATCACCACTAAAGAACTTAGTCATGTAACCAAACACCACCTGTTCCCCAAAAGCCTACTGAAATAAAGAAATAAATATTTTTAAAACTGGCCATTATATATTTAACGACATGTAGAAAATTTAACAGGTCAATACAGTGAATTCTCTGCTATTTAGATATACAATAAAGATATTCTAGTAAATTTTTTCCCAGTACTCACAAAATTTCATTTTTTTCTAAATTCCACAATGTTCTAGCCACATAGGAGTATTTCTTATTCTCTGAACATGCCTACCTGCCACCTCTTCCCTTTGCACCTGCTACCCTAGGTTACGTCACTTTCTCTGTCTGGAATTTTTAGTTGATCATTTTCTGCAAAGGTCAAATGCCTAATTATTCTGCAAAGCCCTAGAAGCTCTTTGTATGCCTTACTCAATTCCTGAGACAAGAATAATTTCTCATTATTTACCCATAATACTCCATTCAGCCTTATTATTATGTAATATATATTTTAATTTTCATACATTTATTGACTTGTCTTCCTACTTGAGGAGGAAACCCCCTATTTTATTTATCCTTGAATTCCTGGTATCTAACAGAATGCTTGATACAAAGTAGGTCCATAGTAAATGCCCAGTAAATAAATGTTCCCAAACTTATCCTTTATTACCTACCATCCATTAAGGACTGATGTCTTCAAGCCCATTTTCCAATCATTCCTGTCATTTCAGAATTGCATGCCCCATTATTAGGCATAAAGAATTTATATGAACAAAACCTTATTAACTTTTTTTATTTTTTTGAAACAGGGTCTCACTCTGTTACCTAGGCTGGAGTACAGTCACACAATCATAGCTCACTGCAGCCTTGACCTCCCAGGCTCAAGAGATCCTCCCACCTCAGCCTCTCGAGTAGTTGGGAGGGACTACAGGCGAGCACCACCATGCCCGGCTAATTGTTTTTCCTTTTTGCAGAGGTGGGGTCTCAGAATGTTGCCCAGGCTGGTCTGGTACTCCTGGGCTCAAGCAATCCTCTCACTTCAACCTCCCAAAGTACTGAAATTATAGGTGTGAGCCACCACACCCGGTCCATTAACTTACTTTCTTTTTTGTTTTGTGTTTCTTTGCTTGCTGTTCTTTTTTGAGACAGGGTCTTGCTCTGTTGCCCAGGTGGGGGTGCAGGGCACAGTCACGGTTCACTGCAGCCTCAACCTCTGGGCTCAAGGGACCCTCCCACCGCAGCCTCTTGAGTAGTTGGGACTACAGACACGTGTGCCTCCCCACACCTGGCTAAATTTATTCTTTTTTGTAGAGACAGGGTCTCGCTTGTTGTCCAGGCTGGACTCAAACTTCTGGGCTCAAGCGATACTCCTGCCTGGGCGTCCCAAAGTGCTAGGACTATAGGCATGAGCCACTGAGCCTATTCTAACACTAAGTAGAACAAAACAAATCATCAACAACAAAAATCCAACAAACATAAAGCAATCGCATATAAGAAAAGCTATAAAAAGGAAAGAAATAGAAAGAAGAAAAAAATAAACTTGATAAACAGATACACCATGCTTCTGGAAGGAAGGATTCAATACTGTAAAAATATATTCATCCCTAAAACAGTATTTCACTGTAACTCTAATGTAGTCTAAATTGTGCTCTTATTAGTCCTAATGTTCATCTAGAAAAATAGATGACAATATTTGTCTTACCATATACTAAAATGTATATAAAGCTATAATAATTTAAAATAGTGTGGCACCAGGATAAAAACAGACACACCAGTGGAACACATAAAAAGTCCAGAAACACACTCAAGTATTCAAGAATTTAGTAATGATTCAAACAATATTTCAAATCACAATGGAAAGCATAGATTATTCAGCAATAGTGTTGAAAAAGTTGACTAACCAGGTGGGAGGGGAAAGTTGGGCACGTATCTTACCATATTCTAAAATTAATTCTAGGCTAATAAAATATTTATATCTAAATAATTCCTTCTTTGGTCTACCCTCGCTCCTTTTCTGCTTCAACACTTTAGTCTTAAAGCCATGAGATGGGGCTAGGCATGGTGGCTCACGCCCGTAATCCTAGCATAGGCGTGGTGGCTCATGCCTGTAATCCTAGCATAGGCGTGGTGGCTCATGCCTGTAATCCTAGCATTTTGGGAGGCCAGAGCAGGCAGTTCACTTGAGCTCAGGAGTTCAAGACCAGCCTGGGCAACATGATGAAATCTCAACTCTACAGATAATACGGAAAACTTAGCTGGGTGGGATGGGTGCGCCTTGTAGTCCCATCTACTTAGAGGGCTAAAGTGGAAGGACTGCTTGAGCCAGAGGTCGAAGCTGTAGTGAGCCAAAACTGCACCACTGCACTCCAGCCTGGGTGACAAAATGAGACCCAAAAGCCATGAGGTGAGTTCAAGCATAGTAATTATCCATGAGGGGGTCATGGATATTGGAGGGGGCAGTCCAATACTAGTATAAGAGCCTGAGTAAGGCTGGCTTCCCTAAGGGGTTGGGGATAGGGGTGAGGACAATCTCAGAGCAAGGTGAAAAGATCAACAAAAGTGGAAGCAGTGAACTGAGGCTGAATATCAAATCCCAAGAGGGGTGAAAAGGACTGGCATGCAGGAAAGTAGCAGCAACCCTGAACTGGGTTAGAACAGCATCTGCCTTAGGTGGAGCAGCAACAGAAGGTATGTCAAAACAGGAGAAATTGATCAAATAAGTAAACTATTAAAAATAGTGAGAGTCAGGTTTCTGTCTGAGCATCATAAATACGTGGGAAAAAATTAAAATGAAACCCTGTTTTGTTGGGTTGGATTTGGCAAAGTTAATATGAGCATATGGAGTTCAATATATAGAGATGGATACAGTAATAGAGATGTGAGTGTGTATGTATATTCACATAATGAATCAAAAGTATTGTGACCTCACAGTTTGTTCTCTTTTTTTTTGAGACAGCGTCTCATTCTGTCACCCAGGCTGGAGTGCAGTGGCACAATCTCGGTTCACTGCAACCTCCGACTCCCAGGTTCAAGCAATTCTCCTGTCTCAGCTTCCTGAGTAGCTGGGATTACAGGCGTCCACCACCATGCCTAGCTAATTTTTTTTTTTTTTTTTGAGATGGAGTCTTGCTCTGTCGCCCAGGCTGAGGTGCAGTGGCACAATCTTGGCTCACAGCAACCTCCGCCTCCCGGGTTCAAGCAATTCTCCTGCCTCAGCCTCCTGAATAGCTGGGATTACAGGTGCCTGCTACCACACCTGACTAATTTTTGTATTTTTTAGTAAAGACGGGGTTTCGCCATCTTGGCCAGGCTGGTCTTGAACTCCTGACCTCATGATCCACCTGCCTTAGCCTCCCAACGTTCTGGGACTAGAGGCGTGAGCCACTGGGCCCAGCCCATTTTTTTTCCTTTTGAGACAGAATCTCACTCCGTCATTCAGGCTGGAGTGAAGTGGTGTGATATTGGCTCACTGCACTCTCTCTGCCTCCAGGGCTCAAGTGATTCTCATCATGCCTCAGCCTCCCAAGCAGCTGGGATTATAGGCGTGCCCCACCATGCCAGGCTAATTTTTGTATTTTTAGTAGAGACGGGGTTTCATTAGCCAGGCTGGTTTCGAACTCCGGACCTCAAGTCATCCCACTGGCCTCGGCCTCCCAAAGTGCTAGGATTACAGGTGTGAGCCATCGCGCCTGGCCCACAGTTTTCTACATAGATATAAAAACAATATACGATGTGAATTTATAGAAATATGTATCTCTGTAGGAATACACACACACACACACACACACATACACACACACACACACACACACAAATTTCCTAGCCATGCTGACTGAGAGTAGCAATAACCCACACCTAGCACCCGCTTTGGCTTCTAAATATTATTCTCACCTAAACGGAATCAAGGCTCTTCAGAGAAATGGTGATTTCAGAACTACAGCAGGAATAATACAAGATGAGCCTAGATTATACTGTTGTGTCAGAAGTAGAGAAATGCTTCTCTGAAATGATAGGTCAAAATACACAGAAGCCGGCTTAAAGAGGTCCCACCAGGCAAACCTGAGACAGTATGTACATCAAAATAAATGATATTAGTGGAATATGACCCATTAAAATAAAATAGCGTAAGTCCATACTAATACAAATAATCAGGGAGTAAAGAAAGCTTCACCTTACAGTGGAACATCAACTGATGAATGTGAAAGAAAAGGTGAAATTAGAAAATCACTACTTGCCATCAATCCTAGTCATAAATTAGGTCAAGAAACATCAATGAATACTAAAATTAGTGAGGAAAAGGTGCAAGGAACAAGATGTTTATATGAGAAGTACTTCCCCCACAAAATCCATACTGACTATAAAGAGAAAAAAGATTAACCTCACAGTGGAGAAACCTGATAGACACACCTTAACCAAGTGGTCAAGGAAAAACTGAAATCATGTACCACCTGATAGGATGCAAACAAAAAACACAGAATCACATATGTGATACTCCTGCTAAAAACATAACTGCATTTAATCATGATGAAACATCAGGCAAATCCAAATAGGAGGTCATTCTACAAAATAACTGACCTGTAATATTCAGAAGTATCAAAGTTATGAAACTCAGGGAAAGACTGAGTTACTATTTGAGATTTAAAAAGACCAAAGAGGACTGGGCGTGGTGGCTCAGACCTGTAATGCCAACAGTTTGGGAGGCTGAGGCAGGCAGATCACTTGAGGCCAGGAGTTCGAGACCAGCTGGGCCAACATGGCAAGAGCCTGTCTTTACTAAAAGCAGAAAAAAATCAGCTGGACGTGGTGGTGCACACCTGTAATCCCAGTTACTCGGGAGGCTGAGGCACGAGAATCACTAGAACCCAGGAGGTGGAGGCTGCAGTGAGCCAAGATTGCGCCAATGCACTCCAGCCTGGGTGACAGAGAGAGACTCTGTACAAAAATAAAAAGAAAAAGAAATAAAAAGACCAAAGAGTCAAAATGCAGTTTGTGATCCTTTTGCTATAAAGAATATGTCTACAAAAACACGAATGGGTTCCAAAGATCAGACAGGAATAATGCATCGCTGTTAATTTCCTTATTTTGATGGTATATTGTATATGCCCAGGAGAATATCCTTCTTTATGGGAAATTCTGAAGTATTCAGGGGTGACAGCATATTATATTGGTAAGTTACTCTCAAATGGTTTAGGGAAGGAAGAGTTCTTTTGTACTATTCCTGCAACCTGTTTGTAAGTTTTAATGCTTTTAAAATTAAAAAGAAAAACAAGGTTTTTAAAAATGAACTTCCAAAGCACTAAAAAAAAGTGCATTAATATGAAGATTTTCTTTGCACAGCAAAGGCAGAAACAATAAAGAGCATTTGCGTAAATTACCTCAAAAATGTAAACTTCTGCATTAGAAAAAGTTAACCTGCTAGAATCCCAATAACAAAAACTATGAAGACATAATAAAATTAAACACCAAACGTTAAACTATGGGAAAAAACACACACAGCAAATATACAAGACAAAAGAATATGATCTCTAATATAAAACACTTTGTAAAAAAATTATAATATTAAAATAAACAGATATGGAAGGTCAATTAACATACATGAATAATCTTCAAAAAAAAACTTTAAAATAACCAACCTTACCAGTACTCAAAGAAACTCATTCAAACATTTTAATATTTTTTTTACTAGAAAGAATAGCAAAGTTTTTTTAAGAGTAACACAGTGTACCTAACATAATAGAGGGTTATGAGCAATCTCACATACAGCTAATACAGTGTAAGTTCTAGAGGACAATTTCACACAGTGTATTTCTTGAAGCTTCCAAAATGTTCACACACTTTTACAGAGATGCTAGCAGTGTATACTAAATGCCAGACACCAAACTAGGCCCTTCAACCACAAAGGGTTGCTTAATTAAATTTACAGTTTGTTGAATCTCATGATATTCTGTATTACAGACTAAATATCTATTAAAATACAGCAGAAACACAATTTATTGACATACAAAAGATGCTGTGTAATTTTCAAAAGTAAACAAAAAATATAAGCAAAACAATTCAACTTTTTCATAAGTATATATTATAAGCAAAAATACACAGAAAAAACCCCGTCTCTACTAAAAAATAGAAAAATTAGTCGGGCGTGATAGTGGGCACCTGTAATCCCAGCTACTCAGGAGGCTAAGGCAGGAGAATTGCTTGAACCCGGGAGGCAGAGGTTGCTGTGAGCCGAGATCGTGCCACTGCATTCCAGCCTGGGTGACAGAGTGAGACTCTGTCTCAAAAAAAAATAAATAAATAAAAAGTAAAATAAAATAAAATAAAATAAAATAAATATTAATTACAGAATAAAAAGTTTTTTTGCACAAAAACATTTAAAATCTTAAAGCTGGCTGCAATTTCTTCCACGGTTGGAATGTGAACCTTCAATTAAGTGGTAAAACTGTATTTAAAGGCACATTGGGTAATGGTGAAACCTAAAATGCAGAGGAGAATAAAACAATAACATACTAAATGAAGAAAAATATACAGGAAAAAAGCAAACATTAAGTTTTTTTTTTAAGGCCAACAATAAAAACCGTATCTTGGGGTACAAATAACTTGAGGGGGGGGACAAGTAACATTCTAATGTAGGACTGTTTTTCAAAAAAGAATATGATACATTGTAATGAATATTATGCAAAATAATAATTAATTCAAATTTAACAGACTCTTGATACCTGAAAGAGCAAAAGAGGTCAGTAATTCATAAAGGGCCAATCTGTAAGGATTAAAATATCCTGTAAATCGTAGAATACTACATACCTAGGTTACTATGAAAGGTAACACAGTTTTGCTTGCTTTGTACTCCTGTGACCTTAGTAACATATTAATAACATTTTAATAACTGTAGTTTGGTGTAGTAATTTTTTTCCCACATCTCCCTGAACTTGATGGAGACCTACAATTTTTTTTTTTTTTTTTGAGACAGAGTCTCGCTCTGTTGCCCAGGCTGGAGTGCAGTGGTGCGCTCTCGGCTCACTGCAAGCTCTGCCTCCTAGGTTCACGCCATTCTCCTGCCTCAGCCTCCCGAATAGCTGGGACTACAGGCGCCCGCCACCACGCCCAGCTAATTTTTGTATTTTTAGTAGAGACGGGGTTTCACCGTATTAGCCAGGTTGGGGAGAACTATCATTTTAAAAACACAAAGACTTCCTTTCTATTTCCCAGCAGTGATATTCAAACAGTAATAAAATAATATCCACTGTACCTTATTACAATGATCATGTGGAACAGACTGTAAAACAATTGGTTCCATTGTGGAATCATTGGCAAATTGTACCTCCGGAATATACAGAGCACACACCTCATGGGCCCAGCCTAAAAATAAATAAATAAATGTCATCTTTTCAGTTTTATCAAAAGCAAATTAACATCATTAATTTCCTTAACAGATCCCTACAATGTCTATTGAAACAAATGCATAACAAGGACATTAACAAATTCTCATTGCTGTCTTACTTCCATTGCTTGAGGATACTCAAACCACTACTAGAAAAAGCATTCTTAATCATTTCCCCAGTTATGATGTACAGGAACATAAACAAAGGGAAACATTTATAAATTCAGATGTTGGCACTAACACTTCTTATACAGGCAGACTAAATATTCAGATCAACACTACTAATGAGAACCACTATAAAAGGAGTTTTTAAAAGTTTAATACTTATGATAAAATTTAATAATCTTAATCATTTTAAATGTCAACATGAAATTATTTTTATCTCGGTGTCAATATTTTTAATATTAGTAATAACAATCATTTCACTATTTTAATTGGAAAAGTTTTAAATTTGGTATTAAATATATATATTTTATGAGATGGAGTTTCCCTCTTGTTGCCCAGGCTGGAGTGCAATGGCGCAATCTCGGCTCACCGCAACCTCCGCCTCCTGGGTTCAAGCAATTCTCCTGCCTCAGTCTCCTGACTGAAGGTATTAAGGAGCTGATGTGATAGTGAGGAATTTCTGGGCTAAAACTGGAAAAGAATGTAAGTCCTAGGCACAGTTTTTGGCCACTTTTGCCCAGGGAACATTTGCCTATTTCAGAGAAAGCGGTGGTGAGGATGAAGGGTACAATTCTTTTTTTTTTTTTTTTTTTTTTTAGACAGAGTCTCGCTCTTGTTGCCCAGGCTGGAGTGCAATGGCGCGATCTTGGCTCACTGCAAACTCCACCTTCTGGGTTCAAGCAATTCTCCTGCCTCAGCCTCCCCAGTAGCTGGGATTACAGGCATGCACCACCACACCCGGCTAATTTTGTATTTTTAGTAGGGGTGGGGTTTCTCCATGTTGGTCAGGCTGGTCTCGAACTCCTGACCTCAGGTGATTCGCCCACCTCAGCCTCGCAAAGTGCTGGGATTACAGGCGTGAGCCACCGCGCCCGGCCTGAAGGGTACTTTTGACAAACTCAGAGGCCCAACAGTACAGGGATGTACATTCACAAACAACCAAGAGAAAAAGAGTACAAGTAAACCCCTCTCCTCCTTTCAGATGCAACACTGAACGGCAAACTGGGGATGAGAATACACTAAAAGTACATAGACCCTCAAAGAGACGACACCAGGGCTCTGACCATCTCAAACTCTGAAATTTGATGAAGGTAATCCGAAATTACAACTCCCAAGGCACGAAGCAGATGTAAACATACATCCTCTCTAAAAGAAAATAGTATCATTTTGGCTACAAATAATTTCTACCTTTTTTTTTTTTTTTTTTTTTTGAGACAAAGCCTTGGTCTATGGCCCAGGCTGAACTGCACTGGCGTGATCTCAGCTCACTGCAACTTCCTCCTTCCAGTTCAAGCAATTCTCCTGCCTCAGCCTCCCAAGTAGCTGGGATTACAGGTGCCCACCACCACACCTGGCTAATTTTTGTATTTTTAGTAGATATGAGGTTTCACTGTGTTGACCAGGCTGGTCTCGAACTCCTGACCTCAAGTGATCCACCAGTCTCAGCCTCCCAAAGTGGCGGGAATACAGACATGAGCCACCACACCCAGCCTAAAATTTCTTAATTACATATAATTTCCAGCACAATAATAAGTACCAAACACATGACAGACAAGACAATATGAATGAGAATAAGGAGAACACGAACATCAAAACAGATCAGTATTTTGGAGTTATCAGATAAAGATTTTAAAATAAGTATGCTTACTATGATCAAGTACACACAAGACAAAATTCTAAATTGATGCAAAGAACCGAAAACTATAATAATAAATTAAAATTCCAGAAGTAAAGCGGAAATTTAGAAATCAGTCAGGCACAGTGGCTCATGCCTGTAAGCCCAGTACTTTGGAAGGCTGAGGCAGATCGCTTGAGACCAGGAGTTCAAGACCACCCTAGGTAACAAAGTGAGACCCCATCTCTACAAAAAAAAAGTAATGAGCCAGGTGCAGCGGCATGCACCTATAGTCCCAGCTATTCAGGAGGTTGAGGTGGGAGGATTGCTTGAGCCCAGGAGTTGGAGGTTGTTGTGAATGATTATTGTGCCACTGCAATCCAGCCTGGGTGATAGAGACCCTATCTCAAGAAAAAAAAAATCAGTGGGTGGGATTAACAGCAGTTTAGACATGGATGAAAAGAGAATTAGTAGGAACACAACAGGTCAGAAGAAGAAATCCAGAATGTTAGCACAAAACACAAAAGTAAGAAATACAAAAAATGGAATAAGACACATGAAAAATGTAATAGGCAGGCAGGTCTAACACACATGTAATCAGAGTCTCGGAGAAATATGAGAGAGAAAATGGCATGAAAGCAGTATCTGAATTGATAATGCCTAAAAATTTTCCAGAACAGAAGACCCAAAGCCACTGACTGAAGAACCACTATAAATCAGAGTAAATAAATACACGAAGGAACATTAATAAAACTACAGAAAACTAAGGGAAAGAAATGAAAATCTTAAAAACAAAAGGCAAGTTATCAAACGAAAAACTAGATAACTAAATAAAGCCAGAAAACATTATGTAAAAGATTTCCATGAAAGGGAACACCAAACAATTTTCCTTGGGCAATAGGAAAATGATTCCAGAAGGAAGCTCAGAACTGAAGAAAAATATAAAGAACGATAAACATGTAGGTACATTTAATATATAATGCACATATAAAACAATAATGCCTTCACACTCATTTACAATACAAATGACCACTTACACTAAATATTAAAACACTGGTACGGTCTGTGGATGTATGTAGCTTTCCTATAAAACTACAGCAAAGACTGGAAAAGGAACAGGTAAAAGAAGTCTATATGGTTTCATTCTACATTTCGTGTTAAGTGGTACACACAGGCCAGGTGCGGTGGCTCACGCCTGTAATCCCAATACTTTGGATACCCAAGGCGGGCAGATCACTTGAGGTCATGAGTTTCAGACCAGCCTGGCCAATATAGCGAAACCATGTCTCTACTAAAAATACAAAAATTAGCTGAGTGTAGTGGTGTGTGCCTGTAGTCCCAGCCACTCAGGAGGCTGAGGCAGGAGGACTGCTTGAACCCGGGAGGTGGAGGTTGCAGTGAGCCAAGATAGTGCCACTGCAGTCCAGCCTGGGCGACACAGCAAGACACCGTCTCAAAAAGAAAAAAAAAAGTGGTACACTCAGTAGACTGAATTTACTGATAAGAAAATTATAATCCCTACAGCAACCACTATATAGATAAATATAAATACTTATATAAATAGGAAGAGATATGGCCAAAAAGGCAATTTAAGGCAATTTAATATAATTAATTAAGTTTAAATGCAATACTATCTAGTTGCATTGTTAAACTGATTAAAATACAGCACTAAAAAATAATCACAAAAAGAACAGAAGAGAAATAAGAAATAAGTGGGAAAAATCAATGTTAAGAGCAAACAGCAGAAGACTTCTACTTCTGTCCAAGGTAGACTAAGGCAGTCAAGAGAAAGTCACAAGGGAAACTGGAAAATGTCTTGAACGGAATGGCAACAAACATGTAATTTATCACAATTTGAGACGCAGGCTGGGGACAGTGGCTCACGCCTGTTAATTGCTTGACCTCAGGAGTTTGAGACCAGCCTGGGCAACATGGTGAAACCCTGTCTCTACAACAAATACAAAAACATTAGCCAGATAAAGTGGCGTGCACCCGTAGTCCCAGCTGCTTGAGGGGCTGAGGTAGGAGGATCGCTTGGACCCAGGAGGTCGAGGCTTCAGTGAGCCGAGATCACACCCCTGCCCTCCAGCCTGGGTGACAAATTGAGACCCTGTCTCAAAACAACAACAATGGCAAAAACAAAAACAAAAAAACACAACTTGTGGGATTCAATAAAAGCAATAGAGAGGAACTTGCAGCATATATATTTTCATTAGAAAAGAATATCTAAAATAAAAGACCTAAGGTTCCACCTTTATAAGTTAGAAAAGAAGAGGAAAATATAACACATAGTAAGTAGTAGGAAGGAAATAATAAAGAGCAGAAGTTTAACACAATAGAAAACAGGGAGATGGCATAAAAAATTAACGAAGCCCAAAACTTCTTTAAAAAGGTCAACACAACTGAATGATTCTATTTGGACTGGTCAAAAAAATAAAAATAAAAACAAAGAAAAACCAGAATACAAATCACCAACATCTGGCCGGGTGTGGTGGCTCACGCCTGTAATCCCAGCACTTTGGGAGGCCGAGGTGGGTGGATCACCTGAGGTCAAGAGTTCACGACCAGCCGGGCCAACATGGTGAAACCCCATCTCTACTAAAAATACAGAAAATTGGCTGGGCGCGGTGGCTCACGCCTGTAATCCCAGCACTTTGGGAGGCCGAGGCGGGTGGATCACGAGGTCAGGAGATCGAGACCATCTTGGCTAACACGGTGAAACCCGGTCTCAACTAAAAATACAAAAACTTAGCCGGGCGCGGTGGCGGGCGCCTGCAGTCCCAGCTACTCGGGAGGCTGAGGCAGGAGAATGGCGTGAACCTGGGAGGCGGAGCTTGCAGTGAGCCGAGATTGTGCCACTGCAATCCGGCCTGGGCTAAAGAGCGGGACTCCGTCTCACAAAAAAAAATACAGAAAATTAGCTAGGCGTGATGGCGGGCGCCTGTAATCCCAGCTACTCAGGAGGCTGAGGCAGGAGAATTGCTTGAACCAGGGAGGCGGAGGTTGCAGTGAGCCGAGATCCCACCACTGCACTGTACCCAGTGGTGTACCCACTGCACAGTTACCCAGCCTGGGTAACAAGAGCAAGGCTCAGTATCAAAAAAAAAAAACAAAAAAATTACCAACATCAGGAATAACAATGGGGTAATAACCACCAATGCTAGCAAAATTAACAAAATAATACTAAAATACTATTGACAGCCGGGTGCGGTGGCTTGTGCCTGTAATCCCAGCACTCTGGGAGGCCAAGGCGGGTGGATCACCTGAGGTCAGGAGTTCAAGGCCAGACTGGCCAACATGGCAAGATTCTCTCTCTACTAAAAATAAAAAATATTAGCTGGGTGTGGTGGTGCCCGCCTGTAATCCCAGCTACTCGGGAGGCTGAAGCAGAGAATCACTTGAACCTGGGAGGTGGAGTCCGCAGTGAGCTGAGCTCATGCCACTGCACTCCAGCTTGGGTGACAGAGCAAGACTCCATCTCAATAAATAAATAAATAAATACTATTGGCAATGTTAGTCCAACAATTTCAGCAACTTATACAAAGTAGTCAAATTTCTTGAAAAAATAGAGCGCACCAAAATTGACAAGTTTATACAAATAGGCCAGGCCCAAGGGCTCATGCCTGTAATCCCAACATTTTGGGAGGATGAGGCAGGGGCATAGTTTGAGCCCAGATGTTCGAGACCAGCCTCGGCAACAAAGCGAAACCGCTTGTCTCTACAAAAAATACAAAAAGAAAAAAATATTAGCCAGGCATGGTGTGCCTGTGGTCCCATCTATTCAGGAGGCTGGGGGAGGAGGATCATTTGAACTCAGGAGTTTGAAGCTGCAGTGAGCTATGACTACATCACTGCACTCTAGCCTGGGCAACAAAGTGATACACTGTTAAAAAAAAAAAAAAAGGAAGAAAGAGAGAGAGAGAGGGAGGGAGACAGGGAGGGAGGACAGAAAAGAGAAGAAAAGAAAAAGAGAAAGGAGGGAAAAAGGAATGTCCCTATAATTTTGCCAAAAAACGAATTTATCAAAAATTTTCCCAGAAGAGTTTCAGTTGCTCACGAAGTTCTATATAGAATTCAAAGAAAAATAACACGAAATTTACACAAACTGTTTCATTTTAAGTGACTAGCATAATCCTCAACAAACACCTGACAAAACCACTATAATTCTTTTTTTTTTTTTTTTGAGACGGAGTCTCGCTCTGTCGCCCAGGCTGGTGCAGTAGCTGGATCTCGGCTCACTGCAAGCTCCGCCTCCCGGATTCACGCCATTCTCCTGCCTCAGCCTCCCAAATAGCTGGGACTATAGGCGCCTGCCACCACACCTGGCTAATTTTTTGTATTTTTTAGTAGAGACGGGGTTTCACCGTGTTAGCCAGGATGGTCTCGATCTCCTGACCTTGTGATCTGCCCGCCTCAGCCTCCCAAAGTGCTGGGATTACAGGCGTGAGCCACCGCGCCCGGCCCAAAACCATTATAATTCTTAAGGAAACAGAGAATGAAAGTACATGACAAAAATAAAACATACGTCAGGAGATGGACAAGTGAATTTACAGTATCCTAAGAGTTTCAGAGGATTCAGAAAGAGGAAAGAAGCACATAGTAACATTAACTTTTTAAAAAGCTAATAGAGAGGGTAGAATGGAACGAGTGGAACAAACCAGAATAGGAAAGACAAATACAAAACATTTAATAAGATGGGAGGCTTACACCAGGTGCAGTGGCTCATTCCTGTAATCCCAACACTCTCAAAGCTGAGGCAGGAAGATCACTTGAGCCCGGGACTACAAAGCTGCAGTGAGCTAGGATCCTGCTACTTGCACTCCAGCCTGAACAACAGAATGAAAACCTGTCACTTAAAAAAAAAAACAAAACTTTGGAATAGTGAAGGCCTTTCTAACTAATAACTCAAAATACTGACATCATGAAAGACTAATAAATTGTACAAAATTAAAATCAAAAACCCATGCATGGTAAACAAATTTTTTAAAAAGCACAATATAAATAAAGACTAACCAGATGGGCAAAAATTAGTCCAACTCATATCAAAACAGCATAATAACATATAAGGGGCTCCTTATGGATGCTCCAATAAATCAAACTAAAAAGATCAACAACTGTGGCTGGGCATGGTGGCTCACGCCTGTAGTCCCACCACTTTGGGAGGCTGAGGTGAGTGGATCCCATCTCTACTAAAAATTAAAAAGTCAGCTGGGCCTGGTGGCGTGTGCCTATAATCCCAGCTATTCAGGTGAGTGAGGCAGGAGAGTCCTTTGAACGGGGGAGGCAGAAGCTGCAGTGAGCCAAGATCAAGCCACTGTACTCCAGCCTACATGACAGACAGAGACCATCTCAAAAAAAAAAAAAAAAAAAAAAAGATCAACAACCAAGTCAAAAAGCAGACCACAGAAGAGAAAAAAACAAATTGCTCTTCAAACTGTTAAAAGATGTCAACTTCACTAATATTAAGAGAAATGCAAAACGACTGCTTGGATATACAAACTTTCACCTGTTAGGTAAGCAAAGGTATAAGGAACAGCTTTTTTATTCATATATTGGTAAAACTGGGAACATATATTGGTAAAACTACAGGGAGAATAACTTGGGACTATCCATCAAAATTAATTGCAAAACTCCTTTGACCCAATGTTTCCACCTACGGAAATTAATAATCCTATAGATATACTTGTATACCAGCAAAATGACATATATAAAAGAGTTAGTCATCAAAGTAGATCAGAAAGTGCATCAACAACTGATTGATTAGATAACATGGTTAAAAAGGAAAAAAAAGGCTCTATACTGATAACAGGATAAATTGTTCATGCCGGGTGCGGTGGCTCACGCCTGTAATCTCAGCACATTGGAAGGCCGAGGCAGTAGGATCATTTGGGGTCAAGAGTTCAACACCAGCCTGACCAATATTGTGAAACCCCATCTCTACTAAAAATATAAAAATTAGCTGGGCGTGGTGGCGCATACCTGTAATCCCAGCAACTTGGGAGGCTGCAGCAGGAGAATGGCTTGAGCCGGGAAGGTGGAGGTTACAGTGAGCGGAGACTGCACCACTGCACTCCAGCCTGGGTGAATGAGCGAAGCTTCAAAAAAAAAGAAAATTGAAGAAAAAAGAAAAGAAAAGTCTCAAAAAAAAGAAAAAAGATAAATTGTTCAGTGAAATAAATTAAGACGCAGAAGAGTATATAATATTAACCCATTTGTATAAAGATGGAGGGAGTAAAGAAGTATTTGTCCATTCACATCTGAACATGCAAAAGAAACCTAGAAAGATATGCAAGAAAGTAAATAATTATAAGGTAGCAGGAAAGCTATTGATAAACTGGGCAGATGGGGAAGAGGAGTAACAGGAAGGGTTTTCAATATATTTTTAAATTTTGTACAATCTGACTGTATAACATAGTCTGAAGATTAAACTGTATAATATATATAGCTAGCCAAAATGATTGTATTTTTCCCATTTATTCACACCATTACTCTAGTCTATGCCAAAACTACTTTAGAGGTGGCTACCCAAAATGGAGAAGAGTATAGTATCTACTTTTTTTAGCTGCCGCATCATGTATGCCATGGCTTAATAAACTCACGTCTACACATTTCAGAACAGTACTGAGCTACATGTACAAAAATACGAGTTCTCTAACAAAGATAACTAAAAGTAGAGAAGAAAATGAGTAATGCACAAGGGTCCATAGGAAAGCATACCAAAATGTGATACAGAAGTCAGCATTTCTTTTTTTCTTTTCTTTTTTTTTTTTTTGAGACAGGGTCTCACTCTCACCCATCTCAGGGACTGAAGTACAGTGGTGTGACCATGGCTCAATGCAGCCTCCACCTCCCACGCTCAAGCCATCCTCCTGCTCAGCTTCCCAAGTAGCTGGAACTACAGGCACGTGCCACCATGTGGAACTAAGTCTTTTTATTTTTATTTTTTATATTTACTTTTGCAGAGACCAAGGTCTCCCTATGTTGCCCAGGCTGGTCTCAGGCTCCTACGCTCCAGTGAGCCTCCTACCTTGGCCTCTCAAAGAGCTGGGATTACAGGTGTCAGGCAGCGCACCCAGCCTAAAAGTCAACATTTCTTTATATTCCAGCCACAAAGATCCTCAGAGTTAAATGAAATTAACATTCACTAGAAACATCATCTGTCTAGAGATATACAAAACAGAAAAAAAGAATCTAAAACAACAGATTTTAGGTCTAACAACAACAACAACAAAATGTGGCTCATTTTTCAAAAAAAATTCCTAACACAAGAAACTATATCCATTTAACAAAATACACTTTCTTTTTTTTGAGACAGTCTCCTTCTGTCATGGAGGCTAATGGTCAATGGTGCAATCTCAGCTCACTGGAACCTCTGCCCCCCAAGTTCAAGTTTTTCTCCTGCCTTGGCCTCCCAAGTAGCTGGGACTACAGGCATGCATCACCACACCCAGCTAATTTTTCTATTTTTAGTAGAAACCAGGTTTCACTATGTTGGCCAGGCTGCTCTCGAACTCCTGACCTCAGGTGATCCACCACCCTCGGCCTCCCAAAGTGCTGGGATTACAGGTGTGAGCTACCTCGCCCAGCCAAAAAAATAAGAATTTTAATTAGAAGTATGTATTTAATAAATCATTCTGCATAAAGTAGCCAATGCTTAAGTTTGTCCACAAAGTAGAAAAATTGTGGGTCAATACATAATAATGATTCATAAATTATAGCCACTACTGTTAAAAATGAGTAGAAAACACTGTTTAATTTGATGAAATAAAATAAACTACCAGATATTTGAAAATACTCCACCGCCCCAGTTTTCAATAAAAATTTTTTCAAGAAATCTCTGCACTTACCCCCATTATCTGTTCTTTTTAAAGCTCCATCCTTATGGGGACAAAGTTCCCATCTCTATAAACAAGAAAAGAAACACGTAATGAAGATATATTTCAGATTATCAAAAATGTAATATCTTCCCTGCAACTTCAAAACTACTGAAAATGTGAGAGCAGCATTTGTACTAGTTGCCCCCCAAGAATATTTAGGAACATTCTTCACAAACAGTTGTTCTTGACGACATGTGATCTTCTTCAGCGAACAAGTAATTTTTTTAAAGTACATTTTAACTTTTAAACTCCTGCCACGGGCCAGGCACGGTGGCTCATGCCTGTAATCCCAGGACTTTGGGAGGCCGAGGCAGGCAGATTACCTGAGGTCGGGAGTTCGAGACCAGCCTGACTAACATGGAGAAACCCCGTCTCTACTAAAAATAAAAAATTAGCCAGGCGTGGCGGCGCATGCCTGTAATCCCAGCTACTGGGGAGGCTGAGGCAGGAGAATTGATTGAACCCGGGAGGCAGAGGTTGCGGTGAGCCAAGATCGCGCCGTTGCACTCCAGTCTGGACAACAAGAGTGAAACTCCATCTAAAAGAAACAAAACAAAACAAATCCTGCCACAAGTTTTTAAATCTTACATTAATAAAAACACAAAGATGCTGGGATTATTTACCTGGGGAGCGGGAGAAAAAAACAAAAAAGTCCTCTCAACACAGGAATGGGGCAAGGTTTTTAACATCTGCCTGTTACCTGTTTACTTCCTGTTTTATGGTCAGCTAGGATGACCGCAGTCAAGTAGGTCTGGTTTCTCTTAAAGAGCCAAACTCAAGAATTTAGAATTTGAATTTAAGTGGCAAGAAATGATCTCATGCATGCTGATTTCCCTTCTGAAAGGAATTAGGCTAATCAGCTATTATTATTCAAACACAGTGGTACTCAAAATTTATTGTGGATTCCTCTCCCTCCCATCCTCAGAATTTAAAAGCAGAAATAAATGTAGAGCCAGTACTACTACTTCTTATGAAACACAGTAAGTTTCAATGGCATTGTCTTACTATGAAGAATATGTTCCTGAAAGTCGCACTTGAGTATTATTTATATCCCACTTTGTTTCCAAAAGAAGTTTTCCAGCATACAGTATCGTAATATAGGCCGGGCACAGTGGATCACACCTGTAATCCCAGCACTTTGGGAGGCTGAGGTAGGCAGATCGCTTGAGCCCAGGGGTTCCAGGGCAGCCCGGGCAACATGGCAAAATTCCACCTCTACAAAAAAAAAAAAAAAAAAAAATAGTTGGGTGTGGTGGTGGTGCACCTGTAGTCCCAGCTACTCGGCAGGCTGAGGCGGGCTGATCAATTGAGCCCAGAAGGTCAAGGCTGCAGTGAGCCATGATTGCACCACTGCATTCCAGCCTGGGTGACAGAGTGGACCCTACCTCGAAAAAACAAAAACAAACAAACAAAAAAATGTGTGTGTATACATATATGTGTGTGTGTGTGTGTTGATTATATATGTATATATACACACACACATTTTATATATACACACACACTATATATACACACACCATATATACACACCCTACATATAAATATATATACACTTACATACATATATAAATTACAACAAAAATTAGAGTAGAAAATTAAGTTGAAATAGTTTTAAAAGTACAGAAGGCATAAGCCATAAAAGCCTACTGAGGCTGGGTGCAGTGCCTCACACATATAATCGCAGCACTTTGGGAGGCCAAAATGGAAGGACCACTTGAGGTGAGGAGTTCGAGACCAGCCTAAGCAACAAAGTGAGACCTCATCTCTACAAAAATAATTAAAAAAAAAAATAGAGCCTATTTGCCAGGTGCGGTGGCTCACGCCTGTAATCCCAGCACTTTGGGAAGCCGAGGTGGGCGGATCACGAGGTCAAGAGATCGAGACCACCCTGGCCAACATGGTGAAACCCCATCTCTATTAAAAATACAAAAAATTAGCTGGGCATGGTGGCACGTGCCTGTAGTCCCAGCTACTTGGGAGGCTGAGGCAGGAGAATCACTTGAAACCGGAAGGCAGAGGTTGCAGTGAGTCGAGATCACGCCACTGCACTCCAGCCTGGGCAACAAGAGCGAAACTGTGTCTCAAAAAAAAAAAAAAAAAAATTACAGAGGCTATTGATAAAGTTTGGATATTTGTGCCTCCAAATCTCATGTAAAAGTATAATCCCGATGTTGAAGGTGGAGCCCAGCAAAAGGTGTTTGGGTAATGGGGGCAGAACCCTCATGAATGTCTTGGTGTTTTCCTTGTGGTAATGAGTGAGTTTCTTGCTGTTGTTAGTTCACGTGAGATCTGATTGGTAAAAAGAGCCTGCCATCTAGCTCCCTCCCCTCACCATGTGACACTCCTGGTCCCTATGCCCACTCCCCCATAAGTAAAAGCTTCCTCAGCCCAAAGATGGTGGTAGTATGCTTGTACTGCCTACAGAACTGTGAACCAAATAAACCTCTTTTCTTTATATTAATAATCTACCCAGTTTCAGGTATTCCTTTATAGCAACACAAAACAGACTAATACTGCTGTATTTCTTGCCTTTCAGTATTTCACTCTCCTGATTTTCCCTCTTTGGTGGCACCTTTCTGATCACCCTATCAAACCTTTAAATGGTGAAGTTCCTCAGGGTTCTGGCCTAAGATGTCATCTCTCTTTTTTTTTTTTTTGAGACAGAGTCTTATTCTGTCGCCCAGGTTTGAGTGCAGTGGTGTGATCTCGGCTCACTGCAAGCTCCACCTCCTGGGTTCAGGACATTCTCCTGCCTCAGCCTCTGAGTAGCTGGGCCTACAGGCACCCACCACCATGCCCAGCTAATTTATTGTGTTTTTAGTTGAGACGGGGTTTCACTGTGTTAGCCGGGATGGTCTCGATTTCCTGACCTTGTGATCCGCCCGCCTCGGGGTCCCAAAGTGCTGGGATTACAGGCGTGAGTCACCGCGCCCGACCAAGATGTCATCTTATTTCACGTGAAACACTAGGTAATCTTATTCACTGTCCAAATTTCCATTACCAACTAAATTATAAAAATATAACAGTGACTCCCAAATTTTATCTATTTGTGTCTGTCCTCAGGGTCAGGTATAAACTCTATATGCTACATAAACACTTTATTTTATTTTATTTTGAGATGGAGTCTGTTGCCCAGGCTGGAGTGCAGTGGCTTGATCTCAGCTCACTGCAACCTCCAACACCAGGGTTCAAGCAATTCTCCTGCCTCAGCCTCCCAAGGAGCTGGGATTACAGGTGTGTGCCACCACTTCCATCTAACTTTTTCTATTTTCAGTAGAGATGGGGTTACGTCATGTTGCCCAGGTTGGTCTCAAACTCCTGGCCTCAAGTGATCTACCCACCTCAGCCTCCTAAAGTGCTAGGATTACAGGCGTGAGCCACCGCACCACCCAGCCTACATAGACACTTGAAACGCTCCACAATTTATGACAAAACCTGCTCTTCCTGCTCTTTCCATATATTGGTAATGATATTTTCAATGACACATTGCTCATGCGAGACACCAAGTATATATAATCTTTGACCACTTCATACCTTACTCCCTAACCTCACTTTTAATCCATAACTGTATTGTGCCCTTCCTCTTCTGAAATACTAGTGAGAGCTGCCTATCTCTCTCCATCTCCACTATCACCCTACTTAAAGCCAGCATCGCCTTTCATCGGGACCACTTCAGTCACCTCTTAAATGCAGTAGACCCCAGTTATCCATGGGAGAAACATTCTAAGAACCCCAGTGGACGTCTGAAATGACAAATGGTACTGAGCACTTGATTCTGTTTTTTGCTATACATACATACCTATAAAAAAGTTGAATTTATAAATTAGGCACAGTAACAGATTAACAATAATAATAAAATACAACAGGCCAGATGTAGTGGCTCAAGCCTATAATCCCAGGACTTTAGGAGGCTGAGTTGGGCAGATCACCTGAGGTCAGGAGTTTGAGACTAGCCTGGCCAACATGGTGAAACCCCATCTCTACTAAAAATACAAAAAAATTAGCGAATGTGGTGGCGCACACCCGCAGTCCCAGCTAAGCAGGAGGCTAAGGCACAAAAAGCAACTCAACCCGGGAGGTTGCAGTGAGCCAAGATCGTGCCACTGCACTCCAGCCTGGGTGACAGAGAGAGGCTCCAACTCAAAAACAATTTCAAAAATTTAAAAAAAATTATAACAATCTACTATAAAAAAGTTATGTGAATGTGGTCTCTCTCAAAATACAGTCTGCATAAAAACAACCACATATACGATGGTGGCCCCATGAGATTAAATGGAACTGAAAAATTCCTATTGCCTAGTGACATAATGATGTAATAGCCATAGTAACATGACAGAGCAAATTTTAAAATAAATTTAGTGTACATTAAGTGCACAATGTTTATAAAGTCTATGGTAGTTGTAGCAGTCCATTCTCTCACTGCTATAAAACTACCTGAGACTGGGCAATTTATAAAGAAAAGAGGTTTAATTGACTCATGTTCCACATGGCTGAGAAGGCCTCAAGAAACTGTCAGTCACAGTGAGAAGGGAAGCAAGTACGTCTTACATGGCAGCAAGCAAGAGAAAGAGAATGTGTACATAGGAAAAAAACCACCACTTTCAAAACCATCAGATCTCCAGAGAATTCACTCACTATCACAAGAACAGGATGGGGGAAACTGCCCCCATTATCCAGTCACCTCCCTCCTTCAACACATAGGGATTATAATTCGAGATGAGATTTGGGTGGGGATACACAGCCAAACGCTATCAGTAATGTACAATAATGTCCCAGGCTTTCACATTCACTCACCACTTACTAACTGACTCACCCAGAACAACTTCTAGTCCTGCAAGCTTCATTCATGGTAAAGCCCTATACAAGTGCAATTTTTTTTTATCTTTCATATCATTATTTTAGGTGTACCTTTTCTATGTTTAAAAATACAAATACTTACCATTATGTTAAGTTGCTTACAGGATTCAGTAATGAAATGTACAAGTTTGCAGCCTAGGAGCAATAGGCTATACCATGTAGCCTAGGTATGTAGTAGGCTATACAATATAGCTTTGTTTAAGAACATTCTAAGATGATTGTGCAATGACGAAATCACCTAATGAGGTATTTCTAAGAACATACCTCCCTCCTGCATTACACAACACATGATTCTACCTCACTGTACTCACCTATTTTCAGAGGGGTTGACCATGGGTAACTAAAACCAAGGAAAGAAAAACCGCAGATAATGGAAAATGGCTGTAGTCTCCAAATATTCACTCTCAACCAACTATCACCAATCTGCAGAATGAACTTTTCACAACACAACGAACTTCAGAAATGCAATCCAAATATACCACTGCCCACTTGAAAACACTTCAATAGGCCGGGTGCAGTGGCTCAAGCCTGTAGTCCCAGCACTTTGGGAGTCTGAGGGGGGGCGGATCATGAGGTCAAGAGATCAAGACCATCCTGGCCAACATGGTGAAACCACATCTCTACTAAAAATGCAAAAATCATCTGGGTGTGGTGGTGCGCACCCATAGTCCCAGCTACTCGGGAGACTGAGGCAGGAGAATCGCTTGAACCCAGGAGGTGGAAGTTGCAGCGAGTCGAGATCGCACCACTGCACTCCAGCGTGGCAACAGAGCGAGACTCCATCTCAAAAACAAAAAAACAAAACAAAACAAAACAAAAACACTTCAATAGTTTCCCTATATCATATAGCCTTTTCTTATCTCCACCACCTTCTCTCCTTCCAACATTTCACTTCATGGGCAACACTGGCTTTTTCTTCTTTCAATTCTATAAATTTGCCAGAGCTCATTCTCACTTCAAAGACTTTTAACGGGTTAGTTTGACTCTAAATGGAATATTGTCATTCACTGTACCCTCTTTTGCAGCTGGGTAATTTCTATGTATCCGGCAGGTCCTTGCTTAAAGCCACTTCATCAAAGACAATGTCTCTGAATCTCCAGATGAGGTTAGGTGCCATATGATGATTTACCTATGCTTTCCTTCTTGGGATATATTACAATTGCAATTAGCTATTTATGTAATTAAGTTAACTCCTCTGCTAGATTAGAAGCTCCATTTCATGGCTGTAGCTACCCCTAACATCAGGCACATTATCTAGGCACAATAACTCAAAAACTACATGATGAAGGAATAAAAGGAACAAAATCACAAACATCCCATTGCTGTTATAACCAAAAAAAAAGAAAGAAAGAAAGAAATTTTAAAAAGGTCTTAATTTTGGCCGGGCACGGTGGCTCACGCCTGTAATCCCAGCACTTTGGGAGGCCGAGGCGGGTGGATCATGAAGTCAGGAGATCGAGACCATCCTGGCTAACAAGGTGAAACCCCGTCTCTACTAAAAATACAAAAAATTAGCCGGGCGCGGTGGCGGGCGCCTGTAGTCCCAGCTACTCGGGAGGCTGAGGCAGGAGAATGGCGTGAACCCGGGAAGCGGAGCTTGCAGTGAGCCGAGATTGCGCCACTGCAGTCCGCAGTCCGGCCTGGGCGACAGAGCGAGACTCCGTCTCAAAAAAAAAAAAAAAAAAAAAGGTCTTAATTTTAAAAAATAGGCCAGGCGTGATGGCTCATGCCTGTAATTCCAGCACTCTGGGAGGCCAAGTCAGGCGGATGACATGAGGTCAGAAGTTCAAAACCAGCCTGGCGAACGTGGCGAAACCCTGTCACTACTAAAAATACAAAAATTAGGCCTGGCACTGTGGCTCATACCTGTAATCCCAGCACTTTGGGAAGCCAAGGCAGATGGATCACAAGGTCAAGAGATCGAGACCATCCTGGCCAACATGGTGAAACCCCATCTCTAAAAAAAAATACAAAAATTAGCTGGGTGTGGTGGCACATGGCTGTAGTCCCAGCTACTCGGGAGGCTGAGGCAGAAGAATCACTTGAACTTGGGAGGTGGAGGTTGCAGTGAGCTGAGATCCCAACACTGCACTCTAGCCTGACGACAGAGCAAGACTCCATCTCAAAAAAAAAAATTTAGCCAGGAGTGGTGGCAGGCACCTGTAATCCTAGCTACTCAGGAGGCTGAGCCACGAGAATCACTTGAATCCGGGAGGCGGAGGTTGCAGTGAGCCGAGATCACGCCACTGCACTCCAGTCTGGGCGACAGAGAGAGACTCTGTCAAAAAAAAAAAAAACTCAAAATTCATTTTTATATAATTTCGATGACACCATAATCCTATTCTTTTGGACAGCAGTTAAGCAATAAGAATCAAGAAAAAAAATCTGATTTAATTGCTTCACTTTTAGAGAGCCAAAGCAAATAATATAAGATATAGCATGTATAAATTACCTTTGTGTCTTTTATATCATTTATATACTTTATCTTCAAGACATGAAAATGTATGCACAAAGATATTTTATATAACCATTTATAACCATACAACTTTTATAAAAGTCTGGCCGGCTGCAGTGGCTCTCACTTGTAATCCCAGCACTTTGGGAGGCCGAGGCAGGTGGATCACTTGAGGTTAGGTGTTCAAGACCAGCCTAGGCAACATGGTGAAACCCATCTCTACTTAAAAATACAAAAAATTAGCTGGACATGGTGGCGTGAGACTATAGTCCAGCTATTAGGGAGGCTGAGGTCGGAGGATCACTTCAGCCCAGGGGGTCGAGGCTACAGTGAGCTGAGGTCACACCACAGAACTCCAGCCTGGGTGACAGAGTAAGATCTCATCTCAAAAAAAAAAAAAAAAAAAAGATCTGGCCGGGAGTAGTGGCTCACGCCTGTAATCCCAGCACTTTGGGAGGCCAAGGCAGGCAGAACACAAGGTCAGGAGATCGACACCATCCTGACCAACATGGTGAAACCCCATCTCTACTAAAAATACAAAAAAGTAGCCGGATGTGGTGGCACAAGCCTATAGTCCCAGCTACTCGGGAGGCTGAGGCAGGAGGATGGCGTGAACCCGGGAGGCGGAGGTTGCAGTGAGCCGAGATCGCACCACTGCACTCCAGCCTGGGTGACAGCGGGAGACTCCGTCTCAAAAAAAAAATAATAATAAAATAAAAATTCACTGAACATTAAAAGAAAATACACAAAATACGCTGGGCACAGTGGCTCACGCTTGTAATTCTAGCACTTTGGGAAGCCAAGGCAGGCAGATCATGAGGTCGGGAATTCGAGACCAGCCTCACCAACATAGTGAAACCCCATCTCTACTAAAAATACAAAAAAAAATAAGCCAGGCTTGGTGTGCGCCTGTAATCCCAGCTACTGGGGAGGCTGAGGCAGCATAATCGCGTGAAGCCAGGAGGCGGAGGTTTCAGTGAGCCAAGATGGCGTCATTGCATTCCAGCCCAGGCCACACTGCAAGACTCCGTCTCAAAAAAAAAAAAAAAAAAAACCACAAAATATATTAATAGGACTGTGGTAAGGATGGTAAGATTATGAGTGATTTCTTTCCTCTATTGCAAACTATACCATTTCCTTTATAATGTGAAGTGTTTTTTTGTTTTGTTTTGTTTTGAGATGGAGTCTCACTCTGTCACCTAGGCTGGAGTGCAGTGGCTCAATCTCGGCTCACTGCAACATACACTTCCCGGGTTCAAGCGACTCTCCTGCCTCAGCCTCCTGAGTAGCTGGGGTTACAGGTGCACACCACCGCGCCCGACTGATTTTTGCAGTTTTAGTAGAGATGGGGTTTCACTGTGTTAGTCAGGCTAGTCTCGAACTCCTGACCTCGTGATCTGCCCGCCTCAGCCTCCCAAAGTGCTGGGATTACAGGCGTGAGACACCGCGCCTGGTCTATAATGTGAAATTTTATAGAAAAATGTCGCTAAATGCTAATCAAGTCTGCCCACCAAAGATAAACCTATAATAAAACAGGGTGTCTCAGCAACAACAACAACAAAAAAAAAAAAAAAAAAGAAACCATAAGCCAAGCATGGTAGCACCAATCTGCAGTCCCAAATACTCAGAAGGGTGAGGCAGGAGAATCACTTGTGCCTGGGAGTTTGAGGCTGCAGTAATATAATCGCACCACTGCACTCCAGCCTGGGCAAAAGAGCAAGACTCGGTCTCAAATTAAAAAAAAAAAAAGATAGAATTTTTTAAATACTAAAAATACAACATGTGAAGTGAAAATTTCACTCGGCAAGCTTCACAACAACAAATCTGAGATGACAGAAGAGTCAGTGAACTTGAAGCTACATCGATAGATAGAATCTAATGTGAGGCCAGGCGCGGTGGCTCACACCTGTAATCCCAGCACTTTGGGAGGCCGAGATGGGTGGATCACCTGAGGTCAGGAGTTTGAGACCAGCCTGACCAACATGGAGAAATCCCATCTCTACTAAAAAATACAAAATCAGCCAGGTGTGGTGGCACACACCTGTAGTCCCAGCTACTCAGCAGGCTGAGGCAGGAGAATCGCTTGAACCAGGAGGTAGAGGTTGGGGTGAGCTGAGATCCCACCATTGCACTTCAGCCTGGGCAAGAAGAGTGAAACTCTGTCTCAAAAAAAAAAAAAAAAAAAGAATCTAATCTGAAAGAGAAAATAGAGGTTAAACAAACAAACAAAAAACAGGGCTTCAGGGACCTACAGCACAGTACCAAAAGGTCTTACATACATAACCAAAGGCCTAAAAAAGAAGACAGAAAGAATATGAGGCAGGAAAGGAACTTTTGAAGAAATGATGGCTGAAATTTTCTTCAATTTGAAAAAAGACAAATCCACAGATTCAGGAATCTCAGCAAACCTCGAATAGTCAAATGCCTTGCTAAAAAGCAAACACAGAGGGAAAACTCTTGAAGCACCAAAAGAAAATGTCACATTACACAGAGGGAACCATGACTGGATAAACGGCAGATTTCTCATCATAAAATATGGAAGCCAAAAGAAAATAAACTAAAATACCCCTTGCTAAAAGATAAGGCACTGTCAACACAGAATTCTATATCCAACCACAATGCCCTTCAAAAATAGAGGTGAAATAGATACTTTCAGGTAAAAGAAAGCAAGCACAATTTATCACCAAAAGATACGCCCTGCAAGAAAGGCTAAAGAAATTCTTCAGGATTAAGAGAAATGATGCTAGAAAATGCAAATCTTCAGAAGACAAAGAAGACTACCACAAATGGTAAATATCTGGGTAAACTTAGATGACTTTTAGCTCTTAAGTTCTTAACATTACATGATTATTGAAAGCCAAAATTACATTGTTGTTTTCTGGGGCTTATAATGTACATAGTTCCAACACACATGACAATAGCATAACTGACAACAAACAGAGGTGATATAAAAGAACAACTTACAAGCTTTGTATACTTTACAACTTGTACAATATTAGTCAGAAGTGGTAATACTATAAAAACAGACTGAAAAGAGTAAAGAAATATATTTAAATTGCTAGAGAAATGTGCCAAAGAATTAAGTTGAAACCCTTCCTGATATTAAAAAATTAATTCAAAAGTGAATCGCAGACCTAAATGTAAGAGCTAAAACAATAAAACTTTAGAAAAAAACATAGGAGGTAAGTCTTTAGGACTTGGTTGAACAACAGTTTTTAGACATAACACTAGATAAAAGTAGAGGCAACAAAAGAAAAAATAACTAGAATTTACCAAACCTACAGACTTTTTTGCTACAAACAAAATCATCAGGAAAGTAAAAGGATGGAAGAAATATTTACAAGTCATATGTCTGATAAGTAGTTTGTATCCAGAATACAGAGCTCTTCCACTCAGAAATAAAAAGCTATACAGCCCAGTTAAAAATTGAACAAAGGGGCCGGGCACGGTGGCTCACACCTGTAATCCCAGCACTTTGGGAGGCCTAGGCAGGGGGATCACCTGAGGTCAGGAGTTTGAGACTAGCCTGGCCATCATGGTGAAACTCCGTCTCTGCTAAAAATACAAAAATTGGCCAGGCGTGGTGGCGGGCACCTGTAATCCCAGGTACTCAGGAGGCTGAGGCAGGAGAAGCGCTTGAACCCGGGAGGCAGAGGTTGCAGTGAGCCAAGATATCACACCACTGCACTCCAGCCTGAACAACAGAGTGAGACTCTGTCTACAAAAGAATATAATGAAAAAAGATAAGTAAAAATCAACACCACAATGAGATACTACCTCATGCCCTGTAGGATAGCTAAAATCAAAAGCCAAACAATAAAAAATGTTGGCAAAGAGATGGAGAAATTAAAACCTTCATATATTGTTGCTGGTAATTTAAAATGTTACAGCCTCTTTGTCAGTTTTTCAAAAGGTTAAACAGAGTTGCAGCATGAAACAAAAATCCTAGGCCCAAGAGAATTGAAAACAAATGTCTGGATTTGCAGACAAATGTTCATAATAATAACATTATTCATAATATTGCAAAAGTATATACAACCTAAATGTTTATCAATTAATGAATGAGTAAAGAAAATGTAGTATAGCCATGCAATAGAATATTATTTGACAACAAAAAGGAATGAAGTTCTAATAAATGCTACAAAACAAATGCTTGTACATGATGCTAGGAGAAAGAAGCCACTCACAATACACCAAATGATTCCATTTATATGAAATGTGACAAATAGGGATGGAGACAGAATGAAGATTAGTGATTGCCAGGAGCTGGGCAAGTAGGGTAATGGAGAGTGACTGTTAATGGGCCAAAGGGCTTCTTTTTGAGGGGATCCAAGTGTTCTAAAATTGATTGTAGTGACGTAGAGACTCTCAAAAAAAAATAGTGTATTAGCACACATAGAAAAGTAAAACTCAATCACAAGGTGTCTGTAAGAAACACACTTTAAGGGAAGACACAAACAGGTCCAAAGTAAATGGATAGGCTGGGTGCGCGGTGGCTCATGCCTGTAATCCTAGCACTTTGGGAGGCCGAGGCGGGCACTTGATCACTTGAGGCCAGGGGTTTGAGACCAGCCTGGCCAACATGGCAAAGCCCTGTCTCTACTAAAAATGCAAAAATTAGCCAGGCATGGTGCCACACACCTATAATCCCAGCTACTAGGATGGCTGAAACAGGCGAACTGCTTGAACCTGGGAGGCAAATGCTGCAGTGAGCCGAGATCACACCACTGCACTCCAGCCTGGGTGATAGATTAAAACTCCATCTCAAAACAAACAAACAAACAAACAACAACAACAAAAAGATGGTGAGTGGCTACATAGTAAAGAGAGGGAGGGACATTTCACAGTAAGTCAGACAATGAAGAAGTCATAATAATTATAAATGTATGCACCTAAAAACAAGGCTTCAAAATACATGAAGGAAAATTTGGCATAAGGCATAAACAGTCAGAATACTCAGTGCCCCAAACATGGTAAGATATTTTAGCATCCCTCTTTGTGATTGACAAAACCAGACCAAATAATAATAGTCATCATCATCATCTAGCAATGTTAAAACCACTATAAACATTCTTTTCAGGTAAACTTGGTGCATTCCCCATGAAAGACCACATACTGAGCCACAAAGCTGGACACAATAGAATGAAAATAATGGGAATCATACAGATTATGTTCCCTAACCACATTAGAAAAAAAGATATGAAATTAATGACCTAGCAGCCGGGTGCGGTGGCTCACGGCTGTAATCCCAGCATTTTGGAAGGCCAAGGCAGGCGGATCACCTGAGGTCGCGAGCTCAAGACCAGCCTGGCTAACATGGTGAAACCCCTTCTCTATTAAAAATACAAAAATTAGCTGGGCGTGGTAGCGGATGGCTGCAATCCGAGCTACTCAGGAGGCTGAGCTGAGGCAGGAGAATCGCTTGAACCTGGGATGCGGAGGTTGCAGTAAGCCAAGATTGCATTACTGCACTTTAGCCTGGGTGGCAGCGCAAAACTCTGTCTCAAAATAAAATAAAATAAAATAAAATAAAATAAAATAAAATAAAATAAAATAAAATAAAATATGTAGGGTTCTACCTAAAGAGCCTATATATAAAAGGGTAAAGTAAACCCAAAGTAAGTAGAAAAAAAAAAAAAGAAATAGTAAAAATAAGAGCAGAAGAAATGAAACAGAAAAGTAACAGAAAATTTGAAGTCAAAGCTGGTCCTTTTGTCAGAGACCTCTGAACCAGAGTGCTTCTATCTTGAACAGGTGCTGGGTCAAATAAGGCTGAGTCCTGCTGGGCTGCATTCCCAGTAAGTCATGCATTCTAAGTCACAGAATGAGATAGGAGGCTGGCACAAGATACAAGACAGAAAAACCTTGCTGATAAAACAGGTTGTAATAAAGAAGGGGGCCAAAACCCACCAAAGCCAAGATGGTGATAAAACTGACCTCTGGTCATCCTCACTGCTCATTATACACTAATTATAATACATTAACATGCTAAGAGACACTCCCACAAGCGCCATGAGTTTACAAATGCCATAGCAATGCCAGCAAGTTACCCTATATAGTCTAAAAAGGGGAGGAACCACTAGTTCTGGGAATAGCCCACCCCTTTCCCAGAAAACTCATGAAGAATCCACCCCTTGTTTAGCATACAATCAAGAAATACTCATAAAAATGGGAAACCAGTGGCCCATGGCACTGCTCTGCCTATGGACTAGCCATTCTTTTATTCTTTTACTTTCTTAATAAACTTGCTTTCACTTGATGAATCCGCCCCAAATTCTTTCTTGCATGACATCCAAGAACCTCTCCTTGGGGTCTGGATTGGGACCCCTTCTGGTAACACGTTGGAAAGACCTACAAAGTTGACAGTCTGCAAGCGAAATTAATTTATTTTTAAATAGGAAGAATACAAATTACCAAGAATAAAAGGGGAATTAGCTCTACGATCCCAAAGGTATTGAGGGCCAAAGATTATTATTAATGACTTCATGCTAACTAATTCAACAGCTGAGATGAAAAGAAGAAATTCTTTGAAAACAAAACTTATCAAAACTGATAAAACAGAATATCTGAGAAGCATTTTAAGTTGAATTATCAAAATCCTTTCCAAAAAGAAAACTCTAGACTCAGATTTTTTCACTGATAAGTTCCTTCAAACACTAAAGAAAAAATAGCATCAATCTCACACAAACATTTCCAGAAAACAGAGAAGACAATGCTTCCCAAATCATTTTCTAAGTTGAGCATGAAGAATACCAATGCATATGCCAAAAATACCAGCACCTGACAAAAAGCAGCAAGGTTACACCAAAATCCCTCACATACAAAGATGCGCAAATATTTACTATTAGCAATTTAAATCCAACAATATATTAAGAGGAATAGGCCAGTTGCGATGGCTCACACAGATTACGAAAGTAATCCTGGCACTTTTGGAGGCCAAGGCGGGAGGATCACTTGAGGTCAGGAGACCTGCCTGGCCAACATGGTGAAACCTTGTCTCCACGAAAAAAATTAGCTGCTCATGGTGGCACGTGCCTGTAATCCCAGCTACTCCGGAGGCTGAGGCAGGAGAATCACTTGAACCCAGGAGGCGGAGGTTATAGTGAGCAGAGATTGTGCCACTGTACCCATCTCCAAAATAATAATAATAATAATAATACACCATGACACCAAATGGCATTTAGTATAACATTTGAAAATAAAACAATGAAATTTACATTAATATATTTAAATATATAGCATTATCTCAATAGATACAGAAAAAGCTTCTGAGAAAACTCAATATCCATTCAGGACATAAACCCTCAGGAAGCTAGGGCTAGACCTTACTCAACTGTGTATTCTCCATGGCATGGCATGATTATTCCTCTTAGGGTCTGTGACTATAACTATCTTTTCAATGGCAGTTATGTTGGGTTCTGTTGTCCTTGTCATATCTAAATAGTAATAAAACCTATATTTGAAAACAATCTGATAAAGTTCATCAATAAAACCCCTACAGCTGACTTATAATTAGTGGTGTAACACTGAATGCTGTATTCAAAGAATGAAAACAAGATTAAGTCAATTCTGTGAGGGAAGAGAATAAAAGGCATTACAACTAGGGAAAAAAAGAGATAAAACTGTGTTTTATGACAATCATCTATTAGAAAAATCTAAGAAATGTACCTAAAAAAACTCGTAGAATTAATATGACTTAAGGTTGTAAGAAACGGGTCAATATACAAAAATTCTATTTCCAACAAAAAATTAGAAATTTTTATAATACTTCATAATTGCTGAAAAAGTATTTAATATTTTAAAATACAAATAGCATCAAAAAAAGACAAAATACTTAAAAATAAAAATAATTTTAGGCCAGGCGTGGTGGCTCATGCCTGTAATCCCAGCAGTCTGGGAGGCCGAAGCAGGCAGATCATTTGAGATCAGGAGTTGACCAGCCTGGCCAACGGGGTGAAACCCCATCTCTACTAAAAATATAAAAATTAGTTGGGCTTAGGGTACATGCCAGTAATCCCAGCTGCTTGGGAGGCTGAGGCAGGAGAATTGTTTGAACCCAGGAGATGGAGTGAGCCAAGACTGGGCCACTGCACTCCAGCTAGGCGACAGAGTGAGACTCTGTCTCAACAAAAAGGAAAAAAAATAAGTAATTTTAAAAACAGAAGACATGCGAGACCAAAGGCTAAAAGCAACAAACGACTGCTCAGACAAAACAAAAAAGACCTAAATAAATGGAGAGATATACTATACTAATGACTAAGACTCAGTGGTTGTTAAGATGTCAGTTCTCCTCAAACTGATCAACAGATTCAAGACAATTACAATCATGATCCCATCAGCCTTTTTTGGAGAAGACAGAAAAGAGATGATTAAAATTTATACGGAAATGTGAAGGACGTAGAGTATGCAGAACTTCGAAAAAGAAGAAAAAGGTTTTAGGACTTGCAATTCTGACTTCAAGACAATATAAAGTTACCAAAGAATCCGAATACTCTAACAGGGCTAGACAAACAGATTTTTGAAGCAGAATAAAGATTTCTGAAAGAGATCCCACTTAGGCAGCCACGCGATGTTCCCAAAGCAACCCGGTGAGAAAAGGAGACTCTTTTCAACAAATGGTGACAAACAACTGGATAGCCACATGCAAAAAACTCAGACCTACAAAAATAACTTCAGACGCATCACAGACCTAAATATAAATTAGCAAAAGCAAGCCCTTTTACAGGAAACAAAGGAAATTACCTTCAAGACTTTGAGGTTAGGCAAAAGTGTCTTAGCTCACAGTAAGCAATAACTACAAAAGAAAACACTGATAAATTAAACCTAGCAGATATACATATTTCTGCTCATCAAAAGGTACAGTTAAAATAAATAGGCCGGGCGCGGTGGCTCACGCCTATAATCCCAGCACTTTGGGAGGCCGAGGCGGACGGATCACGAGGTCAGGAGGTCGAGACCACGGTGAAACCCCGTCTCTACTAAAAACACAAAAAGTTAGCCGGGCGTAGTGGCGGGCGCCTGTAGTCCCAGCTACTCGGGAGGCTGAGGCAGGAGAATGGCGTGAACCCGGGAGGTGGAGCTTGCAGTGAGCCGAGATCGCGCCACTGCACTCCAGCCTGGGTGACAGAGCGAGACTCCGCCTCAAAAATAAATAAATAAATAAATAAATAAATAAATAAATAAATAAATGGGTAAACCACATAGACTTGGGGAAAGTATTTACAAAACATTTGTCTAACAAAGGATGAGTATTTAGGACATATAAACACCTTCTGCAACTCAAATAGATGAAAAACGAAAACAAAGAACAGTAAAGGCAAAATGAACAAACTCATCACAAAAGAGAACACACAAATGGCCAACACACAAGCTAAAACGTGCTCAATATCACCAGTTATCATGAAAATGTAAATTCAAACCACAGTGATACCACTTCTGGTCAAGATGGAGTGAATAAAGGGGACCAGATTTAGCCTCCTTGCGTGAAATAATAAAAACCTAATAAAATGAATGAAACAACAGCACTGAAGATATTGGACAAGTAACAAAAGACAGTGATCCCTGGAAGACAAAAAACAAACGGGCCACACGTGTGCCCAGCTTACTGCCTTGAGAGAGTTTCCAGGTCGTGGAACAGGGAGGAGGAACCCAGGCAGAGCCTGTCGTCTCCCCAAGTTGAGGAAATGGAGCTGGAAGTCCAAGGAGGCCAAGGTGCCTAGAGCTCACAAGGGAGACCAGCACTGAGTAGAGAGCTGGAGAGAGAGAGAGAAATGAAGAGATCTACAAGGGCTCACCCTAGAACTTTTGGTTGAATGACAAATCAGCACTTGCAATGTAAAGGAGCTGTCCAAGGGCAAGGTGAGAAATCACCAAAACAATTAGACGTAATAGCATCCAGGACTGACTTAAGGATGTGTATAGTAT
This sequence comes from Homo sapiens, assembly GCF_000001405.40. Taxonomy (NCBI): domain Eukaryota; kingdom Metazoa; phylum Chordata; class Mammalia; order Primates; family Hominidae; genus Homo; species Homo sapiens. The sequence continues at coordinate 2,139,912 of NT_187614.1, forward strand.
AACCCACACCCAAAAGTCCAAAAGGAAATGACGTGATATAATTTATATCACATTGGAGATGTGACATTGGAATACTAAGAAAGAAAAGGCTTCAGAAGGAGGAAAAATTTAACCCTAAACACAACCCTGGTCCAATCAAGGAAAACATAAAAGACCCAACAGAAAGAAACTGTTTTCAAGCAACTTAATAATGCCACAGAACAAAGTCCACAAATATTTTTAAAAGGCAAACAAAACTAGAGAAACTAGAAAACAAGGTAAAATTCACACTGGCTCAAAAGTCAATCCAAATTTATAAGACTTACATAGAAGCAGGAAATTATACCCCATAATGAAACAAAAAACAAACCAATTTTGAAATGAAACAGAAAATAGAATTGGTAGACAAGTCCTTTAAAACAATTATGATGATATTTCATATGATGAGAAGGCTAGAAGAAACAACATATTAAGTAAAAATATGAATTATTTTTAAAATTTGAACTTCTAAAGATGAAAATTACAAAGTCTAAGATGAAAAACACACTTTGAAATTTGCAACACATGAAATCAAAATTACTAACCTAAATGAAACACAGAAAAAAACACTAAAAAATGTAATACGTGATAATTGAAATAACTTCAAGAGGCCAAACATATTTGTAACTAGAGCCACAAAACAGGAGATAATATTGAAAAAAAATTTTTAGAAATCATGGCCAACAACTTTTCACATATTTGAGGGAAATTATAAGCATATATAACAAGGCACTCTTTTAATGAATTATCATTCGCTAGAAACATGAAGAAAAGTGGCTGAGCGCAGTGGCTCATGCCTGTAATCCCAGCACTTTGGGCAGCCAAAGTGGGAAAATCGCTTCAGGCCAGGAGTTCGAGACCAGTGTGGGCAACGCTGCAGAACCCATCTCTAAAAACATACATACCCCCCCCACACACACACACACACACACACCACACACATGAAAAATGGCCTGGCATGGTGGCTCACGCCTGTAATCCCAGCACTTTGGGAGGCCGAGGTGGGCAGGTCACCTGAGGTCGGGAGTTCGAGACCAGCCTGACCAACATGGAAAAACCCCATCTCTACCAACAATACAAAATTAGCTGGGCATGGTGACTCATGCCTGTAATCACAGCTACTCGGGAGACTGAGGCAGGAGAATTGCTTGAACCCGGGAGGTGGAGATCGGGGTGAGCCAAGATCGTGCCATTGACTCCAGCCTGGGCAACAAGAGCAAAACTCCGTCTCAAAAAAAAAAAAAAAAATTAGCCACGGGTAGTGGCACACACCTGTGGTCCTTCCAGCTACTCAGGAAGGCTAAGGCAGAAGGAGGTCAAGGCCATAGTGAGCCATGACTATGCCACTGCACTCCAGCCCAGGTGACAGAGTAAAAGCCCATCTCCAAAAAACAGGGTAAACCATGACCAAAATGACTACAATCAGAAATTAAAATTCCAGTGCAGCCAAGAAAAAGATCTTATTACACACTACAAAGAAAGTTGAAATCGTTATAATACTATCATGTAAAGTGGACAAAAATAAAAATTTTATCAGGAAAAAAGAGCATCATTTTATATACATTAAGGGTTTAATTCGTCAAGAACACACAAAAATCCTAAACATTTATTTACCTATTAATAACAGGGCTTCAAAATAAATAAAGCAAAAATGAGAGAACTGTAAGAAGAAATGAAAGAATCCACAATTATATTTTAAAATTTCAGCAAACCTCTCTGTGTAATAGAACCAGGGCCAGGCATGGTGAATGACACTTGTTATCCCTGAACTTTGGAAGGCCGAGACAGGATTGCTTGATCACAGGAGTTCAAGACCAACCTGAGCAACACAGGGAGACCCTGTCTCTACAAGAAGAGTTTTAAAAATTAACTGGGTGGGCCAGGCGTGGTGGCTCACACCTGTAATCCCAGCACTTTGGGAGCCAGAGGCAGGCGGATCACCTAAGGTCAGCAATTCAAGTCCAGCCCAGCCAACATGGTGAAACCCTGTCTCTACTAAAAATTCAAAAATTAGCCGGGCGTGGTGGCACACAACAGTAATCCTAGCTACTCGGGAAGCTTAGATAGGAGAATCGCTTCAACCCAGGAGATGGAGGTTGCAGTGAGCCGAGATCATGCCACTGCACTCCAGCCTGGGCGACAGAGAGAGATTCCAGACCAGCAGACAGAAAATCAGTAAGGATACAGAAGCTTGAATAACACCAAACTGACCTAACTAACTTTAGAACACTCTACACAACCTACCAGAATACACATTCTGTTCAAGTGCATTTGGAACATTCACCAAGATATACCATATTCGGGCCAAAAAAAACAACTCTTGGTACATTTAAAAGGTTTGAAGTCTTATCATGATTTTTTTCTTACCACTATGATATTTAGAAATCAGTGACAGAAAAAAAAATCAATAGGCAATCCCCATATTTGAAATCAAAACATACTTTTAAAATAACCAATGGGGGCCAGGAGCTGTGGCTCACGCCTCTAATTCCAGCACTTTGGGAGGTCGAGGCAGGTGGATCACAAGGTCAGGAGTTCAAGACCGGTCTGGCCAAGATGGTGAAACCCCGTCTCTTCTAAAAATACAAAAATTACCCGGGCATGGTAGCCGGCGCCTGTAACCGCAGCTACTCAGGAGGCTGAGGCAGAGAATTGCTTGAACCCGGGAGGCGGAAGTTGCAGCAAGCCAAGATCACGCTGCTGCACTCCAGCCTGGGCGACAGAGCGAGAATCTGTCTCAAAATATAAAATAAATAACATAACATAACATAACATAACCCATAACACCAAGGGGTAAAAAAAGGACAAATATATCAAGTATTTTAAGACAGTTAAAGCAGTGATTGAAAGAGAAATTTATACAATTACATGACTATATTAGAAAAGAAACAAATCAGTGACTTCACCTTGTTCCTTAAGAAACTAGAAGAGCAAAAGAAAGATCGAGCAGAAGTCAATGAAATAGAAAACAGAAAAATAGGGCACACTCAGTGAAATCAAAGGTTAGACTTACACTTCTGGGACGATGGAATGGACATACTTTTCCCTATTCCTCCCACTAAGTACAAATTTAAAATGTGAACATTGTAAATAAAACGAATATTCTCTGAAAGGTGGAGAGAAGGCAAATTAGCTCAGGATCACAGGACACAAGGCACAATATAGCAGTAAATTCCCTGGGTATTCTTCTTTTTGCCTAATGTATCCTACTCCTGGAATGGAAGAAGTGAGTACATCAGGACACCGATGAACACAGACCAAAAAAAAAGAATCCCCAACAGGGCCCGGCGCGATGGCTCACGCCTATAATCGCAGCACTTTGGAAGGCCGAGGCGGGTGGATCACCAGAAGTCAGGAGTTGGAGACCAGCCTGGCCAACATGGCAAAACCCCGCCTCTACTAAAAATAAAAATTAGCTGGGCGTGTTGGCCGGTGCCTATAGTCCCAGCTACTCCGGAAGCTGAGGCACGAAAATCGCTTGAACTTGGGAGGCGGAGGTTGCAGTGAGCAGAGATGGCGCCACTGCACTCCAGACTGGGTGATAAAGATGGTCTCCAAAAAAAAAAAACAAACAAAAAAACTAAAACAGTTGTTTAAGTAAGATGCATAGTCTCATGACAACACAAAAATGCCCAGGTTTCAATCAAAAGTTATTTGTGATACCAAAAAGATATGAAGAATCCAGAAGATTTCAAATTGAATGGAAAAAGGCAATAAACAAATGCAAACATCAAGATATCTTAATTCTAATATCTCACAGATACATCAGAATTAACTGAAAAAATTTTTTGTTTGTTTGTTGTTGCTTTTTGTTTGTTTGTTTCTTGAGACGGAGTCTCGCTCTGTTGCCCAAGCTGGAGTGCACTGGCATGATCTCAGCTCACGGCAAGCTCTGCCTCCCAAGTTCAAGCGATTCTCCTGCCTCAGCCTCCTGAGCAGCTGGGATTACAGGTGCCGCCATCGCTCCTGGCTAATTTTTGTATTTTTAGTAGAGACGGGTTTTCGCCACGTTGGCCAGGCTGGTTTTGAACCCCGGACCCCAGGTGACTAACCCACCTTGGCCTCCCAAAAACAATTTTTAGGCCGGGCATGGTGGCTCACGCCTGTAATCTCATCACTTTGGGAGGCCGAGGTGGGTGGATCACCTCAGGTCTGGAGTTGGAGAACAACAGCCTGACCAACATGGACAAACTCCGTCTCTACTAAAAATACAAACTTAGCCGGGCATGGTGGCACATGCCTGTAATCCCAGCTACTTAGGAGGCTGAGGCAGGAGAATCACTTGAACCTGGGAGGCGGAGGTTGCAGTGAGCTGAGATCACGCCATTGCACTTCAGCCTGGGCAACAAGAACGAAAGTTTGTCTCAAAAAAGAAGAAAAAAAAATTCAGCGGAACAAATATCCAAACCATATCAATGAACTAAAATAAGCAGATATAAAATACAATAAAGAAAAATGGTTTTGGCGTAGTGAATTGGGGTAGAAAAAAAATACGACAAGAAAAATGGGATTCCAAAAATGTTCAAGTAACTCAAAAGAAAGCAGGAAAAAGAACAATCAAAAAACTAAAACTAAAACGAGGCGTGGTGGCTCAGACCTGTTATTCTAGCACTTTGGGAGGCCAAGGTGGGTGAATCACCTAAGGCCGGGAGTTCAAGACCAGCCTGGCCAACATGGTGAAACCCCAACTCCACTAAAAATATAAAAATTAGCTGGGCGTGGTAGCACATGCCTGTAATCCCAGCTACTTGGGAGACTGAGGCACAAGAACTGCTTGAACCCGGGAGGCAGAGGTTGCAGTAGGCCAAGATTGAGCCACTGCACTCCAGCCTGGGCAAGAGTAAAACTTTGTCTCAAAAAAAAAAAAAAAAAAAAAAAAAAGGATTCTGACAACATCTGTAAGTATGTAAATGGCCCAAATACCTAAAAACAGCAAATAAAAGACAAAAACTGGCCAGGTGCAATGGCTCACAACCATAATCCAAGCACTTTGGGAGGCTGAGGAGAGCAGATCACTTGAGGTTCGGTGTTCGAGACCATCCTGGCCAACATGGTGAAACCCTGTCTCTACTAAAAATACAAAAAAAAAAATTTAGGCAGTCATGGTGGTGGGCACCTGTAATAGCTACTCTGGAGGCTGAGGCAGGAGAATTGTTTGAACCCACTAGGCAGAGGTTGCAGTGAGCCGAGATCATACCACTGCACTCCACCCTGGGTGACAGAGTGATGAACTCCGTCTCAAAAAAAAAAAAAAAAAGAAAAAGACAAAGATTGACAAACTAGATTTAAAAAACATAACCTACAGCCAAGCATGGTGGCTCACGCCTGTAATGCCAGCACTTTGGGAGGCCATGACAGAAGGGTCTCTTGAGCCCATGAGTTCGAGACCAGGCTGGGCAACATAACAAGACCTCGTCCCTACAAATAATAAAAAAATTAGCCGGGTGTGATGGTGCACATGTGTGGTCCCAGTTACTTGGGAGGCTGAGGTGGGGGAATTGTTTGAGCCCAGGAGGTCCAGGCTGCAGTAAACCATGATTGTGCCACTGCAGTCCAGCCTGGGTGACAGAGCAAGACCGTGTCTCAAAAAAAAAAAAAAAAAAAAGGCCAGGCACAGTGACTCACACCTGTAATCCCAGCACTTTGGGAGGCCAAGGAAGGCAGATCAAGAGGTCAAGTGTTCGAGACCAGCTTGGTCAACATAGTGAAACCCAGTTTCTACTAAAAATATAAAAAATTAACCAGGCATGGTGGCGGGCACCTGTAATCCCAGCTACTCGGGAGGCTGAGGCAGGAGAATTGGTTCAACCCGGGAGGTGGTGGTTGCAGTGAACCAAGATGACGCCATTGCACTCCAGCCCAGGTGACAGTGCAAGATTCCATCTCAAGAAAAAAAAAAAAAAGAAAGAAAGAAAACATAACCTAACACTGTTTTGTGTACAAGACATTTACTTCGAATATAACAATCTAAGCACATTGAAAGCAAAAAAAAAAAAAAAATTCAAAAGGTATATGATGCAACCATTCACTAAGGAAAAGTGGATGACTATATTAATATCAGAAACAGTATACTTCAGAGCAAAGAAAAAGTACTAGAGACTAAGAAGGAAATTATTTATTGAGAGAGGGGTCAATCCACCAAGAGGACATAACATTCCTAAATGTGTATGCAGCAAAAAACCAGACTACGAAATCTGTGAAAGAAAACCTGATGGAACAGAATGAAGAAATACACAAATCCACTATAGAGACTTCAGTATTTCTCTGTAACAACTGTTAAAACTATACATATGATCACAGCAAGAGTATTTACTTCAACCCCATGAACTAACTGGATCCATGGACATTTACAGGACATTCCACCCAGCAAGAGTGGAATACTTTTTTTTTTTTTTTGACAGAGTCTCACTCTGTCGCTCAGGCTGGAGTACAGTGGTGCAATCTCAGCTCGCTGCAACCTCCGCTTCCTGGGTTCAAGCAATTCTCCTGCCTCAGCCTCCCAAGTAGCTGGGACTACAGGCATGTGCCACCATGCCTGGCTAATTTTTGTATTGTTTTTGAGTAGAGATAGGGAGACTCCGTCTCAAAAAAAGAAAATAGCCAAAAGTGATGAACAGGGGATATATAAAGGTACTACTGCTTGTCTCAGCAGCACATATACCAAAATTGAATCAATACAGAGAAGATTAGCATGCTCCCTGCACAGTGATGACATGCAAATTCTTAAAGTGTTCCATATTTTTAAAAAAAGATACCAAATAAGCACCCGAAAAGATGGTCAACATCATTAGCCACTAAGTAAATACGTATTAAAAACACAATGAGGTGTGTGTAGTGGTCTGTAATCCCAGCACTTTAGGAGACCAGTCTGGAGCATGACTTGAGCTCAGAAGTTCAAAACCAGCCTGAGCAACATAGCAAGACCTTATCTCTTCAAAAACATATTTCTAAAAACATTGGCTGGGTGTAGTGTAGCACACACCCATAGTCCCAGCTACTCAGAGGGTTAAGGTGGCAATGAGACATGATCATGACACTGCCCTTCAAAGCCTAGGTAACAGAGCAAGACCCTGTCTCAAAAATAATAATAATAATAATAATAATAATACACACAATGAGATATCACTACCCACCTATCAACATTACTAAATGAAGACTTACGTTCACATGAAAACCTGTGTGATGTTTCTAACAGTTTTATTCATAATAACCTACAAGTGGAAATAACTGAGATTATCTTTCAGCAAATAAGTAAACAAAGTGCAGTATAACCGTAACAAACACTAAGCAACAACCCGGAGGAATCTCCAAGGAATTAAACTTAGTGTAAAAAACTCAATCCCAGAAAATTACATGTTGTTTTGTTTTGTTTTGTTTTTAGACCAGAATCTCATTCTGTCACCCAGGGTGGAGTGCAGTGGTGCAATCTCGGCTCACTGCAACCTCCACCTCCTGGGTTCAAGCAATTCTCATGTCTCAGCCTCCCAAGCAGCTGGGATTACAGGTTAATCCCTGTAATTTTTGTATTTTCAGTAGAGACAGGGTTTCACCATGTTGGCCAGGCTGGTTTCCAACTCCTGACCTCAAGTAACCCACCCACCTCAGCCTCCCAAGGTGCTGGGATTACAGGCGTGAGCCAGGCACCTGGCCTTCAGAAAATTACAAGTTCTATCATCCCATTTATATAACATCCTTGAGATAACAAAATTACCAAAATGAGGAATACATTAGCAGTTACGACTAAGTCTGGCGGCAGGAGGAAAGCAGGTGTGGCTATAAAAGCACAACAGGAAGGGAGAGGATTCTGGGAAGATGGTGCAATAGGAAGCACCAGGAACCTGAGGTCGGGAGTTCAAGACCAGCCTGGCCAACATGGACAAACCCCGTCTCTACTAAAAATACAAAATTAGTCGGGCGTGGTGGTGCATGCCTGTAATCCCAGCTACTCAGGAAGCTGAGGCAGGAGAATTGCTCCAATCCAGGAGGCGGAGGTTGCCGTGAGCCAAGATCGCGCCATTGCACTCCAGCCTGGGCAGCAAGAGTGAAACTCCATCTCAGAAAAAAAAAAAAAAAAAAACAAGTATATATAAGTCAGCAATGAAGAAAATGCAGGACTTGTACACAGAAAAATCATAAAACTTTACTGAAGTAAACTGAAGACAACATATATAAATGGAAAGACATTTCATGTTCTTGGATTGCAACACCTTAATGTTGCTAAGATGTTACTACTCCAAAGCAATCTACACATTCAATAAAATCCCTGTCAAAATCCCAAGAATGTTTTTTGCAGAAATTAAAAAAAAATACATTCTAAAACTCATGTAGAATCTCAAGGGACCTCAAATAGTCAAAACAATCTTGAAAAAGAATAAATTTGAAGACATCACACTTCGTGATTTCAAAACTTACTACAAAGCTACAGTAATCAAAACAGTGTTGCCAGGCTTGGTGGCTCATGCCTGTAATCCCAGCACTTTGGGAGGCCGAGGCGGACGGATCACCTGAGGTCGGGAGTTTGAGACCAGCCTAATCAACATAAAGAAACCCCGTGTCTACTAAAAATACAAAAATTAGCCGGGTGTGGTGGCACATGCCTGTAATCCCAGCTACTCGGGAGGCTGAGGCAGGAGAATCGCTTGAACCCAGGAGGCAGAGGTTGCAGTGAGCTGAGATCAGGCCACTACACTCCAGCCTGGGCAACAAGAGTGAAACTCCACCTCAAAAAAACAAAAACAAAAACAAAACACAGTGTTGTACTGGCATAAAAACAGAGCACTGAAAGAGAATAGAGAGTTCAAAAATAAACTCTCGCTTATATGGTGAAGTGATTTTCAACAAAAGTGCCAGGATCATTCAGTGGGAAAGAGACTCTTTTCAACAAATAATTTTGGGAAAACTGCATTATCTACATGCAAAAGAATGTAGGTGGACACTTCTCTTACACCGCACACAAAAATTGACTCAAAATGGATCAAAGACCTAAACATAAGAGCTACATCTGGTGGCCGGGCGCGGTGGCTCACGCCTGTAATCCCAGCACTTTGGGAGGCCGAGGCGGGCGGATCACGAGGTCAGGAGATCGACACCATCCCGGCTAAAACGGTGAAACCCCGTCTCTACTAAAAATACAAAAAATTAGCCGGGCGTAGTGGCGGGCGCCTGTAGTCCCAGCTACTTGGGAGGCTGAGCCAGGAGAATGGCGTGAACCCGGGAGGCGGAGCTTGCAGTGAGCCGAGATCCCGCCACTGCACTCCAGCCTGGGCGACAGAGCGAGACTCCGTCTCAAAAAAAAAAAAAAAAAAAAAAAAAAAAGAGCTACATCTGGGCCGGGCATGGTGACTCACACCTGTAATCCCAGCATGTTGGGAGGTCGAGGCAGGTGGATCACGAGGTCAGGAGATCGAGACCATCCTGGCAAACACGGTAAAACCCCGTCTCTACTAAAACTACTAAAAAACTAGCTGGGCATGGTGGCAGGCGCCTGCAGTCCCAGCTATTCAGGAGGCTGAGGCAGGAGAATGGCGTGAACTGGGGAGGCAGAGCTTGCAGTGAGCTGAGATCGTGCCACTGCACTCCAGCCTGGGCAACAGAGTGAGACTCTGACTCAAAAATAAATAAATAAATAAATATAAAAATAAAAATGTCAACAAATTTGCTCAACTATAACAGAAAAAGAAAGCTTACAAGAGAATGTAGAGCTCATAGTTTCTACTTAGTGTTTGTTAGATAAATGGTTTAAATGGACTGAAAATCCTGAAAAACTGCTTGAATCATAAAGAATCTTTGAAATATTATGGAAGCATTTTCTAGCTTGTTTCTGAAACCTCTGAAAAAAACCTCCTCATGTATCAATACAAGCTAACCTGCTTTACAGAAATCAGAAGAAAACCATGGCTGGGCACGGTGGCTCACGTCTATAATGCCAGCACTTTGGGAGGTCGAGGTGGGCGGATCACGAGGTCAGGAGTTCGAGGCCAGCCTGGCCAACATGGTGAAACCCCTGCTCTACTAAAAATACAAAAATTAGCCAGGCATGCTGGCAGGCGCCTGTAATCCCAGCTCCTTGAGAGGCTAAGGCAGGAAAATAGCTTGAACCTCGGAGGCAGAGATTGCAGTGAGCCGAGATCGCACCACTGCACTCCAGCCTGGGACCCAGCGAGACTCTGTCTCAAAAAAAAAAAAGAAAAAAAGAAAACTATGTATTTTATTACATGTACACATTTGTCTTTCATATACTTGTAACTCAGAAAACCATGCTTTCACAAATGTAATAATAGAAATACAATAATATTAGCAATCATAACATTTGTGAAAGTGTAAAGAATAAACTGGCCAGATGCTGTCTCTTACACCCTAGAACCCAGGTTCTGGTCAAGGCTTGTCTTGGTTGTATGAACTCACTTCATGGACCTGTCATAAGGCTCAAAAGAGATACTGTAAACAAAAGCATCTTGTAAACTGCATAAGCCTGTAGATTTGTGGTCCATCTAAATCCAGGCACTTTAACGACTGATAGCTGTCCCCCCAGAACCTCCTTTCTCGATTCTTAACATAAACAACTTATACTTCCAAGTCCAGTTCAAAAGTTATATTCTTGGAAGCCTCCACGTCCCTCCTGTCCATCCAGGCAGAACTAATCCATCTACACTCTAGTATTATGCTCTCATAACTCTTGGCTCTTCCCCAGTTCATTCAAGAGTGTAACGAGCAGTTAAAATATGTCAGACATCATGCTATGCACTGGAGAAAAAATCTTAAATGTGTGAAGCTTACAAAGCTTTTTCACACACATTATCTCATTTCATACTTTAAAAATATCCCATAGGATCATGATTATGTGTTTACAATTTCTCTAACCAGAATAAATTCCCAGGGGGTAGAGACTAAGTGTGATTCATCTTTGATTCCCCAGAGTCTAATGCAGTGTCTGGCACCCAGAAGGCACCCATTAAGCACTTGATAAATGAATGAGTAAAGGAGTAACAAACACTTGTTCGATTACTAAAATGTCAATCAGGGTTAACACTGAAATAATCTTTCCACAAAGTTTCCACAGGGGAGAGGGGAAAAATACATTATATTATATACAAACACATCTGGGGAGCGAAAATTCCTCCCTATAGCAGAGCATCTCCAACTCAAGTTTAACTGTTTAACAAAGCCACATAGCAACTGAGGATGGATTTGATTTTACTACTGGACTAACAAGCTCTTGGTGAAGAACAATGAGTTCTGCATAAAAGCTCCTATGTAGATCATTCTGCTTGGTAAAACTGGACATTATTACACAAATATTAAAATAAATACTTAAAGAGCTTCTGCACAGCAAAAAAAAAAAAAAATCATCAGAGTGAACAGGCAACCTACAGAATGGGAGAAAATGTTTGCAATCTATCCATCTGAGAAAGGTCTAATATCCAGAATCTATAAGGAATTTAAACAGATTTATAAGAAAAAAAAACCATCAAAAAGAGGGTGAAGGATATGAACAGACATTTCTCAAAAGAAGATATTTATGCGGCCAACAAACATATGAAAAAAAGCTCATCATCACTGCTCATTAGAGAAATGCAAATCAAAACCACAATGAGATACCATCTCACGCCATTTAGAATGGTGATCATTAAAAAGTCAGGAAACAACAGATGCTGGAAAGGATGTGGAGATACAGGCATGCTTTTACACCGTTGGTGGGAGTGCAAATTAGTTCCATCATTACCAAAGACTGTGGCGATTCCTCACAGTGACCAATTGAAATTATATTTTACATGTAATAAAACCATTTTCTATTTACAAAAATCAAATAAATTCTCGTAAAGCAAACACGCCTCCATTTATTTCCCACTTTTTGCACAAAATTGGATTTTCACTGTAACTGAGGTGTGCTAAATGCATGGTTAATCTAGTGTCAGCATCATCTTCCTATAAATTACAGATGCCTTCTGTGAGCAGGTCTCCTGCAGGCTCATGTATGTTGTATTTTGAAATCTACTTTAGAGGATATTTTAAGACTTTTAGAACCAGAAATACCATTTGACCCAGCAATCCCATTACTGGCTATATACGCAAAGGATTGTAAATCATTCTACTATAAAGACACATGCACATGTATGTTTATTGCAGCACTATTTACAATAGCAAAGACTTGGAACCAACCCAAATGCCCATCAAGGATAGACTGCATAAAGAAAATGTGGCACATATACACCATGGAATACTATGCAGCCATAAAAAAGAATGAGTTCATGTCATTTTCAGGGACATGGATGAAGCTGGAAACCATCATCTCAGCAAACCAACACAGGAACAGAAAACCAAACACCACATGTTCTCACTCAAAAGTGGGAGTTGAACAATGAGAACACATGGGCACAGGGAGGGGAACATCACACACCAGGGCCTGTCAGGGGATGGCGGGCAAGGGGAGGGATAGCATTAGGACATATACTTAATGCATGTGGGGCTTAAAACCTAGACGACAAGTCGATAGGTGCAGCAAACCACCATGGCACATGTATACCCATGTAACAAACCTGCACGTTCTGCACATGTATCCCAGAACTTAAAGTATAATTTTAAAAAATTTAAAAAATAAAAAATAAAATAAAGTCTTGTTTCAGGGTAATATTAATTTGCGTTACCACCTATTTCAACACGGCAGACAATTGTACCATCTGAGACAAATGGAGCTTTGACATGAAATCTTAAAATACCCCATAAATGGTGGCCGGGCGCGGTGGCTCACACCTGTAATCCCAGCACTTTGGGAGGCCGAGGCGGGCAGATCACAGGGTCAGTAGATCGAGACCATCCTGGCTAACACGGTGAAAACCCGTCTCTACTAAAAGTACAAAAAATTATCGGGGCGTGGTGGCAGGAGCCTGTAGTCCCATCTACTCCTGAGGCTGAGGCAGGAGAATGGCGTGAACCCGGGAGGTGGAGCTTGCAGTGAGCCAGATCGGGCCACTGCACTCCACCCTGGTCAACAGAGCCAGACTCCATCTCAAAAAAAAAAAAAAAAAAAAAAAAAAAAAAAAAACCGCATGAATGGATTGATAGACAAAAAGCGAAAAAATCCAATGCTACCAGCTCTCATAAGCTCAAAATTCAATTCTCTACTCTACAAAAATCCCTGGTATAAGTGAGAGATATACTTCAAGATCTTTGCATATTCCAAAGTTTATGGCTATTACTGCCACAGAGCTTCTTCCATAAACTTCAAACGTTTGCACTGAAGAGCACTGTGTCTGGGGACTACTTTACTATCACTAGCTTCATAATGGTGTTTTCTCCTTGGTGTAATATTTCACAAGGAGACAAAGAATACGTATGTGTGTATGTGAATCATTCATGCTAGTTACCACGTAAATAACAACAAGCAGCAAATACGAAGTTAAAAGTGAAGTTGCAGTGTAAATGCTGCTGTCCAGATGGGTGAGGCTTACTCATCCGCCAAGCGAAGTCCTCAACCTCGCCTCCACCGCACACAGCGTTCAAGTTTCCATCTCAACAGAACTTACGCATCATGAACCTTTACGGTTCATAAACAGTTGAGAAAGCTAACATCAAATTCTTGCATGCCAAGAGTCTACAAATTATTCCATTCACAGATGTTATAATCGGATTTTTTTTTTTTTTTGATACGGAGTCTTGCTCTCACCCAGACTATAGTGCAGTGGCGCGACCTCGGCTCACTGCAACCTCCGCCTCCGGGGTTCAAGCAATTCTCCTGCCTCAGCCTCCCGAGTAGCTGGAATTACAGACACGCGCCACCATACCCGCTACTTTTTTGTATTTTTAGTAGAGACGGTGTTTCACTATGTTGGCCAGGCTGGTTTTGAACTCCTGACCTCAAGTGATCCGCCCACCTCAGCCTCCCCAAGTGCTGGGATTACAGGCGTGAGCCACCTCGCCCGACTCTGATCATTACTTAATTAGGATAAAACCATTCCTTAGAAAGGTCATTCAATTCTGATGATTGTATATCTCATATTTTTCAAATACTCTCATTGTTAATAAGCATTTCACTCCACTAAGGCTACCCTGGCATCAAACGTATTTCAGATTTGGCCAGGCTCGGCAGCTCATGCCTGCAATCCCAGCATTCTGGGAGGTCGAGGCGGGTGGTTCACCTGAGGTCAGGAGTTGGAGACCAGGCTGGCCAACATGGCAAAACCCCATCTCTATTAAAACTACAAAAAATTAGCTGGGCGTGGTGGCAGGTGCCTGTAATCTTAGCTACTCGGGAGGTTAAGGCAGGAGAATCCCTTGAACCTGGGAGGGAGAGGTTGCAGTGAGCCGAGATTGCACCCCACTGCACTCCAGCCTGGGCGACAGAGCAAGACTCCATCTCGAAAATAATAATAATAAAATACAGTGAGGTGTTTTTTTTTGTTTGGTTGGTTTTTTGGGGGGTTTTTTTGTGTTTTTTTTGACCGAGTCTCGCTCTGTCACCCAGGCTGGAGTGTGGTGGCGCGGTCTCAGCTCACTGCAAGCTCCGCCTCCCGGGTTCACGCCATTCTCTTGCCTCAGCCTCCCTAGTAGCTGGGACTACAGGCGCCCGCCACCACGCCCGGCTAATTTTTTGTATTTTTAGTAGAGACGGAGTTTTACCATGTTAGCCAGGATGGTCTCGATCTCCTGACCTCGTGATCCGCCCACCTCGGCCTCCCAAAGTGCTGGGATTACAGACGTGAGCCACCATTCCCGGCCCAACACAATGAGTTTTAATAGACAGAGTCAGGTGACATTCATCTATCTAGTCCTACACGCCATTTTGGCATTGAAGGGTTCCACAGGGCTGGAGTCACTTAGCTCTAGGTGCACAATTCTAGTGTATGAGTATACTTTTCTATTCTAAAGCCGCAATGAGCAAAATGGGTCAGTGTAATTGTAGAATTCATCTTCTACATATCAAGCACTGTAATAGGTAAACATTTTATATACATCCTCTCTAATCTTTGCAACATTCCACAAAGTAAGGGTTATTTTACCCATTGAAAAATCACTGGAAAGTCAGAGGATTTAGGGCCATTGCCCCCAACATCTACAGCCCACACCAAGATTTGAACCCAGATCTCTCTGGTTTCAAAACCCTGCCCTAATCATTTCACTGTATTACCAATCCAAGGAATAAATAAAGTTAAGGTATCTTAGTCAGATAAAAGTGGCAAATTAGACCAGGCGTGGTGGCTCACGCCTGTAATCCCAGCACTTTGGGAGGCCGAGGCAGGCAGATCACGAGGTCAGGAGATCGAGACCATCCTGGCTAACACGGTGAAACCCCACCTCTACTAAAAAAATACAAAAAATTAGTCGAGCGTGGTGACACACGCCTGTAGTCCCAGCTACTCGGGAGGCTGAGGCAGGAGAATCGCTCGAAGCTGAGAGGCAGAGGTTGCAGTGAGCCAAGATTGTGCCACTGCACTCCAGCCTGGGTGACACAGTGAGACTCCATCTCAAAAAATTTTTTAAAAATGTGGCAAATTAATGAGAGGAAAATTTAAAAAGTTAACCCCACAAACCAAGAAATCTATTTATGATTATGTTTGTTGTAAGAGACAGAGTCTTGCTCTATTGTCCAGGCTAGTCTCAAAGTCCTGACCTCAAGCAATCCTCCCGACTCAGCCTCCTGAGTAGTGGGGATTATAGGCGTTACAGGCATGAGCCAATGCCCCCAGCAAGAAGTCTGTATGTTCTTATCATACGTGCGACTAAACAAAATTATACTTAAGAAACTGACAAATCATGGTAATATTTTAAATATCATGACTACACTGAAACCCTGCCAGAGGTATTTTTAAAATGTCAAGGATTTTTTTGATTTTTTTTTTTTTGAGACAGAGTCTCCCTCTGTTGCCCAGGCTGGAGTGCAGCAGTGAGATCTTGGCTCACTGCAACCTCTACCTCCCGGGTTCAAGCAATTCTCCTGCCTCGGCCTCCCGAGTAGCTGGGATGGCAGGCACGTGCCGCCACACCCGGCTAACTTTTGTATTTTTAGTAGAGACGGGGTTTCACCATGTTGGTCAGGCTGGTCTCGCACTCCTGACCTTGTGATCCGCCCACCTCGGCATTCCCAAGTGCTGAGAATACAGGCGTGAGCCACCGCGCCCGGCCAAAATGTCAAGGATTTTTACGCTGATGTGCTTAATGTGCCCAATCTGCAATTCTAGTGGTAATCAGTGACATACCCATAAATCAGAGAGTACTTCTATGAAAATAATCACAGCCTACAAATACGGATAAAACTCCTCAGCTTTACCTCTTAGATGGTTCTAGACAGTTTCAGAATTCGTGCCTCTTTCTTCAACTCTCTCATTAATTTTATTACCCTTGGCAGTAAAATAATCTTACCAATTGCTCTCCCTATGAAATTGTGAATGAAAATTCCCATTTCTCTTTGCTAGGTCTTGTTAGCTGCCATCTCTGGGAAGGAGAAAGTGTTTTTATAGATAGGCATGGCAAGGACAAATAATGGAGTTGAAATGCAAGGGTGGATGGCAAATAAATTGCATCTTGTGAACTACCTCCAACTAACTTCTGCCTGGAGCACTGTGTTTAAAAGGATTCCTAGGCCACATCTGGAGGGATCCGGGAAAAAAAAAAACAAAAGAGATGTAACGAAGGTAAGCGGAGAACCAGTAAAGTGTAGTGCTACAGTAGCCTAGGGTTTCAAGGAAAGGAGATTATAATATCCAGTCAGGCAGAGCAGCAGTCAAACAACATGAAGAAAAATGTCCACGAGACTTGGCATGTAGGAGATCACTGATGTGCCTATTGACAAGTTCAGTAGCGTTGTGAGGGAAAAGTCAATGGGCTAAAGCGGAAATGAGTGCTGACACAGAGACAGCAGGTGTAAACCAGAGACAGAGCCAGTGTACCGGATGGCTGAAGTCAAATACTTACGTAGCAAATGGGGATAGAGACACGTGTCCGATGGATGTATTGGCCTTCTCAGGACAAATATTCCATCCCCTGAAAACCACAGGAAAGGGGTAAAGAAGGATACTCCTATAGGTCAATTTACAGAAGAGAGCAAAACCTTAAAATTGTCAACGAAGTAGGAGCTAAGAACCTCTGTATCAGGTGAAGAGACAGGAAGGTCAAGACGGGGAAGGAGAAGATTTGCTAAAGATGTTGAAGAGAATGAGAGAACTAAACAGGGCTGGGCAAGCAAAGGCATCAGGCAAGGCTGAGTACTCAGATGAGGTTGAAATTATGGAATAGTTACATTAAAACAGGGTTAATCTGTATGACTAGGTGCTTTTTCTTTAGCCTTCAGATACAGAAGTAGAACAACAGACTGTGGATTGGGCTGGCATTTTGCCAGGATACACCAGGAAGACAGGGGCACAGGAAAGGCCCAATGTTGGGAGTATTTCCATTAATCTCCTATGAGATCCAGGCTGGCTAGGGTAGCAAGGCAGGTTATAAGAAGAAAAATACAGACAAACTCGTGAGACTGCAGAGGCTTGGAAGGAGAAAATGTGTTGGGTGACAGTGAGATGCAGAAGATTTCTAAGGTGATACACCTGTAGAGGAGAAGGTGGAGGTCCCAGCCCGGGGAAAAGGTGGCTAATCTGCCCCTGGTGATGACCACTGGCATTAAAGGAATCCAGAAGAGACGAGGCTTTTTCTGTTTGTGGAAGTTATCTCCTTGTCCAAGTTTCTCTTCACCACTGAAAACCTCTGAAAGTTGTCAACTTCATTAAGGTAGATTCAGAAGACCTGTTTGATTCAAAATGACAAAATGCTTCTAGAGAAAAAGCACATATGTCTGGTCAGATAATGCGTGTATGACTTCGGACAAATCATAGCATTTCAGTGTTTGAGGTAACCTAGTCTGTCTGTCCTCTTTATTCCTTAACTCTCCATCTGTACAGACAGAAACAATGTAATCAGCCACATAACTTGTATAAAATAAATATGAAGAGAGAACCAATTATGAAGGTAGAAGTTCTTGGGGTGAGGGGAAGAATTTTAAAATACAAAATTAACTAGCTACTTCTTCAAGAAGAAAAATATCAGGGAGTACTGAAAGAGAACAATTGCAGAAAGGAAGAGAAATTAACGTGAACAGCAACCAAAAACCTTCTAAGAATGTATCAACAGTCCAGTGGAAAACAAATACCCACCCTGATGACACCTTGATCTTGGACCCACGGCCTCCAGTACTGTGAGACAGTAACATTCTGTTGCTGAAGGTGCCCAGTCTGTGGTACTGTAAAACAGCCCTAGGAAACTAACACAGCCTGTTAGCCCACAGATGGTGGAGAGAAGGAATGCTCAGTGGAGCTCCAGGCTTACTGTCTACAGCTCCCAAAGTGTGCTACAGGACCCCTGGATGGGTGTAGGTATGCAAGATAATTTTGGGTGGTGCAGGGTGAATAATTTCAAATGACATAAAAATGTGTTTCTCTTACTGGGTAAATCAGGGGTCCCCACCTGTTAGGAACCAGGCAACACAGCAGGAGGTGAGCAGCCAGCCAGGGAGCAAAGCTTCATCTGTAGAAACAGCCGCTCCCCATCCCTCGCATTACCGCATGAGCTCTGCCACCTGTCAGATGAGTGGTGCCGTTCCATTCTCATAGAACCCAACTGGGAACTGAGCATGCCAGGGATCTAGATTGCGTGCTCCTTATGAGAACATAATGCCTGATGATCTCTGACTGTCTCCCATCACCCCCAAGTGGGACCACGTAATTACAGGAAAACAAGCTCAGGGCTCCCACTGATTCTATGTTATGGTGAGTTGTGTAATTATTTCATTATATATTACAGTGAAATAATCACAGAAATAAAGCACACAATAAATGTAGTGGGCTCGAATCATCTCTGCACCATCCCTTCCCCTTCTCCCAGGTCCGTGGAAGAGTTGTCTTCAAGAAAACTGCTCTCTGGTGCCAAAACGTTTGGGGACCGCTGGTGTAAATGTTTCTAAGAATAGTTAAGCAACTTAAGCTTCACATGCTACGAAGAATACAGCTTTAAATGCTAATAAAAATAGGTGCAAATGAAAACATTCTTTCTGTGGTCCAGGGAATCTTAACCATTCTATCAGAAAGACTTGCAGCTTGGAGCTGCAGCTGCCCTCCCACATCCTGTCCGCTGTAAAGCCCTGCAACACACACATACAGGCGCACACACACACACGCACACATGCACATACATGCACATGCATATACTTGCACACACACATGCACACACACATGCACACAGATGCACATACATAAATACATTCACATGTATATACCTGCACACACACACATGCACACACATACACATGCATATTCCTGCAAACACACACACACACACACACACACACACACACACACACGCTGTGCTTCATGCCCTCACTAGGGTGGCCTGGGAGGAAATGCGTGTTTTTAGGAGAAATGAAGACAACTCAGGCCCCTCATTCTCCTGGTGTTTGCACAAGTGCCTTCTCTGCAGACCATGCTTCAGCCTCTTTCTTGGTTCTCCCTCTTACTGAAAGAGAGAAGCAGAGGCCCGGCACATACTCGGCTGCTTAGGGCTCAAGCCAAGTTCGCAAGCTTCCTGGGGAGCCTAGTGAGATGAAGGCACTGCAGAGCCTCCCCAAAAGAGTCGTCGGCTTTTCGTGGATCCTTGAGCCCAGGAAGGCGATAGGTGAGACATCACAGTTCATCAGAAGACACGAGCAAACTCCGGCGAGAAAGGGCAACGGTCAAAGATTTTATTCTCTCGGAAAAGGGTTCTCGGGCTGTAAGCAGCAGGCAGAAGACTTTATTGCACGCGTAGTTAGGTGATGGCGACCTACGGTTTTCACTGGGGACTGGGATCGAGAGTGATCCGACCTCCTACTCATGCTCGTCTCTCCCTGTCTCTCTCTTTGCCTTTTGTGTCTCTCTGCCTGTCTCTCTCGCTCCTTTTCCTCTCAGCCTCCTCTGTCTCTCTCCTTATCTCTCATCCTCTCTCTCTCTATCTCACTCCCTTCTCCCCATCTCTCTTTCTCTCTCCTTCTTTTCCACTTCTCTCACCCTCCTCATCTCTCTGCCTGCCACTGTTCAGGCTCCTGGGGCCCCACGTGGATGGGCGGACACAGGACTCCTAGGCTACCTTTCATAGCGCAAGCAGAGGGCTGCAGGACCTTGGTCCCCACCTCCCAGCATCCTCAAAATGAGGGGTGTGGGGTGTGCCGTGCTCTCCTGAGTGGGCGCCCCACACTCCAGGAAGCAGAAACTGCAGGTCACAGCTGGCTCGAGTGGTGCCCACGGGGCTGCCAGCTTCCATCGTGTGATCTGCTGAGGCCAAAGCAGAGGACAGCAGCCCAGGCCCATCTCTGCAGCAGGGTGGGGGTAGGGGTGGGCTTGGGGGTGGGGATGGGGATGGGAGCCGCCAATGCAAACTGGCCCCTGGCTGGTTTCCTACCCTGCACCCTGCCATGCAAGTCCTACCCCTACCCCTACCCCTGTCTGCCCCACCTCCACCCCTAGGCTGCCCCACACCCAGGCTCCAGAAGTCTCCCAGGATCCAGGAACTAAGGGCAGCCTCTGGGTTCCATAGCCCCTAGTCCATGAGTCAGCCACCCCTCTGCGTGCTGACAAACCTTGGCTCTCATGCCCCACCCCAAGCCAAGCACACAGCCCTGTCCCCCCACCAGCATTATCACCGCCTCCTGATTTTGGCCCTGACAGCCCTGCTTCCTGGTAACCTTGCCCCCTCCCACCCTGCTCCAGGCAAGCCCAAAGGCCAGGCCCTCCACCCACCCTTCCTGGGGGCCACTCTACTATCTCCTTGCCCAGATGTCTTAACCTGGCTTTACCAAGATAGAATAAATAACAGGGATGAGGCCCCGGACCCCGCCAGGAAGATGTGCCAAAATACCCTCCATTTAGAAGCGGGAACAGTGATGGGGCCTATGGATGACCCCAGGATTGTCACCCAAGCAGCAAGAAGGGCAAGGAGCCCGGTTTCCTGCCCTTACCCGGGGAGGACGTGGCCAGGGCTCCAAAAGGCCCTGGAGAGGGGTGGGCAGGAGAGCAGATCCACCCTCCTCTTGAGGAAGCAGCCACCATCCCCAGGAAGAGCAGATGGGGGCACACAGGCAGAGTCCCCACGTGCTGTAGAGCAGGGCCAGCAGAACTGTACTCAGCCCCAGCCCCAGGGGAGCTACAAGATAGATTGAGACCCTCACAGGTTGGGCTCTGTGTCCCCACCGAAATCTCATCTGGAATTATAATCCTCCTGTGTCAAGGGAGGAACCTGGTGGGAGGGGATGGGATCTGGGGACAGTTTCCCCCCTGCTGCTCCCCTGATAGCGCGGGAGTTCTCAGGAGAGCTGATGGTTTGAAAGTGTGGCACTTCCTGCTTCTCCGCTCACTCCCTCCTGCCGCCTTGTGGAGAAGGTGCCTGCTTCCCCTTCGCCTTCTGCCATGACTGTAAGTTCCCTGAACTGGGAGTCGATTAAACCTCTTTCCTTTATAAATTACCTAGGCTCAAGTATTTCTTTATAGCAGTGTGAAAACAAACTAATACCCCTTCCCTGAGGCGCCTTCTCCTTAGGCAACCCGCTGCCCCCATGCTCCTCCTCTGCCCCCTGTCCTTTCTTTTCCCCTCATGAGGCCCAAGTGATAAACGGGGCCAGCCCCAGTCCCAGCCCCAGCCCCAGCCCCAGCCCCATCCTACTGCAGGCCTGTGTGGCTGCTGGAGAGGCCGTGTTCCTTTCCTCTCCCCGAGCCTGCCTGATATGCTTTCTGGATCCTGGAGGAAACTGACCCCCTATTCTCATACTGGTGCAACATCTTCCAAGACCTCAAAGCTGTACCATTTGAGCCAGTCTTTTTTCTTATCTCCACTTGCTAGGGCTGTCATTGGGACAGTCCTAGAGGGTGGTGCCAATGGATGAATGGATGGATGGACAGTAGTCCAGGGATGATGTCCCTGTCTGTCCTGAACCGGGCCCTTCCTCCAATGAGAAGCCTTCCTGAGTGAGTATATACAGTCATCCCTTGGTATCCATGGAGGATTAGTTCTAGGGTCCCCGGGAATGCCAAAATCCATGGATGCTCAAGTCTCTGATAGAACATGGCCTAGTATTTACGTATAAGCTATGCGCATCCTCCCGTATACGTTAGACCGTTACTAGATTATGATGTGTAATACAATGCAGATGCTACATAAATGGTCGTGATACTGTATTCTTTAGGGAATGATGACAAGAACAAAGTCTGCACATGTTCAATAGAAACATAACCATCCAATTTATTTTCTGAATATTTTCCATCTGCTGTTGCCGAATCTATAGATGCAGAGCTCCTGGATACGAGAGCCAAGTGTGCTTTGAGAGTAGGGTGGGTGAGGTTGCTAATGAGTACAGGGGAGCAGGTGTTGATCAGGAGGGCCCTGCACTGGGGCATCTGGACGTCCTGCCTCAGGACTTGAGACTCCAGTTGGATGGCACAGACAGACTCAGCCCAGGTCAAAGCCGTCCCCTTGAAGTTTCATTTTATCCCAAGCTCTTTCTGGACCCTGGAATTTGGCATCCCCTAGGCCCTGCGTGGAAGGACAGATGAACCAGGTTTTAGATAACATGTCTAGAAGAGTGAGCCCCTACTGTGTGCTCGGCACTTTCCCCACAGGATCCTCTAGCTAGAATATCCAAGGGTCATGGAGAGAAATACCCAGTTAAAATATCAGAAATGAAAAAGCGATACCATTAGATACACTAAAAAGACCATTAGGTAATAGTATTAGCTTTTGTATTCTGAGATCCAACAGCAGCAGTCACTTCCCTCCACCCCTATGTGTATCCCAGGACCACCCTGGGCGGGGAGGGCTGAGGTTAGGGAGCAGCCATGGATGCTCTGATGCTGGCCCTGGGCCTCGGGGGTGACAGTGATGAGGAACTGGGTGCACACATGAGTGGGGCAGCCGGGCCTGGCCAGAGAAGCAACACACACGTGCACAGACATGTTTACCCACATACACGTGTGCACGCACGTGCACAAACACGTTGCAGGCAGGCATGTTGACGCCTCAGGCAGCGGAGGACCCTGACTCTGGGCGCTGCTGACCCGGGCAAGGCCCCACTGTGATTCGTGCCATGACCTCAGAATGTCACTGGTGCTTAGCACCTATCTGCTCTCTGGCCTGCCTCAGTGGTCTACAGCAGTTACACACAGGCAGTGGTATCTGTGAGCAGCTCTGTGGACTCAAAGGTTTTCTCCCTGAGAGGCATGACCCAGGCCAGCTGATTCATCAGAATCAGGTGAGCGTGACCTGCTCTCTTCCCTCCAGGCGGACTTGGGGACAGTGGCTACGGTGCGGGCGGTGTTGGCCTCTGTGGGGCAGCTACCGAGGAGGGTCATCCCTGAGCACTCACCAGGCGCCCGTTCTACACTGCCCGTGTAGACGATTGGCTCTTTCGTCTCCATGGTGGCTTCGTAGAGTGGGTGCTGTTCCCAAATGTCCCCATTCGACAGATGAGACGTCTGGGGTCAGAGAGGCAGTAACCGGCCTGGGAATCCGGACATGACCCTGAGTTTTGCTCTCAGCCCTGCCGTGTGCTGTGCTGGAATTCAGGCCTGAACCCTGTGACCTCCCTGCCCTAGATCCCAAATCTGCCCAGGTTTCCCATCCCGATGGGGCAGAGCCTGGTCCTGGCAGAGCCACTGGTATAGAGCCACTGGTACAGATCCACTGACGGTCCTCAGAACACCTCTGTGCCCTAAGCTGGGTCCTGATGGTCGCTGTGGGCCCCACTGAACACACATGGTCCCTTGTCCGGGGGAGCCTGCTGCCCTTGGGCAGCTGTGGAAAATGAAGGAGCCCTGGAGGGCTGGCTGAGGGGAGACTATCTTCCCTTGTGTTCAAAGGGGTCCGGGCACTAGGGTTCTCCCCAGGTATTTCTTGCTCTGCGTGGTCCTCTTGAGGCCTCGCCCTCCTTTTGCCTCGAGTATTCCCAGGAGGGACGGTCCATCCAGCTGTTCTCCAGGACCAAGGACCCACTGTTCTTCCTCAGTGACCCAGGAAAATGAAGCCTCCTCCTGTTGGGACGGCTCAGAATGGTGGACTCCACAGTCCCTCCGCGAGAGACGTGGTTTCCATGCGTACAATAGATCTTCCTCATCCCCCAAACCCAACACCCTCCTGCTCAACAGGCGTTATTCCTAAAGTGGCTTCACTGTTCAGACTGAAGAGCCACGGTAGCCAAAGTGATGAGCGGAGTAGAACCGAGCAGTCGGGAGAGATCTTGTTCCCTGTAGGAAACTGGGCATCGCTGAGGCCCTGAGCATCCCAGGAGGCCGATTGCACAGAGACCTCTGGTCGCTGACCCCAGTCTGCCTCCACATCCCTGGAATAGCCCATCATGGGCCCTTCACCCTTGGCAGGTGGAAACCATTCAACCTGCTGGGGCCGGTGTGTCCCCATTTCATGGCATTGGGGGACAACAGGATTCTCTGTCTAGGTCCCACTGTACTCAAGTCCTTGGGAAGATGCCCACCCCTGCTTGGGACTTGAGACTCCAGAGACTGGAGCAGCTGTGGGCCACTGGGTCTGGCCCCTTTTTCCCTGGGGGCGGCGGTGGAATGGGGGTTACGCAGCCAGCCAGCATCTGGGAGCCCGGCGAGAGCGGTTCAGGTGTTCTCCGAAGCCGCCGCGTACAGTGTGACCTTTAGACAATTCTGTCTCACAGGATGGACGTGGTAGAGGTCGCGGGCAGTTGGTGGGCACAAGAGCGAGAGGACATCATTATGAAATACGAAAAGGTACAAGTCGGTCTGCTTCTTGGAGGGAGGCCTCTTCCAGTGTGCCCTGGTCAAAGGGTCCTGGGCTCCCTAGGAGCACAGGGCAGGGACGGGTGGCCAATGCCCCCAGGCCCTTGCACCCTTTACCTTGGACCCCTCACCAAGGCTCCCTCTGGGCTACAGGGACACCGAGCTGGGCTGCCAGAGGACAAGGGGCCTAAGCCTTTTCGAAGCTACAACAACAACGTCGATCATTTGGGGATTGTACAGTGAGTCCTCTGCACTCCCCTCACCCCTAAAGCACCTGTCTCAGCTCAGGGATGGGTTTGCTTTTAGAAAGGCCTTTCTGACGCAGGACATGTCTCACCAGGTCGGGTCAACCTCCTTTCCAGGGACAGAACTCCTCCCTGACTCCCCTGCAGGTCCAGCCCGAGGTTGTTAGGCCAGAGGTGTGGGGCCCATCTAGGGAGCCGGTGGGAATGGAGACTGGGCTAGGTCAGGCCCCTGGGCGCTCAGCAGTTCTGTCGGCAAGTGAGCACAAGAGGAGCGGGGCAGCCTGAGGGTCTGGCCCTGTCTACTTGGAGACAACCCCGGTGAGATGCAAGGGTTATGGCCACAGGGTGAGGGGACGCCTGGCCCAGCCTCAGGGCTGTTGTCCAGCAGGTCTCTGAGGGCCCACCTGCCCCTGTTCTCCCCCATTCCCCTAGAGCTACAGCCCTCACTGTCCCGTGAGGGGAAAAGGCATGGTGACAATGGGGGCTGTAGCCCTAGGAGAACGGGGGAGAAGATGGGCAGGGCCCCGTTCTGGGCATCTCACGGTGAGGCCAGGGAGGCAGCAGGGCTCGCGGCTAAAGACCTGGGTCTGGTGCTGGGAAGGGATCTGGGGCCGGGTAAGAGGAGCCCAGCCAGGAGCCCATCCCTCAGGGATCACAGGATGGAGAGACAGAGGATCCCTGGGGAGGTAGGGCGGGAGGGAGCTGACGAGCCGTGCCACTTCTGAAACGCAGGGTGTGTGGCCCGGGTGCAGGGAGAGGCAGGTGGATGCTGGGAGGTCAGAACCTGCAAGGGCCTTGGGGCTGTCAAGTGGGGTGGGCCCCTGGTGCAGCCAGAGTACACCGGGCAGGTCTCAGGGCAGGCTCCCTTGACCCTGGCGGGGGGATGTGGTCACTCCCTGAGGGACTCCTGTCAGGGCCCGGTCGCCCACCCTGGGCGGCCCCCATCCCATCTCAGGGCTAACCTTTCTCAGCTCCAGCAGAAAGCACCACCTCGAGTCCAGGACGGGCAGCCCCATTGGGCAGCCTGACCGCCCCCCACGCCAGGGGCCCCAGTAACCCCGGCCAGGCTGTCCCTACACTCCTTCTTCTCCCAGGTCCTGCCCCTCCTGGGAGTCAGCCCCACAGGAAGGCCCTTGTCCTCCCTTCCCTGTGCCTTCTCCTGGGCTGAGCCCTGAGCTGGAAAGGGACAGAGCCAGTCCTTTCTGGGGGTCGGCACCCAGGCTGGGGCCGCTCCAGGCCCCGTGCAGTTCCTCAGCTCTGCCTGGGTTGCCTTACAGTGAGACGGAGCTGCCTCCTCTGACTGCGCGGGAGGCGAAGGTAAGAGCCTGATGCGTGGAGGGGCTGGTCCAGGGACGTAGGGACTGGGCGGGTGGTCAGTGAGGCAGAGGAAGCAGCTGGCCTGAGCGGTGGCGGGTGAGGGCAACACGCTGTCACTGGGAGGGGCAGCAGTCCCTGCTGGACCTGACCCCAGGTTGCTGTTCACTTTGGCAGTTTGATAAAATTCCAAAAGGAGAACCACAGTCCTGGCTTGGGGGTGGCTGCGCGCTTGTGTCAGGACCCCACCTAGAGGCTGGGACCTAAGACTGGTGTGTCTGTGGCCTGAGGATGGTACATCCCGGGGTCCCAAAGCCAGCCCACTGGTGCTCATTTGCTCAAAGGCTCTCAGCCCTTGAGGTCTGCCCTTCCCTGGCTCCTTCCAGCTGGCTCCCACCAGGGCTCCAGAGCCCAAGACCCAGCATCCGCGGGCGGCTCTGGGAAGCCTGGCAGCTCCGCTAACTCCAACATGCCTCATTTGACAGCAAATTCGGCGGGAGATCAGCCGAAAGAGCAAGTGGGTGGATATGCTGGGAGACTGGGAGAAATACAAAAGCAGCAGAAAGGTAACGTGTGGAGGGAGGAAGCACTCTCTGCAGAGACAGGGGACAGGCACCCATGGCTGTGGCCTGGCACCATCAGCCTCTCAGAGGGTGGGCGGCACACTGTCCTCGCCCAGAGGACTGCAGGCCTGGTCACCAGATTTCCTGCCTATTCGTGCAAGCGTCACCTTGCAGGGAGGGAATCTGAATCTAGGGCTGGGACTACCCGGAGCTCAAGGCTAGGGATGCCCTGGTGACCTGAAGGAAGGAAAAGGTTCAGATCAGAGTTTCGACTCTGAGTGTCCATCCACTCTTTCAGTCCTGGGAAGGGAGACCCTGTCCCAGCTTGATCTCACCTCTACTGAGGAATCATGGGGCCAAAACCGACAATTTCCAGAATCCCCGGGCTCTGGTCCTCACTGGGGTCACCCCGTGGCCTGTGACACCAGATCGTTTTCTGCCCACAGCTCATAGATCGAGCGTACAAGGGAATGCCCATGAACATCCGGGGCCCGATGTGGTCAGTCCTCCTGAACACTGAGGAAATGAAGTTGAAAAACCCCGGAAGATACCAGGTACGCTCAGCCAGAGCACAACAAACAGGACAGGCCGTGTCGGGGCCCAGGTCTCCAGCTGGAGGGAACGTCAAGACCACCCTGGGGAGCTGGGGGTGAAGGTCAGATGAACACCCTGGGCACAGATGGTGACACAGTCACCACAGACAAACTCAGCTCTGGTGACCCTCCCTGGCTTCAGTAACAAGCCAAAATGCAGCTTTCTGCAGAAGGAAACCTTCCTTCTGTCCTTCCTTCCCGAAGTGCTGACTGTGGGCTGACTGCCACTGGGGGCAGGGAGTCTTCCATCTGTTCTGAGACTGCTTCCTCCTCTTGGCCCTGCCCTACAGATCATGAAGGAGAAGGGCAAGAGGTCATCTGAGCACATCCAGCGCATCGACCGGGACGTAAGCGGGACATTAAGGAAGCATATATTCTTCAGGGATCGATACGGAACCAAGTAAGCCTACGGGAGCCACAGGGTCCCAGCAGAGATGGGGTGAATGAGAGGGATGGGGGCTTCCCCGGAGCAGAAGCCAGGGTCACCCAGGAGGGATGACACAGCTGCCAAGAGCTCTCCCGGCCCAGGGAGCAGCCGGCACCATGAACCGAGCACCTCCCTGGTTCCAAGCCCTGGGCCAGACTGGAACATGTGGGGCCAGAACCCAGGAGGATCCTGAGGAGATGGAAGGCAGCAAACAAAATCATGCACAATGGTGAAGGGTGCTCTCCCTGACCCATGGGGACCCATGGTAGGACCCACGGGAGGGTGGCAGGATAGAGGGCCCATGAGCCCCCGCCAGGCAACAGTGACAGCACCAAATGCTGGGAGAATTAGGGGTCCTGGAAACTCTCATCCAGGTCCGCTGGGAACATGACATGGCACAGCCACGTTGGCAGCCCGTTGGGCAGTGGCTCACAAAGCTCGATGGACTTGAACCACACATCCCCAAAGTGTCACAGATATTGAACCCACTGATTTGCAAACTGACATCCACATGAAACCAGCATGCCAGGTTCACTGCTTGACTCCTCGTCACTCACACACGGAGCCTTCGGGGACGGCCTTCAACACGGGGATGGGGAGAGCAAGGCTGGTCCTCCCTTCAAACGGAAGACCCAGTGAGAAAAGGGAACGAGCCGGTGATGCCCGCACGAACGTGGGTGGATCCTAGATGCATTTTGCTGAGGGACAGAAGCCAGACCCAATAAGCTACCACCGTAGGATTCCCATTCCTAGGCCATTCTGGAAAAGGCCAAACCACAGGGACTGAGAAGCAGTCTGGGTGGCCAGGGGCTGACGGATCGGGGAGAGGCTGGGTGCATAGGGGCCACCCTGGAGACTTGGAGGATGAAGGAGTCGCCCCAGGAGGGGCTGGAGCGGTGGCCGGGAGACTCTGCACATCGGTTTGGAACCGTGGAGGAACTGTACACCCACAGACTGAACTGGCGTGTGTGCAAACTGAAAAAAAAAAAAAAATCATTCAGAGTGAAAAGGATCAGGCAAGTCACTGTACAACTGGGCTATTTGCATGTCACAGATGTGGATTTTACTGAAACATTTCTTCAAGAGTCTCAGGCCCTGAAGAGCTCACTGCTTATCTGGTGAAACATCTGAACCTGAAATGGGATTTGCTGTTAGGCTTTGTAGACAAAGTGAAATTAACAACATCTGCACAAAACAAACCAAAGCCCCCTTTCTCTGTTTCCTAGGCAGCGGGAACTACTCCACATCCTCCTGGCATATGAGGAGTATAACCCGGTGAGTATTCCCGGCAGTGAGGTTCCCGGGCCATATTTCCATATTGACAGGAGTGGGTGTCTGGTGGGGGTGTCGTTGCTTCTTTTAAAGTTAGTATTTGTGACCCACCAGGATATAGGAGGTAGGATGTCAGCTCACCGCTGGCATAAACCTCCAAGGAAGGGGGTGGTCTCAAGGGGTCAAGCTGAGACACAAAGGAGTCAGGGCCTGGACTCCTGGTGTCACCTGGGCCTGACCACCACTTCTCAGAACAAGAAATGACGCCCTCCTCCTGGGGCTGCCCCAAAGCCCAGGAGCTTGGCAGCATCGCACACAGGATGGTGCTATCAGCAGACATTTTGGACAAGGTGCTGAAGTGCCTGATGGACTTGGCTCTTGTCATGAAATGAATGTGCATCCTGAGGAAGCCTCTTTTTCAGAGGAAGCCTCTCCTTCAGAGGAAGCCTCTCCAGTCACCTCTGCCCTCTCCAATGACATGAGTCCTCCCAGGTGACCTCAGCCCTCCCAGGTGATGTCCTTCCATGGTGACTCTGGCTCTTGCAGGAGGTGGGCTACTGCAGGGACCTGAGCCACATCGCCGCCTTGTTCCTCCTCTATCTTCCTGAGGAGGATGCATTCTGGGCACTGGTGCAGCTGCTGGCCAGTGAGAGGCACTCCCTGCAGGGTAAGTGAAC
Source organism: Homo sapiens (assembly GCF_000001405.40). Taxonomy (NCBI): domain Eukaryota; kingdom Metazoa; phylum Chordata; class Mammalia; order Primates; family Hominidae; genus Homo; species Homo sapiens. Next base: position 2,169,782 of record NT_187614.1, read on the forward strand.
AGCTGCCCCGGGGACCTCCTGCAGCCAGACCTGGGGATGGCCACCCTGGCCAGGTGATCACAGCTTTCAGCCAAGGCACCCTCCTTGTGTCGCCAGCTTGTTGGGAGACTTTAGGATGTCTCTGCTGAGGGTCCCACAGGAGTCCACGGCTGACCCCCAAAGCCCAAATCAGACGCCTCTCATCCCCATCAGCAGAGGGCATCTCATCCTCCCCGTGGCCACCCTCTGTGTCCTGGAGCCACGCCCTCCGGCTCTGATTCTGTGCAGCTGACTCTCCCCTCCCTGAGAGTCCTCCTGCCCTCCAGCTGCCCGGGCTCCTGCTGCCATCGGTGCCCACGAACGGGCCGACCAAGCCCAGGTGGCAGCATCTCCCCATCCCCTGTTCCCTGGCCCGACCCCACTACCAGGAGATGACCGGGAAGCCCAGCGCCCACCCAGTTCCGGCCACCCTGTCGTGGCCTGAAAGTCAGGCTTGCCCTTTTTGCACCCTGGCCCAGGAGGCCTCCAGGGGAACCTCCAGCCAGGCTCCAGGGAATGTTCCCGCCCCACCTCCCCAGGGTAAAGGCCGCATGTTGGGGTCACCAGATGGGAGGGTGGGAGGCCTTGGGGTTTGGGGGCCTCTCCAGCTGCCCAGCTCTTGCAGCTGATGGCTCCACATCTTGGGGGAAGGCTCTGATTTCATGATGGGCTGGGGGCTTCTCAGGATTTCACAGCCCAAATGGCGGGACCGTCCAGGGGCTCCAAGACCAACAGGAGCATGTGGTAGCCACGTCACAACCCAAGACCATGGGGCATCAGGTGAGTTTATGGTCCCCTCAGCTCTTCCCAGAGGCCCTGCCTCCCGTGGGGCTGTAGGAGCAGGGGGGCTGGAGCCCCTCGTGGGGCTGGTGACTGGCTGAGTCCCAGCCAGGGCCTGACCTGGGACGTCGGGTTCTCCATGGGCTGGGAGTTGGTTTCCTTTCCTGCCCTGGAGGAGACAGAGGCACAGGGATGGGGGCCCAGCTCCCGCAGAGCAGGGCAAAGGGCAGTGTGTCCACCGGGAGTGTGGGAAGGTGACAGTGTTGTGGGGAGCTCTGGACACCGCCCAGTGTTCTGCACTAGGGGAAGGGTCTTCAGAGGCCCTGGAAGAGGGAGGTTTTTAGGGCAGCCCAGTGGCCTGAGCACCTCTGTTGCTTCCATCAGGACAAGAAAGATCTATGTGGGCAGTGTTCCCCGTTAGGCTGCCTCATCCGGATATTGATTGACGGGGTAAGGAGGCATAGGGAGACCCTGGCTCAGGGACCTTCCTTGCCCTGCAGTGCCCTGCTTCCCCAGCCCGGGGGTCTGGCTCACTCCCAGCCCACAGGAGGCTCAGGCGGGTCCCCAAAGGACACACAAGCAAAACCCTCTGCCCAAGGGGGGTCATCCCAGGGCCATGGCTGGGGCTCAGGCCCAGCCTCATGGGCAGACTGGGCCAGGACCCGACTTGAGAGGGCTCAGGGAAGCCTCAAGCCCTGGGCAAGCCCCTCTCTCCAGGAGCCACATCCCCACTCAAATGAGTGCCCCCCATGAGGAGCTTCAAGACCTTGTCTGACCCAGCGTCCTGGAGGGCTCAGGCGACCCTCATGGGGAAGGTCACTGACTCTGGAGACTGAAGCCCCAGTGTGCGCAGCTCGAGCCACCAGCCCCAGCCTGGAAGGACCAGGTTCTTTCACACCTGCTGTCCCCACAGATCTCTCTCGGGCTCACCCTGCGCCTGTGGGACGTGTATCTGGTAGAAGGCGAACAGGCGTTGATGCCGATAACAAGAATCGCCTTTAAGGTTCAGCAGAGTAAGTCTACGTGTGCCCAGCGGGGCCTGGGGAGCCCTGGGGTCAGACCCCGACTGGCCCGAGGGCAGCTTCCTCACACTGTCCTCATGATCCTCTGTTCTGGCCCAGAGGGAGGTCTGGCCAGGTGGGCTGGGCAGGACACTGTGACACCGAGCCCATCCCCCACATGACCCAGATGAAAGTCGAGAGTGTGGTGAGCACTTCCCTGTCCGGATCGCCCCCCAGCCACAGTCTCCTGTATATATCTGGACACCTGGGGTGGCCACAAAAGGATCCGGCACCGCCCAGTAGGAGACTGAAGTGGCCACGGGGTATGAGCTGTGACCATTCCCAGGTAACTCCCCTGGCCTGATATCCACCCTGTCCCTAGAGCGCCTCACGAAGACGTCCAGGTGTGGCCCGTGGGCACGTTTTTGCAACCGGTTCGTTGATACCTGGGCCAGGGATGAGGACACTGTGCTCAAGCATCTTAGGGCCTCTATGAAGAAACTAACAAGAAAGCAGGGGGACCTGCCACCCCCAGGTGGGCTCCAGTGCCATGTCCCCTCCCATGTCACCCTCTGGGGTAGTCAGTAGTAGGGGAGTGCCCGGGACCCGCAACCCTACTACCTGGGCCTTCCTCTTCACCTTTTCTTCCTCCTCTTCCTCCTGGACTCTAAGAAAGTACAGGAGGCCCACCGGTCCTCAGGGCAGGCGCTCAGTGCGTGTATACTGGACATGCTGTGCACGCAGGAGGGGGATGTGGGCAAGACCCTCCAACAAGCCCCCTCCCACTTTCCACGGTGTCTCCCTCTCCCCCTCGCAGGGCCCTCCAAGTTACTAGACGAGCCCAGACCCATTTGTGGGAGACCCCGCCCCTCCCTGCAAGCACCCACAGCCTCAGAGAGCAGCAGAGGCCCCTCACTCCTGCACGCTCCTCCAAGGTTGCCAGGACAAGAAGCCTGGAGCCAGGGAGACAAGGGAATCCGTGTCCCTGACCCACAGAGCATTCAGGGAGAGGGCACAGGCGGGACCCCGGGCCCAGAGCCAGAGCCAAGAGTTCAGCCAGAAGTGGGAACGGTCAGTCCTGGCATGGACTGGGCAGCCCAGGAGGGCAGAGGGTGACCCACGTCCGGGCCCAATCACCCACTGCGGAGACGGGTCCCCACGTGAGGTGACAAGGGGCTGGGTGACATCCAAGGCCCCTCCCACCTGAGTTCTGACTGGGGGCCGTATCCCAGGCCCAACAGCCCTGGGACGAAGGTGTGTGGCAGGAAGCCCCCAGCCAGTCTGAACCCTGGGGGCAGTCCCAGGAGCCACCCGCCATGCCACGACAGCTTCCCCACGCCAGGCAGCACGCACCCCTCCCTCTGGGATCAGCAGACTACAGGCGTGTCCTCGGTGTCAGGCCACGGGGGCCACACAGAGACCCCGAGGACTCCAGAGACGCAGGCAGGTGGGGCCCAGCCCGGAAAGGCCTGCGTGGGCTCACTGGAGATGCTGACCGCGTCTGTTTTCCTTTCAGCCAAACCCGAGCAAGGGTCGTCGGCATCCAGGCCTGTGCCGGCTTCACGTGGCGGGAAGACCCTCTGCAAGGGGGACAGGCAGGCCCCTCCAGGCCCACCAGCCCGGTTCCCGCGGCCCATTTGGTCAGCTTCCCCGCCACGGGCACCTCGTTCTTCCACACCCTGTCCTGGTGGGGCTGTCCGGGAAGACACCTACCCTGTGGGCACTCAGGGTGTGCCCAGCCCGGCCCTGGCTCAGGGAGGACCTCAGGGTTCCTGGAGATTCCTGCAGTGGAACTCCATGCCCCGCCTCCCAACGGACCTGGACGTAGAGGGCCCTTGGTTCCGCCATTATGATTTCAGACAGAGCTGCTGGGTCCGTGCCATATCCCAGGAGGACCAGCTGGCCCCCTGCTGGCAGGCTGAACACCCTGCGGAGCGGGTGAGATCGGCTTTCGCTGCACCCAGCACTGATTCCGACCAGGGCACCCCCTTCAGAGCTAGGGACGAACAGCCGTGTGCTCCCACCTCAGGGCCTTGCCTCTGCGGCCTCCACTTGGAAAGTTCTCAGTTCCCTCCAGGCTTCTAGAAGCATCTGGGCCAGGGCTCATGGCTGGATAATTTCCCTAGGCTTAACAACCCAAGCAAGCTTCGCATCCTCGTTTTATTTTTGGTTAAACTTATGAAAATGTATTAAGAAAGAGTGCAGCTCGAGAGAGATTCAGAGATGGAACACACCAGACCCCAGATCACAAAGCCAACCATGCCCAGCCCCTCCCAGCACCCCCAGCCCCACGACCATCGTTCTGAATTCTGACGACACCGTGAGCCTGCCTTTGTACTTCAAACTCATGGAAGGATAACCACCTTCATGTTTTGAAATAAATGTTTCCTGTTGAAATGATTTTAGATTTTAGACAGAAATATTGAAAAGGCACTATAGTATCCTCCTATACCTTCCATCCAGCTGCCCCTAATAATGATGTTTTGCAGTCCCATGGCACATAAGAAATTTAGGCCGGGTGTGGTGGCTCACACCTGTAATCCCAGCAATTTGAGAGGTCGAGGCGGGAGGTTCAGGTTCACTTGAGTCTAGAAGTCTGAGACCAGCCTGGGAAACCTAGGTGGACCCGGTCTCTAGAGAAAAGTCAAAGAAATTAGCCAGGCATGGTGGCGTGTGCCTATAGTCCCACCTAGTCAGGAGGCTGAGGCAGGAGGATTGCTGGAGCCCACGAGTTCCAGGAAGCAGTGAGCCATGATTGCACCACTGCACTCCAGCCTGGGTGACAGAGTGAGACTTTATCTCTTAAAAAAATTTAAGAAATTTAATGTGGGTACAGTTCTATTAACTAAATAATAATGTGAACTATTATCTAAGGTTATGAAGGCTAGAATTATCCCATTTTTGCCTAACTTCTCGTACCTGTCCCAAGATCCCACCTTGGACTCACCCTCTGCCTTCAGCTCACGTCTCTTCAGCTTCCTCCACATGGTCCAGCAAACACACACCTGGGCTGAATGGTAGAGCTGATCGCTCATACACAAAGGTAGACCGGTGGGCAGGGATTTTCAGACTTACACAGTCAATGAGTTTTCCTTGGTGTTCTGGAGAGCACCGTTTGAGAAACACTTTGACAGTGAATCTAGGCCTCAAGATCCATCAGCTGCTCTAGCTTGAATTTTGCTCAAGCTCAGTGAACACCTGCTCTGCCGGGTGCACGTGAAAGGGGCAAGGATGAGAAAGCTGTAGATAAAGAAGACAGGACGCAGGGGGTCTGTCTAAGCTCTATCCCCTGCCTTCAGCACTGAGGGATGAAATCCAACTCTTAGGGAACGGTGGCCACGTGCTGGGCCAGCCCCAGGCTCTCAGGATCTGACAGTGGGTGACGCAGAGCCAGGCCTTGCCCCTGGGGAGCTCTCCAGCATACACCTCCCTCTCCCCTCCCAGCGTGCCGCAAAGCAGGCGTCAACGCCATTGTTAATGCACGGAGGAGGAACCTGACTGTTAGACCTGGGTTTTCCAGGGTTGCACGGCTTCTGGGAGACGGATGTGACCCTGAGGACAGGGCACAGGCCAGTGTAATGCCAGGATGGAATGAGCTGTGATCTGTGCTGTATAGAGGCCTAGGCCAAGGTGGGACTGACGGATGACCAGGTCAGCCGGGTCACTGAAAACACTCTTGGGTCCTCACCTGCCGGTTCCCAGGAGTCCGGAACTGCCAGGAGAGTGGTGGCAGGTCCCCCATCCTCAGCTGGGTGGGCCTGGATAGAGCAGCAAGGCGAGGGCACATTTCCCTGGCCATTCCCTCCAGGCACAGCTGTGACCTGTTCATTCCAAATTTGTGGAAGTATTTCCACACACACACAACTGCAAATAGCAGTGGACGTGGTGAGAGGCGTTTGCACATGGGATAGGCAGGATTTTGGAGGCAGAGCCTCCAGGGCTTGCCGATGGGTTAGCTGCAGGGCTTGAGAGGGAACGGAGAATCCAGGATGATGTGTTCAAATCGGTCCATTCACCTCTTCCGTTCCACGCCTGTGCTGGGCACTGGGAGAGACAGATGCACACAGGAGCCCCGGCCGAGGGGAGGTGTGGGGGGAAGCCCAGAGTGTCTGGGCAGGGTAGGAAACCCAGAGCGTCTGCTGGGAGCTGAAGGCTTAGGTCCACCTGGGTGCCGTCCAGGTTCTCTGCATGTAGAAGTATAGGCTGAGCTTCCCGGAGGAGGAGCAGCTGCTGTTGCTGGTGACCAGCACATTCAGGAACGGAGACTACTCTGTCAACAGACAGGGGGATGACCTGAGGTCTGGATGGTCTAGGGGGTGGTAGGGCCCAGGAGGACCCAGGAAAGGGTCTCGGGGATGCAGAACATCCTATGGAGGGCATTTGGGAGTCAGTGCTCAGGCCACTCCGGGTCACGCAGGTCATTTGCCGGCCTCTGTCATAATTATTGCCATATGAGAGTGCCACCTTTCCTGTGACATAATTCAGCCATTCCTGTGAATGGCCTACCTGTTTATATTTACAACTTCATGTTTAAAGGAAATTTGTATCACTCTCATAAATGGAAAGCCAGCAAAACATAAATTCAATGAAAACAAAATGAAGTCAATGAACTTTAGCTAGATACTATTCCCTGACCAAGGCCTGCTGGAGGCCGTACAACCGGGGTTTGAATTGAGATCTGCCAAGCTTCTGAGTTTATTCTGTTTCCCCCACACCAAGGATCCTCAATACTGCATTACTGACATCAGGGGCCAGACAATTCTTTGCGATGGGGGCTGTCCTGCACCTGGCAGGATGTTTAGCAGCTTCTCTGGCCTCCACCCACTGGAAGCCAGGGGAATGCAGAAGAGGCTTGCTTATTCTCCCATTTAATGCTCAGGACAATATCTGACATCAATGTTACGTCTTTTATTTTATAAATGAAGACAATGAGACTCAGAAAGGTTTAAGTGAGTCACCTAAGAACACACAGACAGCAAGAGGTAGAACCCGAAACTGAACACAGGTGTCCACGAGACAACAAAAAAGTTCAGGTTCCAGCTTCCTTTGAGTCTCTCATTTCAACAATGGCCATCGTCTGCATACGAGCTGAAGTACAGGAAAGCTGGGCTGAACTCTCTTCCCATCAGGCCTAGGAGCCCCAGACCAGAACCCCAGCCCAAGTTCTCCCAGTCAGGCCCGCTGGAGGGAGCTGGCATCTACACTAGCATGGTTTCTCAAAGCTACAGGGATGCCAGTCTCGCTGCTGATGAAGAAAATGAAGGGCATTTGCTTCTCCTGCAGGCTGTCGGGATTTAACACAGATTCCTTTTCTTGCTCTCTTCTCCCATAGCACAAAACTGGGTGGTCCATCCCCCTCCCAGTGTCCCAAGGCTTTGTTGCGTGTTCTCTTTAATTTCTCCCACTCTCGCAGTGCACCCTACCCTCGTCTCCCTGGCAACCTTTCTGCTCTATCCTCTCGCCACCTGGATCACAAGAACACTTGTGAGACCCCTTAACAAGCTACATCCCAAATTATCATTCCCCTTTGTCCTCAGCCAGTGCCCGGGTCCAACTCGCTCTCCTGGGGTGACTTTCTTTCCTGCCCAATATGGTTTCATCATCTGTAAATTGGGGATAATTGAAGTCTTGATCCTGATATTGGGCTCTGAAAGCAGAAGGAGCAAGCTCAGCCAAGTCACTTCAACAAGAGGAGACGTTCCTTGTGAACCAAAAGGGCACTGGTCACAAGGGCCGCTCCTTCTCTCAGGCCTCTCCAGCACGCCCTTGGCTCAGCCAAAGAAGAGACTCAGGCTGTGCTTCTGTGCTGTGGGGATAACGTAGGTACCTGGTCCTTGACCCTGGGACTTTAACAGTTCCCTCTTGTGGCTCAGTTCTACAGCTTCAATGACACAAAGTGGCTTTTGCTCAAAATAGCCTTTGATAGGTTAAGGTACTCCTCTGCCACTCTAAGTCTGTGTGGAACAGACAGGGTTTTGCTTCACAGAGAAGATGCATAAAATTTGGTCTTAAAAATGAGTTCACCATGCACACATACACACGAAAAAAGTAAATACTGCATTACTGTATATATGAGGTTCCAAAATAGGCAAAACTAATTTATGGTGACAGAATAGTGGTGACCTCTGAGGGTCAGTGTTGACTGGGAGAGAACAGAAGAGAGCCTACTGGGGTGCTGGAAATGTTCTGTATCTTAATTTTGCAGGATAATTCCTTGGATGCATCCCTAAAAATTCAGTCAAGCTATATAGTAAGATTTGTGCAGTTTATGTAAGTAATAGGAGAGATAAGAGGGGGAACCTGTGGAGAAGCAGAACATTTCAAGATCTAGAAAGCAACAGTTGCAAGGGTACACAGTGTTCAGACAGGGACCAAATCATAGAAACTACTAGGGCTTGCCATGCTGAAATGACTGACTTCAAACCATAGGGCATACGTACCTTCCACTGAAGAAGAGCACCTGAGTAAAATGACTAGAGGTGCATTTCAAAGATTATTCTATGGGAAATATAAAGAACGAATTGGAGGAGTAGGAGGCAAATAGTCCAAGGGACAGATACAGATCTTTCTTTTTCTTTTTTTTTTTTTTTTTGAGATAGGGTCTCCCTCTGTCACCCTAGCTGGAGTGCATTTCTGCGATCATGGCTCACTGCAGCCTCTACTTCCTGCGCTCATGCAATCCTTCCATCTCAGCCTCCCAAGTATCTGGGACTCCAGATGTGCGGACCACACCTGGCTAATTTTTTTATTTTGTTGTAGTAATGGGAATCTCACTGTTGTTTCCCAGGCTGGTCTTGAACTCCTGAACTCAGGCAATCTTCTGGCCTTAACCTCTCAAAGTGCTGGGATTACAGGTATGGGCTACAGTGCCTGGCCTTATTAAAATGTTGATGTAATAAATGGGACTACCTAGTGCTGTGCTTTCTCCTTAAAGGAGAGAGCTGACAGAATAAAACTAGCAGTAATAATCTGGTAAATTGTGCTTTCTACAGAGTAAATTTTGTTTGTCTCATGACATTTATGCAAATATTCAAATGTTTCAGGAATATAAACATTTAAAATTTGGGTTATAAATAATGCCTCCTGGCTCTGAAATTATCTGAATTCATGAAGCAATCAGTAGTAAATATGAAGGAAAAATGAAACACAGCCTTATATGCAAGGACAAACACAAATTTCTAATTCTTGTTATAATTTGGGTGCCCACCTGGTTTTGAAGGTGAGCCTTGGTTTGACTGGTTCTGAGACATTTCTCTCAAATAGCAAATGAGTAGTGGGTATGAATAGGGTACATTGGAAAGTCATGTCAAAATTCCATGTAATTTTTGGAGCGTTTTTTCTCCCATATGATTTATATAATTTGACATGTGTATTCCTATGTAAAATATTTAACCACTTCTCTACAATAAGCATTAAGTGGGCTAATTAGTATGCTCTTCTTATTCCATATTTCTGTGATTTCTCTTATCTGGAACGACTTTTTTATGCCACCCAGGCTGGAGTGCAGTGGCACATTTACTGCTCACTGCAGCCTCAACTCCCCAGGGTCAAGCCATCCTCCTATTTCAGCTTCCCTAGCAGCTAGGACTACAGGTGTGCACCACTATGCCCTGCTAATTTTTGTGTTTTTTTGTAGAGACGGGGTTTTGCTATGTTGCCCCGGCTGGTCTTGAACTCCTGAGCTCAAGAGATCCACCCACCGCAACCTCCCAAAGTGTTGGGATTACAGGCGTGAGCCACTGCACTCAGCTTCTTTTCTAATTTGTTTTTATTCTGAGATCAGATGAGATCGGCATGTTCAGGTTGGTATGGCCATAGACTGCTTTTATCTATTCTAATAATTTTGTATTGTACAATGTGTTGGAAAGGCAAGATGAAGTTAGATTATGAAGGGTTCATTTCCATTCAATTCTGTCTATCCTTCTGGACTTTGCCTAAATCTTACCTTCTTTGGAGCTTTCCTGAACTAACTTATCTCCTTTGAATTCTTACATTTGGATCCTTTGTATTTGAGTATTTTTACATATATATGTACATAAATAACACGTTTTATGTGTAGTAATTTACTCTCCCAACTAGATTGAAAGCTGCTTGAAGAGTAACCTTTTTTTAAAGTCACATTGGACCGTTTTAAGTACAAATTTAGCATATGCTTGATGATTGAGAGAAGAACCATATGGTTACAGTCATTGGTGTGTCTATGATTGTGATATGTTGCTATTTAAAAATCAATAGTTATTTCTTATTTAGTTTTCTGTTAAGCCATAACCTTTTGCTCTCATTTATACGTCTTCTGAACGTTAAGTAACATGTGGCTCATATTTCAAACTCCCAATTTGGAAGTTTATAGCAATGTAACTGAAGTTTATAATTACAGGTCTCAGAAAACTGCACTACACAGAAGTTCTCTATGTGTTAGAAGAATTTATTAGAAGATAGACAATTGTAGGTTACACTGTAATTTAGAAGACTTTTGCGCATCTCATGTATTTGTGTCAGTTTGAGAATTTGAAAATGCCCCCAAAATGTCTGTTCTTCACTAGTGCCTCTTGTGATCCTGGCAGAGATAAGCTAAACTTTTGAAAGGGTAGACTTTTTCTGTTTATCTTAGTATCCTGAGTCCCTAAATCTGGAATGTAGTAGATGTTTGTGCATTTCCCTATGTCAGTGAAGTCAAAATACTAGAGGTGGATTTTTCAGCTTTTCAAAGTTTTCACATTTACTAAGTCCTTCACAGTTATCGCCTACTAGTTAAAAAACTATTTGCCTCAATTTAGGCCAGTGCTACTTTGACATTTGCATTGCTGTAAAACCCTTACTAAAAGGTATATTTTTCTGGTATATAAATACATGTATGCAGCTTTTCTCATATCTTTGAGAAAGCAAAAAATTGTACTAAATTATGATTTCCACTGTAATAGGATTATGGCTTAGTCATGATCAGTATTATGTTTTCAGCTATGTCTTACTAGGATTATTGTAAAAGACTTTCAAAATAGTTCATGTGAATCTTTGTCTGATCTTCACAAACTCGGGTATGTACATAGCTCTCCCCCACCTTCTCCTGGCTTTGGCAATTTATTTTATTTTTATTGTGGTTATATATATATATATATATAAAACATACCATTTACCATTTGAACTATTTTAAAAAGTGTACAATTAGTGGCATGAAGTACATTCACAATATTGTATAACCATCACCACTGTCCATTTCCAGAACTTGTTCATCATCCCAAACAGAAATTCTCTATCCCTTTTCTTCCCCAGCCCCTGGTAACCTCTATTCTACTTTCTCTTTTTATGAATTTGCCTATTCTAGACACTTCATGGAAATAGAATCAAACAATATTTGACCTTTCTTATTTCACTTAGGATAATGTTTTCAAGGTTTATCCATGTTGTAGTACATAGCAGAATTTAATTTCTTTTTTTGACTGAATAATTTGTATATACTACATCTTGTTTATACATCCATCTGTTGATGGGACATATTTGGGTTGTTTCCACCTTTTGGCTATTGTGAATAATGTTGCTGTGAACACTGGTGTGCAAATATCTATCTGAGTCCTGCTTTCACTTCTTTTGGATATAAACCTAGGAATGGAATTGCTGGGTCATATGGTAATTCTATATTTAACCTTTTAAGGAACAGCTAACCTGGTTTCCACGGCTTCTGTACCATTTTATATTTCTACCAGCAATGCACAAGTGCTCCTTCCATTTTCTCCATATCTACCCAATACTTGTTATTTTCTGTTTTCTTTCAATTAATAACCATCCTAATGGGTGTGACATAGTATTGTCATTTTGATTTTTAGCTTCCTAATGGCTAGTGCTAATGAGCATTTTTTTATGTGCTATTGGTCATTTGTATGTCTTTTTTGGAGAAATGTCTGTTCAATCCTTTGCCCATTTTTGAATTGAGATGTGCGCTTTTTTGTTGTTGAGTTGTAGTTCTGTAGTTCTTTATACATTCTGGATATTATTCTCACATCAGATATATGATTTACAAATATTTTCTCCCAAATACTTCTGTGGGTTACAGATATATTAATATCTGTAGATTGTCTTTCATGGTCTTGATAGGATCTTTTAATGCCCAAAAGTTTCTAATTTTGATGAAATAATGTATGTAGCTTTGAACTTAAACAATGTTACAGATTGCGCAAAGGATATAACCATGAAATTCTGATGGAGTGACCCCACAGCTGCAGAAAACCAGAAAGAACCCTACTCTAAAACCCAAAAGACTTCCCTAGATAGAGTCCTTCGAAAATAATTTTCTAAATTATTCACACAGCCTGTGGATAAATTAAGAGGAAATGATATCTGTAACAGTGCTGCTTGTGATGAAAACACAGAAGAGTCAATTATATTATCAAATCTTAGCTGGAATGGAAAATCAGGAGGATATTTATTAGCAAACATTAATAAAAGGTTGGCCTTTATTATTGTAAGCATGTACACAGACGACAGCATGTAGTCTCTACCATAAGAATGAGAAATGCCTCCTATCTTTATGAATTCTGAAATTTAACCTTTCTTAACCCAATTGCTGTAAGGGCCTAGGGTTTATTTGTTATGTGTGTTATTGGAGTAGAGACTGTTTGAAGGTTAAGGGGGTATTTAGTGATGCAAGTGACATTTATATGTTTTAAAATCTTCTGCTTTTCTAGGCACTTTTTAAAATGAAATGCTATATTTTTAAACTTTTAAAAATTATTTTTATTATTTTTTGCAGAGATGAGGTCTTGCTGTGTTGCCCAAGCTGTTCTCAAACTCTTGGCCTCAAGAGATCCTCCTGCCTTGGCCTCCCAAAGTGCTGGGATTACAGGCGTGAACCACGTGCCTGGCCCAAACTTTTTAAAGACTTTATTTCTGGAGGCAGGTTCTCAAAAGATATCCTATCTTAATGGGCATATATAGAGAGAGAGTAGTAGGTGAGTTTAAGGGGGATGTAAATATTGGCCGAAAGAGGTTTCTTTTAGGTATATAACCCCTCAAATGTAGCCCTTTGGATATCAAAAGTTTATTATGGCAATGTTCTTTGTGCATTTTTATTCGATGTTGTCAGCCATTCATCTAATAACTCTTCAGAAGATTTTGTCTCTGGGCAGTGGCATTTTATAACTTCCTATATGGAAGAAAACTTTTATCCAACTGATAACTGATATGCCAATGTGTTAGTATGAAAAAATTTTCCCAACATTCTTACCAGGTGTGGTGGCTCAACCTGTAATCCCAGCACTTTGGGAGGTGGAGTCGGGCGGATCACTTGAAGTCAGGAGTTCGAGACCAGCCTGGCCAACATGGTGAAACCCTGTCTACTAAAAATACAAAAATTAGCTGGGCGTGATGGCAGGCACCTGTAATCCCAGCTACCTGGGAGGCTAAGGCAGGAGAATTGCTTGAATCTGGGAGGTGGAGGTTGCAATGAGCCAAGATTTCCTCACTGCACTCTAGCCTGAGCGACAGAGTGAGACTCTGTCTCAAAAAAAAAAGAAAAGGAAAAAAAAAGAAAATTTCCCAAAATTCAAATGTCGTTTCACTGCGTGGCTTTGTTTGATTATTAATACTTTAATACTGTGTTTAAAATTAATATTTATTATTTTTAAAAATCAGCTTCCTTAGGTCGAAGAAACATTAATGTTTAATATTAAGCTATTATTGTAGCTTAGTGTAGTTATAATAAGATACTGGAACTCATGGAAGGGGTTAGATTTTCTTCATCTTAGAAACCGTTACTTTTCATAAAATATATATTGTGCAATTATATATAAAATTATATAATAATTAGATATACAAATAAAAAATCGGATTATAGTTGGGCTCAGTGGCTCGCATTTGTAATCTCAGCTCCTTGGGAAGCTTAGACTGGAGGATTTCTTGAGTCCAGAAATTTGAGGCTGCAGTGAGCCATGATTGTGCCACTGCATTCCAGCCTGGGCGACAGGAATGAGACCCCGTCTCTAAAAATAAAAACTAAAAAAAAATAGATTATGATTGGCAAAAGATTGAGTGACAGTGAAAATGCAATGAATATTTTGACTACTATTTTTTGATTACATACATAGGAAGATACGAATTTTTCTGTCTTTCCAAATTAGTTTAGAAATTAAAGATTTGGCCGGGCATAGTGGCTCACCCCTGTAATCTGAGCACTTTGGGAGGCTGAGATAGGCAGATCACCTGAGGTCAAGAGTTTGAGACCACCCTGGCCAACATGGTGAAACCTCGTCTCTACTAAAAATACAATAAAAATTAGCTGGGCATGGTGGCATGCACCTGTAGTCCCAGCTACTTGGGGAGACTGAGGCAGGAGAATCACTTGAACCCAGGAGGCGGAGGTTGCAGTGAGCCAAGATCGTGCCACTGCACTCCAGCCTGGGCGACAGAGCGAGACTCTGTCTCAAAAACAAACAAACAACAACAAAACACCAGAAAAAGGAAAAATAGTGTTAAGAGATAACTTAGTATGTACTGTTTGTACACTTCATGGGTGTGCATATATGACGTGTTTGGTTTTATAGTGAAAATTCTAACATTCTGCTGTATGGTTTATGGTGCCTTGTAGACGTTCCTTTAAGCACTCAATGATAAAGATTAAAATTACTAAGATAGAGAGTAAATCTATGTTATATGTAGTCATTTCTCAGTTTGCATAGTAGTATGGGACTGTAAAGATGACCATGCAAGCTAAGACTATTCAAAGGGATCATAGTAATCAGTGGAAAAAATTGTGATTGTTCTGTTGGACCTTTAAAAATTTTTGTCAAAACATTAAAAACTCTCTCACAGTTGGTTATAGATATACAGGGTAAGAAGAAGCGTGGTATCCACAGAGAAGGAGGGAGCTTCATAAACAAAGACAAACAGGAATATCAACTACCAGCCACCAACAGCACTCTTGTAAAACTTATTTAAATATTACAAAAAACAATATACAAGATTACTAAGAGATTGGAAGATAAAGGGAGAAAATTTCACTAATGATCTCATCACCAAACACAGTTAATTATTTGCTGTTACTCTTTTATCAAATTAGTGTTTAGTATTGTTTTAATCATAATGTACATACAATTTTGTATCTTGCTTTTTCTGAGATGTCTGTTTCTGTCCATGTTATACATACCTATACAGTCCTGTGCTGCATGATGATGTTTTGGTTAACGATGGACTGCATACACAACTGTGATCCCATAAGATAATAGTAGAGCTGAAAAATTCCTATTGCCTAGTGACATTGTAGCCATTTACTTGTTTTTGCTTTCTGCTTTTTTTATGTAGTCATTTACTATACTAAACCTTTAATCATTATTTTAGAGTATACTCCTATTTATTTAGAAAGGTCCCCCAAGGGAGGACAGAAAACACTCATAATTTAATGTTATTGTCCTTTTCACACATATGTAGCTATATCTATTATATTTTATTTTACTTTATTTTATTTTAATTTTTGAGACAGAGTTTCACTCTGTCACCCAGGCTGGAGTGCAATGGTGCAGTCTCAGCTCACTGTGACCTCCACCTCCCAGGTTCAAGCAATTCTTCTGCCTCAGCCTCCCGAGTAGCTGGGATTACAGATGTGCACCACCATGCCTAGCTAATTTTTGTATTTTTAGTACAGACGAGGTTTCACCATGTTGGCCAGGCTGGTCTTGAACTCCTGACCTCAGGTGATCCACCTGCCCCAGCCTCCCAAAGTGCCGGGATTACAGCACTTTTACAGCATGAGCTGCCATGCCCAGCCTATTTTATTTTATTTTGTTTTATTTTATTAGAGACAGTCTTGCTCTGTCCCCAAGCCTGGAGTGCAGTGGCGTGATCGTAGCTCACTTGGCTAATTTTTAAACTTTTTGTAGATATGGGGTCTGGGTATGTTGCCCAGCCTGATCTTGAACTCCTAGGCTTAAGTGATCCTCCTGCCCTGACCTCCCAAAGTGCTGGGATTACAGGCGTGAGCCATCCTGCCCAGCCTGTATCTATTATATAAGCTGGTTTTTTTGATTACTTTAATGTAAATGAGATTATACCATACTCTCTTCTCTGTCACTTCCTATTTTCATGTAATTTATGTTAGACATCTGTCAATGTCAGTATAAATAGGTCTAGATCATTTTTTATAGTTGTATACCTTTCGTTACATGGATGTTTCACAATTTACTTAGCTAACTACCTATTGTTGGACATTTGGTTATTTCCAAATTTTTGCTGTTTTATATAATGCTGCGCTTATATAAAATATAGTTCTATATAATTATGTTTAATTATGTACTACCGCTGTATCTGACAACTGACTTGTATCAAGAACATACAAAGAACTGTTACAAGTTGCCAGGCAGAGTGGCTCATGTCTGCAATCCCAGGGCTTTGGGAGGCCAAGGTGGGCGGATCTCTTGAGCCCAGGAGTTGGAGACCAGCCTGGGCAACATGGGGAGACCCCGTCTCGACAAAAATACAAAAATTAGCCAGGCATAGGGGCACACATCTGTAGTTCCAGCTACTTAGAGGCTGAGGTGGGAAGACTGCTTGAGCCCAGGAAGTTGAGGCTGCAGTGAGCCAAGATGACACCACGGCACTCCAGCCAGCGCGTCAAAGGCCCTGTCTCAAAAAAAAGGAAGAAGCGGGGGCGGCAAATAAGTAGAGTATAAGCCACCTCATCCAACTTTATTGGAACCAGTAGTTGACTGGTTAATCAGTCCAAGCAAGGAAGCATAAAAACTGATGCATGTGCCGGGCATGGTGGCTCACGCCCGCAATCCCCGCACTTTGTGAGACCGAGGCGGGCCGATCACCTGAGGTTAGGAGTTCGAGACCAGCCTGGCCAACATGGTGAAACCCTGTCTCTACTAAAAATACAAAAGTTAGCCATGCATGGTAGTACACGTCTGTAATCCCAGCTACTCAGGAGGCTGAGGCAAAAAAAGGAGAAGAAATGCTATGTGAAGCCTTTTTATAAGCACATTAATTTCATTCAGGAGGGCAGAGCACTCATGACCTAATCACCACCTTGAAAGCCTCACTTCTTAACATCATCACATTAGGTCTTAGGTTATAACATGAATTTTGGAGGACTCCAGAAAAAAAAAGTGAAAGACAACCCACAGAATGGGAGAAAATACTTGCAAATTATGTACAAAGTAGGCTCACTTTATTTGTGGAAAATATGTAGCCAGACACAGTGGCTCATGCCTGTAATCCCAGAACTTTGGAAAGCTGAGGTGGGAGGATCACTTGAGCCCAGGAGCTCAAGACTAACCTGGGCAACATAGGGATACCCTATCTCTACAATAAATAAATAAAATTACCCAGATGTGGTGACATGTGCCTGTGGTCCCAGCTACTTGGGAGGTTGAGGTGGGAGAATCACGTGACCCCAGGAGGTTGAGGCTGCAGTGAGCCAAGATAACATTAATGTATCCCAGCCTGGGCGATAGACCGAGACCTTATCTCAAAAAAAAAAAATATATATATATATATATGTATATATTTATCTATCTACCTATATATTCATATATAGATATAGATTAATATAGATATATAAACATATATTTATAGATATATAGATACATAAATATATAGCTATATATAAATATATATTTATAAATATATAGATATATATGTAACAAAATATGTTCCAAGACCTCCAGTGTATACCTGAAACTGCAGATAGTACCAAACTCTATATGTACTATGTTTTTTTCCTATACATACATACATACCTATGATGAAGTTTAATTTATAAATTAGGCACTGTAATAGAATAACAACAATAACTAATAATAAAAGAGAACAATTAGAATATACTTTTTGTTTTTGAGATGGAGTCTTGCTCTGTCACCCAGGCTGGAGTGCCATGGCGCCATCTCGGCTCACTGCAACTTCCACCTCCCAGGTTCAAGCGATTCTCCTGCCTCAGCCTCCCGAGTAGCTGGGCCTACAGGCACCTGCCACCACGCCCGGCTAATTTTTGTATCTTTAGTAGAGGCAGGGTTTCACCATATTGGCCAGGCTGGTCTCCAATTCCTGACCTTGTGATCCACCCACCTCGGCCTCCCAAAGTGCTGGGATTACAGGTGTGAGCCACTGTGCCTGGCTAGAATATACTTTAACATAAGTTACATGAATAGTTTTCTCTGTCTCAAAATACTGTAATATTTGGGATTGCAGCTGCCCGCAGGTAACTGAAACTGCAGAGAGCATACGGGAGACTACAGTATCTGACAATGGACTTGGATCTAGAATACATAAAGAACTCTTACAACTTGATAATAAAAAGGATATAACCCAATTTTAAAATGGACAAAAGATCTGAACAGATATTTCTCCAAAGAAGACATACAAATGGCCAATAAGGGCCAGGTGGTGGCTTATGCCTATAATCCCAACACTTTGGGAGGCCAAGGCAGGTGGATCACTTGAGGCCAGAAGTTCAAGACCAGTCTGGCCAACATGGCGAAAACCCATCTCTACTAAAAATATAAAAATCAGCCAGGCGTTGTGGCGCATGCCTGTAGTCCCAGGTACTCAGGCAGATGAGGCACAAGAATCACTCGAACCCGGGAGGCAGAGGTTGCAATGAGCTAAGATTGCACCACTGCACTCCAGCCTGGGCAACAGAGCAAAACCCCACCTAAAAATAAATAAATAAATAAAAATAAAAGAAAGAAAATAAATGGCCAATAAGCACAAGAAAATACACTCAATTTCTGTCTTAGTCTGTTTGTGCTGCTGTAACAAAATACCTGAGACTAAGTAATTTATAAGTAAAAAAATTTATTCCTCACAGTTCCGGAGGCTGGGAAATCCAAAATCAAGGTGATAGCACATTTGGCATTTGGTGAGGGCCTGTTCCATTGTTCCCGTTCTCGCAGTGGCATCTTCACATGGCAGGAGAAGAAAGGAAAAAAGAAGAAGAAATGTTATGTGAAGCCTTTTTATAAGGGCATTAATTTCATTCATGAGGGCAGAGCCCTCATGACCTAATCACCACCTTGAAGGCCTCACTTCTTAACATCGTCACATTAGGTCTTAGGTTATAACATGAATTTTGGAGGACTCCAACATTCAAACCATAGAAACATCATTAGCCATCAGGGAAGTGCAAATCCAAACCATGTTAAGATACCACTTCACACTCACAAGAATGGCTATAATAAACAGACACATAATAACAAGTGTTGGAGAAAATGTGGAAAAATTGAAACACTCATATGTTGCTGGAGGGAATGTAAAATGCTTTGCAATGAAGTTGGAACTGCTTTGGAAATAGTCTGGCAGTTCCTCCAAAGCTTAAACATAGAGTTATCATATGACCTGGCAATGCCAGGCTTCATCATATTCCCAAGGGAAAGGAAAACATATGTCCACACAAAAACTTACACATGAATGTTCATAGCAGCATTATTCATAATAGTCAAAAAGTGGAGACAGCTGGGTGTGGTGGCTCCCAACACTTTGGGAGGCCAAGGCGGGAGGATTGCTTGAGGTCAGGAGTTCGAGACCAGCCTGGCCAACAGAGTGAAATCCGATCTCTACTGAAAATACAAAAATCAGCGGGACATGGTATACGTGCCTGTAATCCCAGCTACTTGGGAGGCTGAGGCAGGTGAATGGCTTGAATCCAGGAGGCGGAGGCCGCAGTGAGCCAAGATCACACCACCGTACTCCAGCCTGAGTGACAGACTGAGACTCCATCTCAAAAAAAAAAAAAAAAAAAGTGATAAACAGATAAATGAAATGTGTTATATTCCTACAACAGAATATTATTGAGCCATAAAAAAAAAGGAAATAAGTACTGACACATGCTATAACATGAATGAACCTTGAAAACATTAGGTTACTTGAAAAAAGCCAGTCACAAAAGATCACAAATTGTATGGTTCCATTTATATGAAATGTCCAAATAGGCAAATCCTATCCTAAAAGAAAGTAAATTAGTGGTTGCCTAGGACTGAGGGATGGAGAAAATGGGGAGTGACTGCTCATAGGTATGGTATTTTTTTTTGAGAGAAATGAAAATATTCTAAAATTGATTGTGGTGGCCAGGCACAGGGGCTCACGCCTGTAATCCCAGCACTTTGAGAGGCCGAGGCGGGCGGATCACCTGAGGTCGGGAGTTCGAGACTAGCCTGACCAACATGGAGAAACCCCGTCTCTACTAAAAATACAAAATTAGCCGGGCATGGTGGTGCATACCTGTAATCCCAGCTACTCGGGAGGCTGAGGCAGGAGAATCGCTTGAACCAGGGAGGTGGAGGTTGCAGTGAGCTGAGATCGTGCCACTGCACTCCAGTCTGGCGAGAGAGTGAGGCTCCATCTCATAAAAAAAAAAAAAAAAAAGAAAGAAAGAAAAAAGAAAAAAAAGAATGTTTCAGGCAAAGGGAAGAGAAGTGCAATGGTGCTATTTCAGGCAGAAGCTTGTCAGGTTTGCTGTGGTGTGGTAGTGTGGAAGGACTCAGTGGGAAGGAAAAGAAATGAGGGCACAGTAGTGGGCAGGGCCAAGATAAAGCCATACGCATACTGCTACATTTTTTCCTTGTCCAATATATTTCATTAAATGTAGACAAAACTTATTATAAAGACATAACTTTTGATGTTTGTAAGGTCATCTGTTATTTGCACTCCTTTTTTTTTTTGAGATAGGGTCTCACTCTGTCACCCAGGCTGGAGTGCAGTGTTGCCACCACAGCTCACAGCAGCCTCGACCTCCTGAGCTCAAGCACTCCTCCCACCTTAGCCTCCTGAGTATCTGGGACTACAGGCACATGCCACCGTGCCCCACTAATTTTTTATTTTTTGTAAAGACAGGGTTTCTCCATGTTACCCAGGCTGGTCTCAAACTCTTGAGCTCAAACAATCTACCCACCTTGGTCTCCCAAAGAGCTAAGATTACAGGCGTGAGCCACTGTGCCTGGCTTGTTATTTACATTTGTGATTTTAAAATTCCATGTTTTTTATCATAAGATTGTCAGGTGCTTTCTGGACAGGAAATGCCTTAATTTATGACTCAAAATACAAACAAGTGTAGGTGATCAAATGCATATCTATGTCTTCAATGGAAATATATATACATACAAGTCATTAACGAAGACAAATGAGAACATGAAATTCATGACCTATTTTCCTTTCCATCACCTAGCCCCCTAAAGGAGAGATCTTTTTCATTCAGAGCCCTGGGTTTTGTTTTGTTTCATGATTTGCTTTTTTTTTTTTAAAAAAATAAGAGTTTATTTATTTATTTATTTGAGACAAGGTTTCACTCCCATCAGCCAGGCTGGAGTGCAATGGCGTGATCTCAGTTCACTGCAACTTCTGCCTCCTGGACTCAAGTGACTCTCTTGCCTCAGCCTCCTGAGTAGCTGGGACTACAGGCACGTGCCGCTGCATCCAGCTAATTTTTTGTAGAGACAGGGTTTCACCGTGTTGGCCAGGCTGGTCTTGAACTCCTGAGTTCAAGCGATCCGTCTGCCTCTGAGTCTCAAAGTGCTAGGGTTACAGGAATGAGCCGCCGCGTGGCCAAAAGAGTTTATTTTTTAAAGAAAATTGACTTCTTTGAAAACGTAGAAATGAGGCCGGGCGCAGTGGCTCACACCTGTAATTCCAGCACTTTGTGAGGCCGAGGCAGGTAGATCGCTTGAACTGAAGAGTTTGAGACCAATCTGGCCAACATGGTGAAACCCCATCTCTACTAAAAATACAAACATTAGCCGGGTGTGGTGGCAGGTGCCTGTAATCCCAGCTACTCGGGAGGCTGAGGCAGGAGAATCGCTTGAACCCGGGAGGCGGAGGTTGCAGTGAGCCAAGATTGCGCCATTGCACTCCAGCCTGGGCAACAAGAGCAAAACTCCATCTCAAAAAGAAAAGAAAAAGTAGAAATGAGGAAGCGGCCAGCCTGTGTGGGGATCTAATCAAACAAATCTTCCCCTGATGAGGGTAGCACTTAAGTTGAAAAAAATTTGCCTATATAATAAATATTGCAATACTTTATTTATTTATTTATTTATTTTTCGAGATGAGGGTCTCGCTGTGTTGCCCAGGCTAGTCTTGAACTCTTGGGCTCAAGGGCTTCTCCTGCCTCAGCCTCCCCAGTGGCTGGGCTAATAGGCACACACCACCATGCCCAGCTCTACATACTGATTTTTTTTTTTTGAGATGGAGTCTTCGCTCTGTCGCCCAGGCTGGAGTGCAGTGGCGCGATCTCCGCTCACTGCAAGCTCCGCCTCCCGCGTTCACGCCATTCTCCTGCCTCAGCCTCCCGAGTAGCTGGGACTACAGGCGCCTGCCACTGCGCCCACTAATTTTTTGTATTTTTAGTAGAGACGGGGTTTCACCGTGTTAACCAGGATGGTCTCGCTCTGCTGACCTCGTGATCCGCCCGCCTCGACCTCCCAAGGTGCTGGGATTACAGGCGTGAGCCACCGCGCCCGGCCCATACTGATTTTGAAATTTAAAAAATCTACATTCTATATTCGCATCATAGCTTCTCCCTAATAAAATCTTTGTGAGTGTTTATGGGACTTATTCCCCGAAAAATCTGCAAGCAGCCTGGTAGCTTTATATACACAGGAAAGCCAAAGGACAAACTAGGAATTACGTCAGAGATGGGGAAAGACTAAGGATCTTACCCAAATCAGTTGAGAATCAGCCTTAAGTATAAATGGGCCAGGTGTTGGTGGCTCACACCTGTAATCCTAGCACTTTGGGAGGCCAAGGCGGGCAGATCACTTGAGGTCAGGAGTTCGAGACCACCCTGGCCAACATGGTGAAACCCCGTCTCTACTAAAAGTACCAAAATTAGCCAGGCGTGGTGGCACGTGCCTGTGGTCCCAGCTACTTGGGAGGCTGAGGCAGGAGAATCGCTTGAACCTGGGAGGCAGAGGTTGCAGTGAGCTGAGATCACGCCACTGCACTCCAGCCTGGGTGACAGAGTAAGACTCCGTCTCAAAAAAAAAAAAAAAAGTATAAATGAAGCACAATTAACATTTGTTAATTTTATAAAGCAAAAGTTCATAAAAATAAATATTCTAATTAACTCTCCTACATCTTATAAACACTATTACCAAACCCATTTAAGATTGAAGATAAATTATATCATGGCATGGGTAAAGATTTTCAATAAGGAGTTGCTAGGATAAAAGTCAAAATTCTCCAGCATAAATTCACTGACAGGGATTTCTGTTTAATCTTTTCAAAATTCTAATACCCAATTTGTTTCCTCTAGAGAATAACTCGTGTAGAATCATAACCTCTTTGGTGGACCTTGATTTTTCCATCTGTAAAAGTATAGAACTAGTTTTGACTTAACAGTCAACAAATGCCTACCCTCTCCACATCTAGCTGATTAGAGCGCCCTCATGTGCGCATTTGCTGTAATGTTTTAGAAATCTGAAAAAGACAATATTAATCTCAGCAGTAATACAATAAATAATGTCTTCATTTGCACATTTATAGCAAATGCTATAAATATATAGCTCCAAGTATTACTCAGTAAAAGCTAAAGGCAAATGCTGTAGTAGGTTAATCTTACTGTCGTTCACTATCAAACCTTTCATATGCCAATTTTATCCTAAAACAGTGAAGTTATTGTTTTGGTTTCAATTTTAATTTAATGACTTAAAGGATTTTTTCCCTTAAAACTTCTAAGTATTTCATTATAATATTATTTCATCATTAGGCTTAAAGGAAAATATGTGGTCAATTGAGTTGTTATTTATTATACATGATAGCTTGACATCATCTTTTTAGGGATGGAAAACAGCTCCAGGGACCAAGTCTAACTCAGTTTTTTGATATAAGAATTTACCTGTCGGCCGGGCGCAATGGCTCACACCTGTAATCCCAGCACTTTGGGAGGCCGAGGCGGGCGGATATAGGTCAGCAGATCAAGACCAGGAGTTCAAGACCAGCCTGGCCAAGATGGTGAAACCCCATCTGTACTAAAACTACAAAAATTAGCCAGGCGTGATGGCAGGCACCTGTAATCCCACCTACTTGGGAGGCTGAGGCAGGAGAATCACTTGAACCCGGTTCAAGTGAGCCGGCTGCAGTGAGCCAAGATCACGCCACTGCACTCCAGCCTGGGCAATAAGAGCAAGACTCCATCTCAAAAAAAAAAAAAAAAAAAAAGAATTTACTAGTTTGAATCATAACAATTTCTTCCTACTCAAAGAGACTACATTGGAGGAAGCCAAAACAGAAGCTTATTTATTTATTTATATACTTTATTTATTTATTTTTGAGACAGAGTCTTGCTCTGTCACCCAGGCTGGAGTACAGTGGTGTGATCTTGGCTCACTGCAACATCTGCCTCCCGGGTTCAAGCGATTCTCCTGCCTCAGCCTCCCTAGTAGCTGGGATTACAGGTGTGTGCCACCACGGCCAGCTAATTTTTGTATTTTTAGTAGAGACGGGTTTTCACCATGTTGGCCCAGGCTGGTCTCAAACTCCTGACCTCAGGGTGATCCACCTGCCTCAGCCTCCCAAAGTGCTGGGATTTACAGGCATGAGCCACCAAGCCCAGCTTAGAGAAGCTTATTTTTTAAAAGAAAATACACAAAAAAATCAAAATCTCATAAGTCCAATTGTAATTTTTTTTTGGCTTTTAAAAATTGTTAATGCCCTCAAATATTCTCCTATCCAATCACTGTATTTTAAATGGCATTCCTCCAGCAAATATTTGTTGAGCCCCCACTATGTGCCAGGATTGAAATGTCAAATTGAAGGAGGCAATAGCTACTGAAGTAAAGCAAAAAAAAGTACTGGTTATTTTTCCTTCTATAAAATGACCTAGTAATAACCGCTTTACCCAGGAGAGTTGCTGTAAAGATCTAATAACATGACACATATAACCACACCCCTAAAGAATGAGGTGTTACTGCATGTTCTCACTCATAGGTGGGAATTGAACAATGAGAACACATGGACACAGGAAGGGGAACATCACACTCTGGGGACTGTTGCGGGGTGTGGGGAGGGGGGAGGGATAGCATTAGGAGATATACCTAATGCTAAATGACGAGTTAATGGGTGCAGCACACCAGCATGGCACATGTATACATATGTAACTAACCTGCACATTGTGCACATGTACCCTACAACTTAAAGTGTAATAATAATAAAATAATAAAATAAAAAAAAGAAATTTTGCTTAAATAAATATTATAATAAAAAAAACAAATGAGGTGTTATTAAAATGTTTGCAAGAGAAACCCTAGTAATTCCAAGCACATATTTTAGGAATGGTTTCTTGTGTAGAAAATCCTGGAATGTGAGGCTCTGCTGATTTTTTTAATGCATATTCTCTTCTTATGTATGCGGAATTTTTTTTTTTTTTGAGATAGAGCCTTGCTCTGTTGCCCAGGCTGGAATGCACTGGCACGATCTTGGCTCACTGCAACTGCCACCCCCTGGTTTCAAGTGATTCTCCTGCCTCAGCCTCCCGAGTAGATGGAATTACAGGCGTGTGCCACCGCACTTGGCTAATATTTGTATTTTTAGTAGAGATGGGGTTTCACCATATTGGCCAGGCTGTTCTAGAACTCCTGACCTTGTGATCCACCCACTTCAGCCTCCCAAAGTGCTGGGATTACAGGCATGAGCCACTGCACCTGGCCTATTTTTGTTTTTACTAATGTTTCAAGAGACCCACTTTATGTACAGAATTCTGGCTACAACCTAACAAATGAGTTGCTCTGTTCATCAGTTATAGCCAATTTAAGTAATTATGAAAAGCTCAACAATACTTTTAACTGGCAATGAAAGCGTCAATAGCTCACATTTACCACCACAACTTAGGATTTCTTGGTAGCTAAATAAAATGCTTCTATTTTGTGGGGGGAAACTGTCACATAAGTTGAAATTCTGCAATGTTCAATTGATGAAAAGGTCTCTATGTTAAATCAAAGGTATAAATTCCACATCAGTAGTACATGAAAGAGAAAAAAAAAGCCAAAATTAAAGTGATTCATGCCCACTTCCCTGAGTGAACCTAAGATTTACTAACAGAGATGCCGTAACTTTGATCATGCACACATCAAACTTGAATTTAAAAACATGCATGCACTCACTCATCTTTTATCTCTTATGTAATTAATACTGTAAGATTATATTTTGCCTACGTGCTCTATATTACTAATTTATAGGATTATTACTATTCAGTGTTGTTTACTTGAAACCATACTGTACTATACACAACTTTTGCATTCCATGCTAACTTTATTTTTTTAATTATTTTTTTTTTATACAGAGTCTCACTCACTCTATTGCCCAGGCTGGAGTGCAGTGGCACGATCTTGGCTCCTGCAACCTCTGCCTCTCGGGTTCAAGTCATTCTCCTACCTCAGCCTCCCAAGTAGTTGGTACCACAGGTACATGCCACCACACCCGGCTAATTTTTGTATTTTTGGTAGAGATGGGGTTTCACCATGTGGGCCAGGCTGGTCTCGAACTCCTGACCTCAAGGTTATAGGCCTGAGCCACCATGTCCCAGCTCCATGCTAACTTTAGAGCTTATTTCCCATCCCATAAGATACAACACTACTTGTGTTATATAGTGAGCAGTGTGGGGAAGAAAAGCATAGAATTAAGTTAGTGACAAATCCAGTGAACTCAAAAAGAGGGAAAAAAACACTCCCAAACAATTGTTTTCCCCATATTCTATTCTCCCTAGAGGTATTCCATACAGGAACGACAAAAGAAAAAAAAGGATACAAAATGAGAAAGATGTTCATGTGACATATAAGTACAGTAATAAAATCAACAAGCATATATGGTATTTAAGCAAAATAGTATGTATGCATTGATGGTCATCTGATATAAATCCATCATTTCTGTTGGCCAACATCTAAAACCTTTACTTTTCTGAGGAGACAAGCTATAAATCTATACGGATATTTCTACAACGAGAATTCACTATTACATATGAACCAATATAATTTGATGTCAAATATTCACAATTAGGTTGAAAAAATCCCCTACTTGGCCGGGCGCAGTGGCTCATGCCTGTAATCCCAGCACTTTGGGAGGCCAAGGCGGGTGGATCATGAGGTCAAGAAATCAAGACCATCCTGGCCAACATGGTGAAGCCCTGTCTCTACTAAAAATACAAAAATTAACTGGGCGTGGTGGCAGGCGCCTGTAGTCCCAGCTACTCAGGAGGCTGAGGCAGGAGAATCACTTGAACCCAGGAGGCAGAGGTTGCAGTGAGCTGAGATCGCGCCACTGCACCCCAGCCTGACGACAGAGTGAGACTCGGTCTCAAAAAAAAAAAAAAAAAAATCCCCTACTTATGTTAAGAGTACCAAAAATAGGGCCAGGAATGATGGCTCATGCCTATAATTTTGGCACTTTGGGAAGCCGAGGTGGGAAGATAGCTTGAGTCCAGGAGTAAAATAGTGAGACTCTGTCTCTACAAAAAAATAAAAAATTAGCTGGATGGGGCACACACCTGTAGTCCAGGTACTCACGAGGCTGAAATGGGTGGATCACTTGAGCCTGGGAGGTCAAGGCTGTAGTGAACTGTGATCACACCACTACACCCTACACCCAGCCTGGGCTACAAGGTGAGACCCTGTCTCAAAAAAAAAAAAAAAAAAAAAAGGTACCAAAAATCTATAGCTGTTTCAGAAATAAAATACATGTAGTTAGTGAGGTTTTTCTCTCCCACTGCTATGACTTAATTTTTGGTTGAGATGCTAAGCCAAACATCATTTTAAGTCTGTGGCCCAACCAAAAAAGGGAATCATACTCTCCAAAGAATTGTACATTCCCACTCTAATTGCTAAAATAAAATGTTGGATTATGAAAATCAATTTTGTAGGTATCAATAAGTTATAAGAGCATGGCTTATTTAAAAAAAAAAGTGGGCCAGGTTACCTACATGAGCTGCAAAGCAAGCAAACTGAATTTTCTTATCGAAGAGCCCATCCTCATACTTAAAATTTCCCATGACTACATGGAAATTCTTTCACTTACCAAAAACACCTGATTGGCACTTTCACTGAGAGTTGTGTCATCTGGGCTGTCGACAGGTGTCTGACGTGTAAACTTGGAATCAAACTGACTTACATCCTCTTCAGATTGCTCTATACAAACAAAATAATTTAGAAAATAATGAATAGTCCATATGACATCAATCAAATGCACTGTAAGCTCTGGGAGCTCTTTTCGCAGGGGTTAACTATAATAAAGTATTAGAATAGTCTTAGCAGGCACTATTCTAATAGTGGAGAAATGCAAGTGGAAGAAAAAAATGCAAGTGGAAAGTACTGAGTCAAATTACATCTTCAAATCTTAAACATGCACTAAAAAAGATTTTAGTATACTGTTATTCCTATTAAAAATGTGAATATATTGGCTGGGCATGGTGGCTCAGGCCTGTAATCCAGCACTTTGGGAGGCTGAGGCAGGCAGATCATGAGGTCAGGAGTTCAAGACCAGCCTGGCCAATAAAGCGAAACCCCGTCTCTACTAAAAATACAAAACATCAGCCGGGCGTGGTGGCGGGCGCCTGTAATCCTAGCTACTCGGGAGGCTGAGGCAGGAGAATTGCTTGAACCTGGGAGGCAGAGGTTGCCGCAAGCAGAGATCGTGCCACTGCACACCAGCCCAGGTGACGGTGCGAGAGTCTGTCTCAATGAAAAAAAAAAAAAAAAAAGAATATATCGAGCTCAAAACAAGCTGGAAAAAATGTGAATATCAATTTCCCCTCTCACAAAGCTTCAGTGTGCCTAGTCCACTGGCTAAATCCCTGTTTAGAGATAATTAATTCAGTTGGCTACTGCAGGTTTGTAATAAACCTGAAAAACTACTGAAGCAGAGTTAAAACATGAATAATACTGGTAAGATGCTCCAGTTAAAGTTTCTTCCCACAGCTCATTTCATTCCTTCAGAAATCTAAAGGAGCAAAAATAATTTTCTATTCCGCATGGGTTATAAGTTATATTTCCTTGTGAAAGTATAGTTATCACTTCAGTTCTAACCATGAGATTTATTTATTTAATTCCTTCTCTCTTTCCCAAAATATCTGGTTAAACTCTTGGGCCAAATGTAAGAAGTAAATAATAATTTAGAATATCTGACTTAATACTAAAAGATGATGACCACATTGACCTTATAATTCTCTTAGAGCCCAGACTGTGAACCTGCACTCCCTGGAGGAATGGCTGATTCCAAGTGTGGGGAAAATGTACAAGATAAGCATAGAACACCAGTTTCCTTATTTTGCTCTCTCGTACAACACCAGACAATGTGCTCATGTCAAAAGGACTCAGAACCCAACATGAAGATGCACCCAGCATTCACTGCACCCAGCATTCAACGAAGGGAAAAAACGAGCACCAATAAAAATAACTGCTAGGTGCGGTGGCTCACGCCTATCATCCCAACACTTTGGGAGGCAGAGGCAGGTGGATTGCTTTTGAGCTCAGGATTTGAAGACCAGCCTGGTGAACACGGCAAAACCCCGTCTCTACCAGAAACACAAAAATTAGCTGGGCATGATGGTGTACCTGTGGTCCCAGCTACTCAAGAGGGTGAGGTGGGAGGATTGCTGGAGGTCGGGACGTCAAGCCTGCAGTGGGCAGCGATCATACCACTGCACTACAGCTTGGGTGACAGAGTTAAGACCCTGCCTCAAAACAATAAATGAATAAATAAAAATAAAATAAAAATAACTGCGATGAAAGGAAACACAAATATGTTAAAACGTGTAAGTTCATAATATACTAAAAAAGAAAAAAACACACACAAAGTTCATTGGTCAATTTTGGAAGATGCTAGGGAACTAATTCATTATTTTGAAAACTAGGAAAGAATCAAACATACATCCTGCCTTTTCTGTATGAACTGTACCTTGGGTAACTAACTGATCAAAGAGTTTCTCTTTATGAAAGAATTCCAGCTAACAAAGAAAGAAGAAATAACAGTTAGAATAAAACCATTTCACAAACACCTGATGAAACTACAAAAGTAGGCCAGAGTTTCTCAACCTCAGGGCTACTGACATTTTAGGCCTATTAATACTTTGCGTTAGGGGGCTGTGCTGTGCTGTGCTGACTCTTACCCCTGAAGGTACCTATAGCATTCCCTCTCCCAAGCTGTGACAATCAGTGTGTCTCCAGACATTGCCAAATTACCCTGGTAGTGAAATGCTGACACAGGCAGTGACCACTAACATCACTAAAAAAACACACATACGCACACACAAGTACACATTATGCCTCCTGATCAAAGCATATGCGATACTGAGAGTGTAATCTGAATCAGATCAACCACCTAAATTTAACTACCAGTTTTTGGAAATTTGGGGAACAGATGAACATGGTCAATGACACTCTGGGGATAATATCAGCAAAATCAAAATTTGAGAATTCTACAGGACAAATGACCCCGTTTCTTCAGTAAATCACGAGGGGAATCTATAAACGAAAAGAGACCTAAGAGACATAGTAACCAAACTACATACAGACCTTGATTAAATCCTTACAAACAGGAGAAAAAAAAAAAAGAATGGAACAACAACAAAAAAAAAATTAGGTGGGGCAACACAGGGAGACCTCATCTCTAGAAAAATTCAAAAAATTGGTTGTGGTGATGCACCCCTGTGGTCCCAGCTATATGGGAGGATCCCTTGAGCCTGGGAAGATGAGGCTGCCATGAGCCACTATCATGCCGCTGCACTCCAGCCTGGGCAACAGAGAAAGACCCTATCTCAAAAAAAAAAAAAGAGAAAAAAAAAACTGGGGAAACTGTCAACTTCTTAGGTGTGATGATGGGATGACAGTTATGTTTAAAGAAGATGATCTAATTATTTTTAAGCTGGGCAGTAGGTGTATGACAGTTCTCCTCCTTACAATTGTTTGTTGTTTTTTAAAGTGGGTCACATTATGGGGCATGACCAAAAAATAATCACCATCATCATCCTCCTCCTTCTCCACCTACAGCCCAAGG
The DNA here is from genome assembly GCF_000001405.40 of Homo sapiens. Classification (NCBI taxonomy): domain Eukaryota; kingdom Metazoa; phylum Chordata; class Mammalia; order Primates; family Hominidae; genus Homo; species Homo sapiens. The sequence continues at coordinate 2,200,534 of NT_187614.1, forward strand.
AATGGAAAAAGAAACTGTTTTCTCAGATTCTGAGGTGGCAGAAAGACAATAACACACTAACTCATTTACTCATAAACATATTGTTATGGATTGAATCGTGTCCCTTACCCACCCCCCAGAAAATTTCGTATGTTGAAACTCTAACCTCTAGTTCCTCAGAATGTGACCTTATTTGGAAAGGGTTATTGCAGATGTAATTAGTGAAGATGAGGTCCTACTGGAGTAGAGAGGAACCCTAATCCAATATGCCTGGTATCCTTATAAAAAGGGGAAATTTGTCCACAGATATGCACACAGGTAGAACACCATGTGAACATGAAGGCAGAGATCCAGGTGATGCACCTACAAGCCAAAGTATGCCAAAGATGACCAGCAAACCACCAGAAGCCAGGGGAGAGGCATGGAACATAAGGTTTCTCACAGTTGTCGAAGAAACCAACTCTAACAACGTGATCTAGAACTTCTAGTCTCCAGATCTATGAGATAATAAATTTCTGTTGTCTAAGCCACCCAGTTTGTGGTACTTCGTTGCAGCAAGCCTAGCAAACTAATGCACACATATTCTATATTTTGAAGAAAAAATTCCCAGAGAATCATTTTTAAAATGGTTAAATTAAGCAAAATAAAACAAACCAAAAAAAGAAAAGTCCCAACTACCTGAAATATTTAATTGTCTTAGGAAACTGACTTAAAAATATCTAATACAGGCCGGGCGCGGTGGCTCACGCCTGTAATCCCAACACTTTGGGAGGCCGAGGTGGGTGGATCACAAGGTCAGGAGTTCAAGACCAGCCCGGCCAAGATGATGAAATCCTGTGTCTACTAAAAATACAAAAATTTGCTGGGCATGGTGGCAGGTGTCTGTAATCCCAGCTACTCAGGAGGCAGAGGCAGAGATTTGCTTGAACCCAGGAGGTGGAGGCTGCAGTGATCCGAGATCACACCACTGCACTCCAGCCTGGGGGACAGATCAAGACTCTGTCTCAAAAATAAAAAAATAAAAATAAAGAGGAAGAACGCTATGGAATTTGACTAGAATTAGGGCTAACAATATGAAGCACTTTGGGAAGCCAAGGCAGGTGGATCACCATGTCGGCCAGGAGTTTGAGACCAGCCTGGCCAACATGGTGAAACCTCATCTTTACTAAAAATACAAGAATTAGCCAGGTATGGTGGTGAGCACCTGTACTCCCAGTTACTCCAGAGGCTGAGGCACGAGAATCACTGGAACCCGGGAAGCAGAGGTTGCAGTGAGCTGAGGCAGCCTGGTGTCCAAGCTGTGGTGAGCCATGATCATACCACTGCACTCAAGTCTGGGCAACAGAGGAAGTCCCTGTCTCAAAAAAAAAAAAAAAAAAAAAAGGGCCAGGTGCAGTGGCTCACACCTGCAATCCCAGCATTTTAGGAGGCTGAGGCGGGCAGATCATGAGGTCAGGAGTTGAAGACCAGCCTGGCCAACATAGTGAAACCCCATCCCTACTAAAAATACAAAAATCAGCCGAGTGTGGTGGCATGTACCTGTAATCCCAGCTACTCAGGAGGTTGAGGCAGAAGAATTGCTCGAACCTGGGAGGCGGAGGTTGCAGTGAGCCAAGACCACATCATTGCACTCCAGCCTGGGCAACAGAGTGAACCTCCATCTCAAAAAAAAAAAAAAAAAAATTTAAAAAGGGAGTATAGGGCCAGCCACGGTGGCTCACGCCTGTAATCCCAGCACTTTGGGAGGCTGAGGTGGCTGGATCACGGGGTCAAGAGATCAAGACCATCCTGGCCAACATGGTGAGACCCCATCTCTACTAAAAATACAAAAAATTAGCTGGACACAGTGGCAAATGACTGTAGTCCCAGCTACTCTGGAGGCTGAGACAGGAGGATCGCCTGAACCTGGGAGGCAGAAGTTGCAGTGAGCTGAGACCATACCACTGCACTCCGGCCTGGTGACAAAGCGAGACTTCGTCTCAAAAAAAAAAAAAAAAAAAAAGAGTTTAAAAAAATCTTTACAGAAGAATGACAATATAGAAAAAATACAGAAAAAATAGAAAAGTCTCCAATTTCTAATCACTATAGTAATATTTGATTTGGGCAAGAAGCAATCCAGATGAAACCATTAAGTAAAGATTATTATGGGACAGAATATTCACACTGTTTCTATCATGCCATAGATCACTTGTTAATTACAAAAGGAAAAAGAGGCTGAGAATGGAGTCTCACGTCTGTAATCCCAACACTTTGGGAGGCCAAGGAGGGCGGATCACCTTAGGTAAGGAGTTTGAGACCAGACTGGCCAACATGGCAAAACCCCATCTCTACTATAATTACAAAACTTAGGCAGGCATGGTAGCAGGCACCTGTAATCCCAGCTACTTGGGGGGCTGAGGCAGGAGAATCGCTTGAACCCAGGAGGTGGAGGTTGCAGTCAGCCAAGATTGCACCACTGCACCCCAGCCTGGGTGACAGAGTGAGACTCCTTCTCAAAAAAAAAAAAAAAAAATGCCCTTATTCTTAGGAGATGTATAGAAGAAATTAGGGTTGAAGTGCTATGAAATCTGCAGTTAACTCTCAAATTGTACAGAAAGAAAATTTATTAATGTTAAAAAATGTCAATATTCATAGATACACATATATGTGGGGGCAGGTAGAAAGGGAGGGACACAGAGACAAAGAAAATATGGCAAAATGGTAACACCTGGTGATCACTGAACTATTCTTGCAACTCTGAAAAGTTTAAAAAATTTCAAAGGTATATTGTTTTTGAACTGCTCGGGAGGTTTAAATTTTTGAATTTTTAAAATAAGCAATCAATTGTGAGGAAGTCTGAGAAGCCACAGACTTAAGAGATAAGATGAAAAATAAGGAAAGTAGAATCACAGTAATAAGAGGAACAGAGTTTCAAAATGCTGTGGTCAGTCAGTAGCTTCAATGCAAAAGAAAGTTAAATTAAGGACCAACTCAGTAAAGACAACTGGATTCAGCAACTGGGAAGTCAGTGATGACCTAGGGTACAGGAGCTGCATTGAAATAGTAGAGTTGGGCCACGCGTGGCCCACATCTATAATCCAGCAGTTTGGGAGGCCGAGGTAGGTGGACCTCTTGAGGCCAGGAATTCAAGACCAGCCTAGCCAACATGGTGAAACCCCATCTCTACTAAAAATACAAAAATTAACCCGAGACAGTGGCGCACCCCTGTAATCCCAGCTACTCAGGGGCCTGAGGCATGAGAACTGCTTGAACCTGGAAGGCAGAGGCTGCAGTGAGCTGAGATAGGGCCACTGCACTTCAGCCTGAGTGACAGGGGAAGACTCTGTCTAAAAAAACAAAAAATAGGCCTGGCGTGGTGACTCATGCCTGTAATCCCAGCACTTTGGGAGGCCGAGGCAGGCGGATCACGAGGTCAGGAGATCGAGACCATCCTGGCTAACACGGTGAAACCCTGTCTCTACTAAAAATACAAAAAATTAGCTGGGCGTGGTGGCAGGCGCCTGTGGTCCCAGCTCCTCCGGAGGCTGAGGCAGGAGAATGACATGAACCCGGGAGGTGGAGGTTGCAGTGAGCTGAGATTACGCCACTGCACTCCAGCCTGCGTGACAAAGCCAGACTCCCTCTCAAAAAAAAAAAAAAAAAAAAAAAAAAAAAGACGTAAACTGGGTATGTGCCTTTAGAGGTGGTGCACATTTTTAGCATTATAAATGAATATAAATGAGTGGCAATTGTTACTTTGGTCCACAGATTTTTGGTATCTTAACTAGTTTTTGGTCTCTTCCACTAAAGGCATTGCCTGTTGAACCTTGTTAGGAATGTAAGTACTGAAGGCAAACTGCCTGGGTTTGAATTTTGTTCTGTCCCTTGCACCCTGCCTGGTTTCAAATCCTAGCTCTGCTTATTACGTTCTTTTAAGGGGATGACCTTTGAGCAAATGTCTTAGCTTCTGTTTTCCCCAGTAAATGGACACAATAGTTGCTACTTTGTGAAAGATTCATGTAATTGACCAGCGTTTACCAAGTAGCATCAGTGTTTAGTTTCAGTCATTGGTGATTCTGCAGTTGGACTGTGAGGGGGTATTGGGGTGGGGGGTGGTGTGTGTGTAGCACTTAATTGCAGGCAGGAAGGAAAAGATACTTTTGATAACCGACAGGCAGCTTTTCTCTGCTTTTGTGTCAAAAGGGAGGAAGGGAGTTTGGAGAGGGAAATGAATTCTCTGTAACACTAAGCTCTCTTCCTCAAAACCAGAGGTAGATAGAATGTGTAATAATTTACAGAATTTCTAGACTTCAACGATCTGATTTTTTAAATTTATTTTTATTTTTTCAGGTTGAGACTGAGCTAAAGTTAATCTGTGGCGACGTTCTGGATGTACTGGACAAACACCTCATTCCAGCAGCTACAACTGGCAAGTCCAAGGTTTTCTATCATGAAATGTAGGTTCTATACTAACAATTAACAAGTGTACTTCAATAAATTTAAACATTCTCAGGAATAGTTGACTTTGTTTCTTTTTTTCTTAGACATTTCATATTATTTTCCTTATTAAATATAACCAAAAATCCCACAGAAATTAACTGAGGAGCCTCTAAATATCAACAAAATTATCACTTGATAGACTAGAATTAAACAAGCAAGTGGTTCCAAGAAATGGCACGAGTGTATTAATCATAAAATAAAATTTCTACATGAAACATTCAGCCATTCTAGACCATTTCTGTCTGTGCAGACTCATCTTTTCCTGTTCTTTGCAAAGCCCAGCTAGAGCAAGCAAGTTCTTCCCAATAGGTTTTTCCCATCTCTGGTTGCTTGGCTGGCTGGGCTTCCTCTACAAACCCCCTTCCTTTCCCCTAAGCAGGGCCCGGTGTCCCCATCCCGCGGAGTTGACCTCATGAGGGCATCTGACCAGGAGTAGCTATTCCTGGTGCTATTGTCATTGTCCTGTTTCATGTGTGAACATGGCTGGCTCTACAGAGATTTGGCGGGTAGCAAGGAGGTTTCTTTTTGAATCTTCTTTTGGAAGTCAGACTTGATGAGGATCTTATGCCCACTTTTTCCTAGCTCTGTGGTGTCAGGCAAAGTCTGTTTCTGCAAATGGGGGTTAAGAATTCCTACCTCACAGCAGTCTTTTGATAATAAGATCTTAAGTGTAAATTATTCCACTAGAAATTGCACAGTCACTTTGGTCTTCATCCTGGAGGTCCACTGACAAGCCTCATGCAAACCTGTGGCCCTGTTCATAAAGTGTTTTGATCCATACTTTCAAATGGCCTCAGGAAGACCTTTTATAAAGTAAAAATGTTAGGCAGCCACATGATATCCATTGACCCAGTGAGGCTGTTTTACTGCATATAAGAGGTTTGACCCGGCATTTTGGGGGGCCGAGACAGGCAGATCACTTGAGGCCAGGAGCTGGAGACCTGCCTGGCCAACATGGAGAAACCCCATCTCTATTAAAAATACCAAAAAAATTAGGTGGGCATGGTGGCACATGCCTGTAATCCCAGCTACTTGGGAGACTGAGGCACAAGAATCGCTTGAACCCGGGAGTCAGAGGTTGCAGTGAGCCAAGCCGAGATGGCGCCACTGCACTCCAGCCTGGGCAACAGAGTGAGACTCTGTCTCAGGGGAAAAAAAAGGGTGAGGGGAGGGTTTGAAAAAATAGTAGCATGTAGTTATGTTTCTACAATATTTAATATATATAAGGATTTACCAACCTCTTGCATTAGCTGCTATCCCCTACAGCAGTTGCTGTAGGAAAAAAACATCAAGTTCTGAGCTCCTACTGTTTGCCAGGCATATTCTGAGATGATCACGTTGAAATCTCAGAGTTACCCTGCAGAGTAGTCAGGGTATCACTGCCTGACAGATGAAGAAGCTGAGGCTTCCAGCAGTTAAATGACTTACCCCAGGCCACATAGAAAATGAGTGGGAGAGCCCAGGTCTGTCTGTGAGGTATAATGAAATTAGCATAAACCCTCCACATTGGCGCCACTTGCATAAATTAACATACATTCTCTCACAGAAAGTATTTTATTGGGCATAACAGTTTGTATCATTTACCGTTTAACATTAGCCGTGGATCTTCCCACATCACATGACTATGCCTCATTCTTTTTGGATAATATGATTACTATTGAATGGATTTACTATCATTCACTTAATCAATACTCCTTTTGATGGCCATTTTAATTGTCTATTTTTTCCTTTTGCACAGATTGGTGTAATAAACCTGATTTTATAGTAATATTTTTGTCTGCCTGTGAAAATGTTTGCTGGACAATAAATTCCTAGGAGTCAAATAAGGTCAAAGATTATAAATACAGTATTTATTTTCATAAATATTACCAAGTCAGCCACAAATGTTTAAATTACTAATGGTTTCAGATTATTGTATTTAATGAGTAAACACTTTTATAGGGTTTACTTTTATGAACACTTTTATTTGCCAGATATCATTCTAAGTCCTTTACAAAATTAACTTTTTAAATTTGTAATATAACCCTGAGATGTATATTAGGATTATCCCCATTCTACAGATAAGAACACTGAGAAGTTAATTAACTTGCCACATATCTAGGAAGTGACAAGGCTAGTTGCACAGCCAGGCAGTCTGGCTCCTGAGTCCACATTTTAGACAACACTATACCTCCTGGTTCTTTTGAGGCATTACTGCTGGAACTATCCTAATACTCATAAATAAACATTTCTTTTGGGGAGGGCCAAATAAAATTTTAAACAGAAAAGTTTTCACCAACTGTCAAGCTCATAAAGTTGTACGTTATACACTTTTTTCATGATGCCCACAGATAATTTATTAATGATATCATCTATTTTAAAAGACGTATGTAAAACCCAACCCTTAAGAAAGGATTCCTATCACTGTTCCCACAGGCACCCTCCTCAGTCTTATACCTTTCCATTCCACCCCCCAAAACAAATCATTCAGCATATTTATTTCATACTGTAATAGAGGAAGTAGCTTCTTTTTAGATTTTCTTAGATTATTAACATTGATCATACAAACATGGAATAGAAATTCCTTATGTTTTATCTGGATTTAAGGTGCTACATAATGGAATCTATTTCTATCAAGCCATACACATTGGAGATAATGAAATCACTTGTGTTCTAGCCTAAACGTTATGGGAATTTCAGAACTGCAACATAACAGATAATCCTTGGACGAAAACTAAATCTCTCCTCTGGTCAGGCATCTATGTGCATCAGTGAAGAGAAGACGGGGACTGTGGAAGGGAAAACAGTGAGTCAGGAAGGACTGTGGCCACATCTGTTCCCCGGACCCTCACGTAGTTAAATCCTGACCTCCTCTACCCCAGACTGTCCTGGGGAATGGCCAACACTGGCTTTTCACAACTGTGTGTTACCAGAAATGCAACAGAAACCCAGCTGAATCCCCAGGGTTTCCCTTCCGCCCTTCTCAATGGAAAGATCTGTCCCAGGACCATTTATTCCAACATTTTCAATTATGAGAAATCTGGGAAGATAAAGTTATTTTCACATTTCTCAAGAAATACATACTTATTCATACTCATTACAGGAAAGTCAGAATCTACAGAAAACCAAGAAGATTTTTAAAAATCCATGATACCACCATCAAAAGAGCCACACTTAGTATGTTGGTCCACAGGTTTCCTAGCACCCTTTTCTGTTGGTGTATGCACAAAATACACAATCACATTCTGTCTACATTTTACAATTTGCCATTTTTTGATTAACACTATATATTGACCAATTTTTAAGACCTGCAACATATGTCGACAACATTATTTCAAAATAATATATTTATAAATAAACGCACACACAAACTGTCTGTCTTATATACAACACGTCTTACTTTCTAATTCTCCACTCTGGAAGATTTAGGTTTTCCTAACTTTTTAATATACTCACCAGGAATCAGTAAACTTTTTTTATAAAAGGCCAAAGGGTAGATATTTTAAACTCTGCAGGCCATAGGTTTCTGTTGCAACACTCAACTCTGCTGTTGCAGGGAAAGAAGCCATACACAATTTGTAAATGAATGGGCATGACTGTGTTCTGATAAACTTTACAAAAACAGGTGGTGGACTAGATGCAGCCTGCTCCTCTGGACATGGCTTACCAGCCCCTGACATATACCACTACAGAGGATGCTGTTAGAATGAAATCTCTTTACACATCTCTGATCATCTCCTTAGGACTAATTGCTAGACATGACATCATGGTAGCTGTGGGTCAAAGGGCATGCACGCTCTGGGATGTACATTGCCAGATTGCTCATGATCAGCCTTTCTCATGTCAAAATGTTTTGTGACCACCAGAAGGCTGGTTCTGCTTTTATTATCCATTGACTGAGGAGTAGAAATGACATGGCATGTATGCAGGATATTTAACCATCGTATAGATAATCCTTGTGCACAAGTGCATTCTATATTCTTTCCCAATAGGTCTACATCTGCCAGAGTTGAAATAAAATAAAACAAAACAAACCTATTTAGCACCTTCTGTGTAGCAGGTCCATTCATGTATGTTGTTGTATTTCATTCTCAGAATTCTTATGACCTAGGCATTTTAAACATTTTTTTAAAAATATTGAGTTGACAAGGATTGTGTATATTTAATGCATACAATGTGATGATTTCATATATGTATATATTGTGTACTAATTATCACAATCAAATTTATTACATCCATTACCACCTATGCTGTACATTAAATCTCCAGAATTTGTTCATCTTATAACTGAAAGTTTACACCCTTTGATTAATAGCTTCCCATTTTCCCCACCTCCAGCCCTTGGCAACCACCATTCTACTATCTGTTTTTATGAGTTTGACTCTCTTAGATCCCACATATAAGTGAGATCATACAAAACTTGTCTTTCGGTGTCTGGCTTATTTCACTTAGCGTAATGTCCTCCAGGTTTATCCAGGACAGGAGTTTCTTCTTTTGAATGGCTAATAGTCCATTGTTTATATGTATTTTATTTATCCATTCATCTGTTGCTGGACACTTAGGCTGTTTCCATATCTTGGGTATTGTGAATAGTGTTGTAATAAACATGGGGCGCAGATCTCTCTTCAAGGTTCTAACCTGATTGCTGAATCGTATGGTAGTTCTGCTTCTAATTTTTTGAGGAACCTCCATACTGTTTTCTGTAAAGGTTATACCACTTTACATTCCAACCAACAGTGTACAAGGGTTCTCTTTCCTCTATGCTTTCGCCAACACTTGTTATCTCTTGTCGTTTTTTTATAAGAGCCATCCTATCCTATGAGGCAATATCTCACTGTGGTTTTGATTTGCATTTCTCTGATGATTAGTGGTGTTGAGCACCTTTTCATATGCTGGCTGGCCATTTGTATATCTTCCTTGGGGAAAAAAGTCCATTGGGGTCCTTTGCCTATTTTTAATTGCGTTATTCATGTATTTATTAATTTTTGCTATTGAATTGTGTGAATTCCTTATATTTTTTCAAATAACCCCTTATCAAATATATGGGTCGCAAATATTTTCTTCCATCCCGTAGGTTGCCTTTTCATTTTGTCATGGTTTCCTTTGCTGTGTAAAACCTTTTAAGATTGATGTAGTCCCATTTATTTATTTTCACTTTTGTTGCCTGTGCTTTGGTGTTACATCAAAAAAAATATTGCCAATTATGACCAATGTCGAGGAGATTTTTCCCTATGTTTACTTCCAGGATTTACATGGTTTCAGATATTACATTTAAATCTTTAATCCACTTTGAGCTAATTTTCTGTATATGATGTAAAACAAGTGTGCAATTTCATTCTTTTTCATGCACTTTCCCCAACACCATTCATTGAAGAGAGTTTCCTTTCTACATTGTGCCTTTTTTTTTTTTACAGTACAGTGAAAGCAAGTCTATTAAGAAAGTAAAGGAATAAAAGAATCTACATTGTATATCCTTGATGGCCTTGTCAAAGATCTGTTGACCATATATGCACGGGGTTATTTCTGGGTGAGCTTGGCATTTTTTTTTTTTTTTTTTTTTTTTGAGACAGAGTCTCGCTCTGTCGCCCAGGCTGGACTGCGGACTGCAGTGGCGCAATCTCGGCTCACTGCAAGCTCCGCTTCCCGGGTTCACGCCATTCTCCTGCCTCAGCCTCCCGAGTAGCTGGGACTACAGGCGCCCGCCACCGCGCCCGGCTAATTTTTTGTATTTTTAGTAGAGACGGGGTTTCACCTTGTTAGCCAGGATGGTCTCGATCTCCTGACCTCATGATCCACCCGCCTCGGCCTCCCAAAGTGCTGGGATTACAGGCGTGAGCCACCGCGCCCGGCCGAGCTTGGCATTTTTATCTACCTCATTCTACCGATGAGGAGGCCGAGTCTCAGAGAGTTCACAGACCTGCCTAAGGTCACTCAGCTAGAGGTGATACAACCAGGGTTTGAACTGAGATCTGCCAAGCTTCTGAGTTTATTCTTTTTCCCCCACACCAAGGATCCTCAATTCTGCCTTACTGACATCAGGATCCGGTCAATTCTTTGTGATGGGGGCTGTCCTGCACCTGGCAGGATGTTTAGCAGCTTCTCTGGCCTCCACCCACTGGATGCCAGGGGAATGCAGAAGAGGCTTGTTCATTCTCCCATTTAATCCTCAGGACAATATCTGACATAAATGTTACGTCTTTTATTTTATAAATGAAGAAAATGAGACTCAGAAAGGTTTAAGTGAGTTACTTAAGAACACACAGACAGCAAAGGTAGAACTGGAAACCGAACACAGGTGTCCACATGGGACAACAAAAAAGTTCACGTTCCATCTTCTTTTGAGTCTCTCATTTCAATAATTACCATTGTGTGGATACGAGCTGAAGTACAGGAAACCTGGGGCTGAACTCTCCTCCCATCAGGCCTAGGAGCCCCAGACCAGAACCCCAGCCCAAGGTCTCCCAGTCAGGCCCGCTGGCGTGAGCTGGCATCTACACTAGCATGGTTTCCCAAAGCTGCAGGGATGCCAGTCTCGCCGCTGATGAAGAAAATGAAGGGCATTTGCTTCTCATGCAGGCTGTCGGGATTTAACACAGATTCCTTTTCTTGCTCTCTTCTCCCATAGCACAAAACTGGGTGGTCCATCCCCCTCCCAGTGTCCCAAGGCTTTGTTGCGTGTTCTCTTTAATTTCTCCCACTCTTGTGGTGTACCCTACCCTCATCTCCCTGGCAACCTTTCTGCTGTATCCTCTCGACACCTGGATCACAAGAACACTTGTGAGACCCCTTAACAAGTTACATCCCAAATTATCATTCCCCTTTGTCCTCAGCCAGTGCTCAGGTCCAACTTGCTCTCCTGGGGTGACTTTCTTTCCTGCCCAATATGGTTTCATCATCTGTAAATTGGGGATAATTAAAGTCTTGATCCTGATATTTGACTCTCAAAGCAGAAGGAGCAAGCTCAGCCAAGTCACTTCAACAAGAGGAGAAGTTCCTTGTGAACCAAAAGGGCACTGGTCACAAGGGCCGCTCCTTCTTCTGTCAGGCCTCTCCAGCACGCCCTTGGCTCAGCCAAAGAAGAGACTCAGGCTGTGCTTCTGCACTGTTGGGATAACATAGGCCTCTTCCATGTGGTTCCACACCAGGAACATGGGGACAATCAGACCTCTCCCAGTGTGGGCATAAGGATACAAGATCATGTCAATATTGACATTCATAATGGCTGGGCGCAGTGGCACACGCCTGTAATGCCAGCACTTTGGGAGGCTGAGGTGGGCAGATTGCTTGAACCCCAGAGTTCGAAACCAGCCTGGGCGACTTGGCAAAACCAGTCTCTACTGAAAATACAAACAATTGGCTGGGCTTGGTGGCGCACACCTGTAGTCTCAGCTACTTGGGAGGCTGAGGTGGGAGGATTGCTCAAACCCAGGGAGGTTGAGGCTTCAGTGAGCTATGATGGCACTGCTGTACTCCAACCTGGGCAACAGAGTGAGGCCCTGTCTCAAAACAAAAACAAAGACAAAACAACATTCATAATAGTAGCAATAGCTACTATGTGCCAAGCCCAGGCACCTCTTTGAGTCTTTGCTGGCACTCTATCAGGTAAGCGTGCTTAGAAGTTACACGAAGCACACGGCTCAGTGTTTGGCCCATGGTAAGGGCCTAAAAAGGGATAGCCCCAGTGGTGGGGATGCTGCTGCTGCTGACCATTAACCCCAGTCTGCTCCACCTTCTTCCAGGCAGTCTGTGAGATGTTTCATGTCCGAGGCAAACAGCACATTCAGATCCCCAAGCTCTACACCTCCAGTGTGACCAGGCACCTGCACCACTTCAGGCTCATGCAGGACTCACAGCCTTTGGACCTCAGCTAAAGGACTTGCTTCTCTTCAGCACACGGGGCTTGTTTGTGTTGGGGTCTGAGCCCTGAGCCCATGGTCAAGGAGACCCCCAGGTCTTTCTGAACAGAGACAGCTGGCCTGGGGGCCTCCCTCTCACTGCGTGCAAGAGGCTGTTAGGGTGCAAGACTCAAGGCGCTGAGGGAGGCTGTTTCAGGAGGGAGCCCCAGGAGGGTGGTGGAGACAGAAGGGGGCAGCATCTGCCGAGGCCCTACTGTGTGCCTGGCACCGTGTGGGGTTTCTGGCCCATATGGGCTAAGTGACCCTGCACACTCCTCTTAGGAGAGAGGCTCAGATGGAGAAATTGCAGTTCAGGAAGGTGAAGCAAGCTGCTAGCCTGTGGCCATGTTGGGATCTGGGCCTCAGCCTTCCAGCCACGAAGGCAGCCAAGTGTCATGAAGAAGGCATCACAGAGGCAATTCCAGGCTGTAGTGGTGAACTTTCCACTCTGCATCCCCGGGTGCTGTGCCCTGTGCCCTGTCTAAGGTAGCCCTGTGGGTTTCTATATGTTTAAATTGTCCCCAGCATCAATGATGCTCTCCTGTGGATCCCAAGCCATGGAGATGTCCTGGGACTTTTCATTTTTAGGTACCTAAATTGAATTTCCCAACACACAGAAGCAAGACAGCCGCCCTAACAGACTCTTGCATGCAGTGAGAGGGAGGCCGCCAGGCCAGCTGTCTCTGTTCAGAAAGACCTGGGGGTCTCCTTGACCATGCGCTCAGGGCTCAGACCCCAACACAAACAAGCCCCGTGTGCTGAAGAGAAGCAGGTCCCTTAGCTGAGGTCCAAAGGCTGTGGGTCCTGCATGAGCCTGAAGTGGTGCACGTCCCTGGTCACATTGGAGGTGGAGAGCTTGGGGATCTGAATGTGCTGTTTGCCTTGGATCTTTATTTGTGATTCAGAAACAGTGGAATAAAAGGAAAGGAAAGAAAACCTGAATGGCCACCTCAGCAGGATGCTCCAAGGGTAGTGTCCAGGTGGCACTGACTCAGATATGTGGGGGCTTCCCCCACCCATGCTCAAGAGCCACTTTGCCATTTCACCATCTCTCTGTCCTCCACACCCCTCAGCAGCAAGCACAACAAGAATGTGTTCACCATGAAGCTCAAATCTCAGCAGAATCTAGAGTCTGAAATCCAAGTAAGGGAAAGTGTAGAGCTTCTTGGATGATGCCCTGTCAATTTTATTTTAACGAATGAAAGACCAGAAGAAGTCAGTCTTGAAAGGAGAGGACAGGAGCATCTGCTGGCATTAGCAGCCGTGCCATCGTAGGACCGACTCACCTGGACCCGCGGCCACCTGTGCTTTTACATCTAGTCTTGGTTAACCATGGGCCACTTTTCCAGCTTGGAAACTAAGCATATGCTCCACTTCCTCTCCTTCCTCATTGAACTCTTTCACTAAAAGAACAGTGCAAGAGAGACTTAAACTGTTTGCCTCATTCTTAAGACCTTTCAGGAAAAGTGTTGGCAGGGAAGGAAATCTCCCAGCTCTGGGAAACAGTCTTGTGGATTATCTGCTGGTTTCATTGATCTGTGCTGTCCTCCCTGCATTCATTAGGAAAACTGGCCTTGGTTCAAATAAGAACAGGATTTGTCCTGGTGACAGAGAAAGGTTTCTTCTGATGTCCATATATCTCCGAGGGGGATGCTTTCTCCAGGCAGAGGCTGTGGCCAAGCGATCGGGGGGCTCAGAGGGCTGCTGGGAAGGGGTGGGCCCCTCTCTCCCCAGAGGGAAACTCCTGGGGACCTCTCGAGCACCCCTGCCCATCCTTTAAACATAAATTCATAAATACAAACAAGTAGGCCATTCACAGAAATATATAAAATATGTCATAGGACGGGTGGCACTCTCATATGGCAATAATTATGACAGGGGCCGGCAAATGACCTGAGTGACCCGGAGTGGCCTGAGCACTGACTCCCAAATGCCCTCCATAGGATGTTCTGCATCCCCGAGACCCTTTCCTGGGTCCTCCTGGGCCCTACCACCCCCTAGACCATCCAGACCTCAGGTCATCCCCCTGTCTGTTGACAGAGTAGTCTCCGTTCCTGAATGTGCTGGTCACCAGCAACAGCAGCTGCTCCTCCTCCGGGAAGCTCAGCCTATACTTCTACATGCAGAGAACCTGGACGGCACCCAGGTGGACCTAAGCCTTCAGCTCCCAGTAGACGCTCTGGGTTTCCTACCCTGCCCAGACACTCTGGGCTTCCCCCCACACCTCCCCTCGGCCGGGGCTCCTGTGTGCATCTGTCTCTCCCAGTGCCCAGCACAGGCGTGGAACGGAAGAGGTGAATGGACCGATTTGAACACATCATCCTGGATTCTCCGTTCCCTCTCAAGCCCTGCAGCTAACCCATCGGCAAGCCCTGGAGGCTCTGCCTCCAAAATCCTGCCTATCCCATGTGCAAACGCCTCTCACCACGTCCACTGCTATTTGCAGTTGTGTGTGTGTGGAAATACTTCCACAAATTTGGAATGAACAGGTCACAGCTGTGCCTGGAGGGAATGGCCAGGGAAATGTGCCCTCGCCTTGCTGCTCTATCCAGGCCCACCCAGCTGAGGATGGGGGACCTGCCACCACTCTCCTGGCAGTTCCGGACTCCTGGGAACCGGCAGGTGAGGACCCAAGAGTGTTTTCAGTGACCCGGCTGACCTGGTCATCCGTCAGTCCCACCTTGGCCTAGGCCTCTATACAGCACAGATCACAGCTCATTCCATCCTGGCATTACACTGGCCTGTGCCCTGTCCTCAGGGTCACATCCGTCTCCCAGAAGCCGTGCAACCCTGGAAAACCCAGGTCTAACAGTCAGGTTCCTCCTCCGTGCATTAACAATGGCGTTGACGCCTGCTTTGCGGCACGCTGGGAGGGGAGAGGGAGGTGTATGCTGGAGAGCTCCCCAGGGGCAAGGCCTGGCTCTGCGTCACCCACTGTCAGATCCTGAGAGCCTGGGGCTGGCCCAGCACGTGGCCACCGTTCCCTAAGAGTTGGATTTCATCCCTCAGTGCTGAAGGCAGGGGATAGAGCTTAGACAGACCCCCTGCGTCCTGTCTTCTTTATCTACAGCTTTCTCATCCTTGCCCCTTTCACGTGCACCCGGCAGAGCAGGTGTTCACTGAGCTTGAGCAAAATTCAAGCTAGAGCAGCTGATGGATCTTGAGGCCTAGATTCACTGTCAAAGTGTTTCTCAAACGGTGCTCTCCAGAACACCAAGGAAAACTCATTGACTGTGTAAGTCTGAAAATCCCTGCCCACCGGTCTACCTTTGTGTATGAGCGATCAGCTCTACCATTCAGCCCAGGTGTGTGTTTGCTGGACCATGTGGAGGAAGCTGAAGAGACGTGAGCTGAAGGCAGAGGGTGAGTCCAAGGTGGGATCTTGGGACAGGTACGAGAAGTTAGGCAAAAATGGGATAATTCTAGCCTTCATAACCTTAGATAATAGTTCACATTATTATTTAGTTAATAGAACTGTACCCACATTAAATTTCTTAAATTTTTTTAAGAGATAAAGTCTCACTCTGTCACCCAGGCTGGAGTGCAGTGGTGCAATCATGGCTCACTGCTTCCTGGAACTCGTGGGCTCCAGCAATCCTCCTGCCTCAGCCTCCTGACTAGGTGGGACTATAGGCACACGCCACCATGCCTGGCTAATTTCTTTGACTTTTCTCTAGAGACCGGGTCCACCTAGGTTTCCCAGGCTGGTCTCAGACTTCTAGACTCAAGTGAACCTGAACCTCCCGCCTCGACCTCTCAAATTGCTGGGATTACAGGTGTGAGCCACCACACCCGGCCTAAATTTCTTATGTGCCATGGGACTGCAAAACATCATTATTAGGGGCAGCTGGATGGAAGGTATAGGAGGATACTATAGTGCCTTTTCAATATTTCTGTCTAAAATCTAAAATCATTTCAACAGGAAACATTTATTTCAAAACATGAAGGTGGTTATCCTTCCATGAGTTTGAAGTACAAAGGCAGGCTCACGGTGTCGTCAGAATTCAGAACGATGGTCGTGGGGCTGGGGGTGCTGGGAGGGGCTGGGCATGGTTGGCTTTGTGATCTGGGGTCTGGTGTGTTCCATCTCTGAATCTCTCTCGAGCTGCACTCTTTCTTAATACATTTTCATAAGTTTAACCAAAAATAAAACGAGGATGCGAAGCTTGCTTGGGTTGTTAAGCCTAGGGAAATTATCCAGCCATGAGCCCTGGCCCAGATGCTTCTAGAAGCCTGGAGGGAACTGAGAACTTTCCAAGTGGAGGCCGCAGAGGCAAGGCCCTGAGGTGGGAGCACACGGCTGTTCGTCCCTAGCTCTGAAGGGGGTGCCCTGGTCGGAATCAGTGCTGGGTGCAGCGAAAGCCGATCTCACCCGCTCCGCAGGGTGTTCAGCCTGCCAGCAGGGGGCCAGCTGGTCCTCCTGGGATATGGCACGGACCCAGCAGCTCTGTCTGAAATCATAATGGCGGAACCAAGGGCCCTCTACGTCCAGGTCCGTTGGGAGGCGGGGCATGGAGTTCCACTGCAGGAATCTCCAGGAACCCTGAGGTCCTCCCTGAGCCAGGGCCGGGCTGGGCACACCCTGAGTGCCCACAGGGTAGGTGTCTTCCCGGACAGCCCCACCAGGACAGGGTGTGGAAGAACGAGGTGCCCGTGGCGGGGAAGCTGACCAAATGGGCCGCGGGAACCGGGCTGGTGGGCCTGGAGGGGCCTGCCTGTCCCCCTTGCAGAGGGTCTTCCCGCCACGTGAAGCCGGCACAGGCCTGGATGCCGACGACCCTTGCTCGGGTTTGGCTGAAAGGAAAACAGACGCGGTCAGCATCTCCAGTGAGCCCACGCAGGCCTTTCCGGGCTGGGCCCCACCTGCCTGCGTCTCTGGAGTCCTCGGGGTCTCTGTGTGGCCCCCGTGGCCTGACACCGAGGACACGCCTGTAGTCTGCTGATCCCAGAGGGAGGGGTGCGTGCTGCCTGGCGTGGGGAAGCTGTCGTGGCATGGCGGGTGGCTCCTGGGACTGCCCCCAGGGTTCAGACTGGCTGGGGGCTTCCTGCCACACACCTTCGTCCCAGGGCTGTTGGGCCTGGGATACGGCCCCCAGTCAGAACTCAGGTGGGAGGGGCCTTGGATGTCACCCAGCCCCTTGTCACCTCACGTGGGGACCCGTCTCCGCAGTGGGTGATTGGGCCCGGACGTGGGTCACCCTCTGCCCTCCTGGGCTGCCCAGTCCATGCCAGGACTGACCGTTCCCACTTCTGGCTGAACTCTTGGCTCTGGCTCTGGGCCCGGGGTCCCGCCTGTGCCCTCTCCCTGAATGCTCTGTGGGTCAGGGACACGGATTCCCTTGTCTCCCTGGCTCCAGGCTTCTTGTCCTGGCAACCTTGGAGGAGCGTGCAGGAGTGAGGGGCCTCTGCTGCTCTCTGAGGCTGTGGGTGCTTGCAGGGAGGGGCGGGGTCTCCCACAAATGGGTCTGGGCTCGTCTAGTAACTTGGAGGGCCCTGCGAGGGGGAGAGGGAGACACCGTGGAAAGTGGGAGGGGGCTTGTTGGAGGGTCTTGCCCACATCCCCCTCCTGCGTGCACAGCATGTCCAGTATACACGCACTGAGCGCCTGCCCTGAGGACCGGTGGGCCTCCTGTACTTTCTTAGAGTCCAGGAGGAAGAGGAGGAAGAAAAGGTGAAGAGGAAGGCCCAGGTAGTAGGGTTGCGGGTCCCGGGCACTCCCCTACTACTGACTACCCCAGAGGGTGACATGGGAGGGGACATGGCACTGGAGCCCACCTGGGGGTGGCAGGTCCCCCTGCTTTCTTGTTAGTTTCTTCATAGAGGCCCTAAGATGCTTGAGCACAGTGTCCTCATCCCTGGCCCAGGTATCAACGAACCGGTTGCAAAAACGTGCCCACGGGCCACACCTGGACGTCTTCGTGAGGCGCTCTAGGGACAGGGTGGATATCAGGCCAGGGGAGTTACCTGGGAATGGTCACAGCTCATACCCCGTGGCCACTTCAGTCTCCTACTGGGCGGTGCCGGATCCTTTTGTGGCCACCCCAGGTGTCCAGATACACACAGGAGACTGTGGCTGGGGGGCGATCCGGACAGGGAAGTGCTCACCACACTCTCGACTTTCATCTGGGTCATGTGGGGGATGGGCTCGGTGTCACAGTGTCCTGCCCAGCCCACCTGGCCAGACCTCCCTCTGGGCCAGAACAGAGGATCATGAGGACAGTGTGAGGAAGCTGCCCTCGGGCCAGTCGGGGTCTGACCCCAGGGCTCCCCAGGCCCCGCTGGGCACACGTAGACTTACTCTGCTGAACCTTAAAGGCGATTCTTGTTATCGGCATCAACGCCTGTTCGCCTTCTACCAGATACACGTCCCACAGGCGCAGGGTGAGCCCGAGAGAGATCTGTGGGGACAGCAGGTGTGAAAGAACCTGGTCCTTCCAGGCTGGGGCTGGTGGCTCGAGCTGCGCACACTGGGGCTTCAGTCTCCAGAGTCAGTGACCTTCCCCATGAGGGTCGCCTGAGCCCTCCAGGACGCTGGGTCAGACAAGGTCTTGAAGCTCCTCATGGGGGGCACTCATTTGAGTGGGGATGTGGCTCCTGGAGAGAGGGGCTTGCCCAGGGCTTGAGGCTTCCCTGAGCCCTCTCAAGTCGGGTCCTGGCCCAGTCTGCCCATGAGGCTGGGCCTGAGCCCCAGCCATGGCCCTGGGATGACCCCCCTTGGGCAGAGGGTTTTGCTTGTGTGTCCTTTGGGGACCCGCCTGAGCCTCCTGTGGGCTGGGAGTGAGCCAGACCCCCGGGCTGGGGAAGCAGGGCACTGCAGGGCAAGGAAGGTCCCTGAGCCAGGGTCTCCCTATGCCTCCTTACCCCGTCAATCAATATCCGGATGAGGCAGCCTAACGGGGAACACTGCCCACATAGATCTTTCTTGTCCTGATGGAAGCAACAGAGGTGCTCAGGCCACTGGGCTGCCCTAAAAACCTCCCTCTTCCAGGGCCTCTGAAGACCCTTCCCCTAGTGCAGAACACTGGGCGGTGTCCAGAGCTCCCCACAACACTGTCACCTTCCCACACTCCCGGTGGACACACTGCCCTTTGCCCTGCTCTGCGGGAGCTGGGCCCCCATCCCTGTGCCTCTGTCTCCTCCAGGGCAGGAAAGGAAACCAACTCCCAGCCCATGGAGAACCCGACGTCCCAGGTCAGGCCCTGGCTGGGACTCAGCCAGTCACCAGCCCCACGAGGGGCTCCAGCCCCCCTGCTCCTACAGCCCCACGGGAGGCAGGGCCTCTGGGAAGAGCTGAGGGGACCATAAACTCACCTGATGCCCCATGGTCTTGGGTTGTGACGTGGCTACCACATGCTCCTGTTGGTCTTGGAGCCCCTGGACGGTCCCGCCATTTGGGCTGTGAAATCCTGAGAAGCCCCCAGCCCATCATGAAATCAGAGCCTTCCCCCAAGATGTGGAGCCATCAGCTGCAAGAGCTGGGCAGCTGGAGAGGCCCCCAAACCCCAAGGCCTCCCACCCTCCCATCTGGTGACCCCAACATGCGGCCTTTACCCTGGGGAGGTGGGGCGGGAACATTCCCTGGAGCCTGGCTGGAGGTTCCCCTGGAGGCCTCCTGGGCCAGGGTGCAAAAAGGGCAAGCCTGACTTTCAGGCCACGACAGGGTGGCCGGAACTGGGTGGGCGCTGGGCTTCCCGGTCATCTCCTGGTAGTGGGGTCGGGCCAGGGAACAGGGGATGGGGAGATGCTGCCACCTGGGCTTGGTCGGCCCGTTCGTGGGCACCGATGGCAGCAGGAGCCCGGGCAGCTGGAGGGCAGGAGGACTCTCAGGGAGGGGAGAGTCAGCTGCACAGAATCAGAGCCGGAGGGCGTGGCTCCAGGACACAGAGGGTGGCCACGGGGAGGATGAGATGCCCTCTGCTGATGGGGATGAGAGGCGTCTGATTTGGGCTTTGGGGGTCAGCCGTGGACTCCTGTGGGACCCTCAGCAGAGACATCCTAAAGTCTCCCAACAAGCTGGCGACACAAGGAGGGTGCCTTGGCTGAAAGCTGTGATCACCTGGCCAGGGTGGCCATCCCCAGGTCTGGCTGCAGGAGGTCCCCGGGGCAGCTGTTCACTTACCCTGCAGGGAGTGCCTCTCACTGGCCAGCAGCTGCACCAGTGCCCAGAATGCATCCTCCTCAGGAAGATAGAGGAGGAACAAGGCGGCGATGTGGCTCAGGTCCCTGCAGTAGCCCACCTCCTGCAAGAGCCAGAGTCACCATGGAAGGACATCACCTGGGAGGGCTGAGGTCACCTGGGAGGACTCATGTCATTGGAGAGGGCAGAGGTGACTGGAGAGGCTTCCTCTGAAGGAGAGGCTTCCTCTGAAAAAGAGGCTTCCTCAGGATGCACATTCATTTCATGACAAGAGCCAAGTCCATCAGGCACTTCAGCACCTTGTCCAAAATGTCTGCTGATAGCACCATCCTGTGTGCGATGCTGCCAAGCTCCTGGGCTTTGGGGCAGCCCCAGGAGGAGGGCGTCATTTCTTGTTCTGAGAAGTGGTGGTCAGGCCCAGGTGACACCAGGAGTCCAGGCCCTGACTCCTTTGTGTCTCAGCTTGACCCCTTGAGACCACCCCCTTCCTTGGAGGTTTATGCCAGCGGTGAGCTGACATCCTACCTCCTATATCCTGGTGGGTCACAAATACTAACTGTAAAAGAAGCAACGACACCCCCACCAGACACCCACTCCTGTCAATATGGAAATATGGCCCGGGAACCTCACTGCCGGGAATACTCACCGGGTTATACTCCTCATATGCCAGGAGGATGTGGAGTAGTTCCCGCTGCCTAGGAAACAGAGAAAGGGGGCTTTGGTTTGTTTTGTGCAGATGTTGTTAATTTCACTTTGTCTACAAAGCCTAACAGCAAATCCCATTTCAGGTTCAGATGTTTCACCAGATAAGCAGTGAGCTCTTCAGGGCCTGAGACTCTTGAAGAAATGTTTCAGTAAAATCCACATCTGTGACATGCAAATAGCCCAGTTGTACAGTGACTTGCCTGATCCTTTTCACTCTGAATGATTTTTTTTTTTTTTTCAGTTTGCACACACGCCAGTTCAGTCTGTGGGTGTACAGTTCCTCCACGGTTCCAAACCGATGTGCAGAGTCTCCCGGCCACCGCTCCAGCCCCTCCTGGGGCGACTCCTTCATCCTCCAAGTCTCCAGGGTGGCCCCTATGCACCCAGCCTCTCCCCGATCCGTCAGCCCCTGGCCACCCAGACTGCTTCTCAGTCCCTGTGGTTTGGCCTTTTCCAGAATGGCCTAGGAATGGGAATCCTACGGTGGTAGCTTATTGGGTCTGGCTTCTGTCCCTCAGCAAAATGCATCTAGGATCCACCCACGTTCGTGCGGGCATCACCGGCTCGTTCCCTTTTCTCACTGGGTCTTCCGTTTGAAGGGAGGACCAGCCTTGCTCTCCCCATCCCCGTGTTGAAGGCCGTCCCCGAAGGCTCCGTGTGTGAGTGACGAGGAGTCAAGCAGTGAACCTGGCATGCTGGTTTCATGTGGATGTCAGTTTGCAAATCAGTGGGTTCAATATCTGTGACACTTTGGGGATGTGTGGTTCAAGTCCATCGAGCTTTGTGAGCCACTGCCCAACGGGCTGCCAACGTGGCTGTGCCATGTCATGTTCCCAGCGGACCTGGATGAGAGTTTCCAGGACCCCTAATTCTCCCAGCATTTGGTGCTGTCACTGTTGCCTGGGGGGGGCTCATGGGCCCTCTATCCTGCCACCCTCCCGTGGGTCCTACCATGGGTCCCCATGGGTCAGGGAGAGCACCCTTCACCATTGTGCATGATTTTGTTTGCTGCCTTCCATCTCCTCAGGATCCTCCTGGGTTCTGGCCCCACATGTTCCAGTCTGGCCCAGGGCTTGGAACCAGGGAGGTGCTCGGTTCATGGTGCCGGCTGCTCCCTGGGCCGGGAGAGCTCTTGGCAGCTGTGTCATCCCTCCTGGGTGACCCTGGCTTCTGCTCCGGGGAAGCCCCCATCCCTCTCATTCACCCCATCTCTGCTGGGACCCTGTGGCTCCCGTAGGCTTACTTGGTTCCGTATCGATCCCTGAAGAATATATGCTTCCTTAATGTCCCGCTTACGTCCCGGTCGATGCGCTGGATGTGCTCAGATGACCTCTTGCCCTTCTCCTTCATGATCTGTAGGGCAGGGCCAAGAGGAGGAAGCAGTCTCAGAACAGATGGAAGACTCCCTGCCCCCAGTGGCAGTCAGCCCACAGTCAGCACTTCGGGAAGGAAGGACAGAAGGAAGGTTTCCTTCTGCAGAAAGCTGCATTTTGGCTTGTTACTGAAGCCAGGGAGGGTCACCAGAGCTGAGTTTGTCTGTGGTGACTGTGTCACCATCTGTGCCCAGGGTGTTCATCTGACCTTCACCCCCAGCTCCCCAGGGTGGTCTTGACGTTCCCTCCAGCTGGAGACCTGGGCCCCGACACGGCCTGTCCTGTTTGTTGTGCTCTGGCTGAGCGTACCTGGTATCTTCCGGGGTTTTTCAACTTCATTTCCTCAATGTTCAGGAGGACTGACCACATCGGGCCCCGGATGTTCATGGGCATTCCCTTGTACGCTCGATCTATGAGCTGTGGGCAGAAAACGATCTGGTGTCACAGGCCACGGGGTGACCCCAGTGAGGACCAGAGCCCGGGGATTCTGGAAATTGTCGGTTTTGGCCCCATGATTCCTCAGTAGAGGTGAGATCAAGCTGGGACAGGGTCTCCCTTCCCAGGACTGAAAGAGTGGATGGACACTCAGAGTCGAAACTCTGATCTGAACCTTTTCCTTCCTTCAGGTCACCAGGGCATCCCTAGCCTTGAGCTCCGGGTAGTCCCAGCCCTAGATTCAGATTCCCTCCCTGCAAGGTGACGCTTGCACGAATAGGCAGGAAATCTGGCGACCAGGCCTGCAGTCCTCTGGGCGAGGACAGTGTGCCGCCCACCCTCTGAGAGGCTGATGGTGCCAGGCCACAGCCATGGGTGCCTGTCCCCTGTCTCTGCAGAGAGTGCTTCCTCCCTCCACACGTTACCTTTCTGCTGCTTTTGTATTTCTCCCAGTCTCCCAGCATATCCACCCACTTGCTCTTTCGGCTGATCTCCCGCCGAATTTGCTGTCAAATGAGGCATGTTGGAGTTAGCGGAGCTGCCAGGCTTCCCAGAGCCGCCCGCGGATGCTGGGTCTTGGGCTCTGGAGCCCTGGTGGGAGCCAGCTGGAAGGAGCCAGGGAAGGGCAGACCTCAAGGGCTGAGAGCCTTTGAGCAAATGAGCACCAGTGGGCTGGCTTTGGGACCCCGGGATGTACCATCCTCAGGCCACAGACACACCAGTCTTAGGTCCCAGCCTCTAGGTGGGGTCCTGACACAAGCGCGCAGCCACCCCCAAGCCAGGACTGTGGTTCTCCTTTTGGAATTTTATCAAACTGCCAAAGTGAACAGCAACCTGGGGTCAGGTCCAGCAGGGACTGCTGCCCCTCCCAGTGACAGCGTGTTGCCCTCACCCGCCACCGCTCAGGCCAGCTGCTTCCTCTGCCTCACTGACCACCCGCCCAGTCCCTACGTCCCTGGACCAGCCCCTCCACGCATCAGGCTCTTACCTTCGCCTCCCGCGCAGTCAGAGGAGGCAGCTCCGTCTCACTGTAAGGCAACCCAGGCAGAGCTGAGGAACTGCACGGGGCCTGGAGCGGCCCCAGCCTGGGTGCCGACCCCCAGAAAGGACTGGCTCTGTCCCTTTCCAGCTCAGGGCTCAGCCCAGGAGAAGGCACAGGGAAGGGAGGACAAGGGCCTTCCTGTGGGGCTGACTCCCAGGAGGGGCAGGACCTGGGAGAAGAAGGAGTGTAGGGACAGCCTGGCCGGGGTTACTGGGGCCCCTGGCGTGGGGGGCGGTCAGGCTGCCCAATGGGGCTGCCCCTCCTGGACTCGAGGTGGTGCTTTCTGCTGGAGCTGAGAAAGGTTAGCCCTGAGATGGGATGGGGGCCGCCCAGGGTGGGCGACCGGGCCCTGACAGGAGTCCCTCAGGGAGTGACCACATCCCCCCGCCAGGGTCAAGGGAGCCTGCCCTGAGACCTGCCCGGTGTACTCTGGCTGCACCAGGGGCCCACCCCACTTGATAGCCCCAAGGCCCTTGCAGGTTCTGACCTCCCAGCATCCACCTGCCTCTCCCTGCACCCGAGCCACACACCCTGCGTTTCAGAAGTGGCACGGCTCGTCAGCTCCCTCCCGCCCTACCTCCCCAGGGATCCTCTGTCTCTCCATCCTGTGATCCCTGAGGGATGGGCTCCTGGCTGGGCTCCTCTTACCCGGCCCCAGATCCCTTCCCAGCACCAGACCCAGGTCTTTAGCCGCGAGCCCTGCTGCCTCCCTGGCCTCACCGTGAGATGCCCAGAACGGGGCCCTGCCCATCTTCTCCCCCGTTCTCCTAGGGCTACAGCCCCCATTGTCACCATGCCTTTTCCCCTCACGGGACAGTGAGGGCTGTAGCTCTAGGGGAATGGGGGAGAACAGGGGCAGGTGGGCCCTCAGAGACCTGCTGGACAACAGCCCTGAGGCTGGGCCAGGCGTCCCCTCACCCTGTGGCCATAACCCTTGCATCTCACCGGGGTTGTCTCCAAGTAGACAGGGCCAGACCCTCAGGCTGCCCCGCTCCTCTTGTGCTCACTTGCCGACAGAACTGCTGAGCGCCCAGGGGCCTGACCTAGCCCAGTCTCCATTCCCACCGGTTCCCTAGATGGGCCCCACACCTCTGGCCTAACAACCTCGGGCTGGACCTGCAGGGGAGTCAGGGAGGAGTTCTGTCCCTGGAAAGGAGGTTGACCCGACCTGGTGAGACATGTCCTGCGTCAGAAAGGCCTTTCTAAAAGCAAACCCATCCCTGAGCTGAGACAGGTGCTTTAGGGGTGAGGGGAGTGCAGAGGACTCACTGTACAATCCCCAAATGATCGACGTTGTTGTTGTAGCTTCGAAAAGGCTTAGGCCCCTTGTCCTCTGGCAGCCCAGCTCGGTGTCCCTGTAGCCCAGAGGGAGCCTTGGTGAGGGGTCCAAGGTAAAGGGTGCAAGGGCCTGGGGGCATTGGCCACCCGTCCCTGCCCTGTGCTCCTAGGGAGCCCAGGACCCTTTGACCAGGGCACACTGGAAGAGGCCTCCCTCCAAGAAGCAGACCGACTTGTACCTTTTCGTATTTCATAATGATGTCCTCTCGCTCTTGTGCCCACCAACTGCCCGCGACCTCTACCACGTCCATCCTGTGAGACAGAATTGTCTAAAGGTCACACTGTACGCGGCGGCTTCGGAGAACACCTGAACCGCTCTCGCCGGGCTCCCAGATGCTGGCTGGCTGCGTAACCCCCATTCCACCGCCGCCCCCAGGGAAAAAGGGGCCAGACCCAGTGGCCCACAGCTGCTCCAGTCTCTGGAGTCTCAAGTCCCAAGCAGGGGTGGGCATCTTCCCAAGGACTTGAGTACAGTGGGACCTAGACAGAGAATCCTGTTGTCCCCCAATGCCATGAAATGGGGACACACCGGCCCCAGCAGGTTGAATGGTTTCCACCTGCCAAGGGTGAAGGGCCCATGATGGGCTATTCCAGGGATGTGGAGGCAGACTGGGGTCAGCGACCAGAGGTCTCTGTGCAATCGGCCTCCTGGGATGCTCAGGGCCTCAGCGATGCCCAGTTTCCTACAGGGAACAAGATCTCTCCCGACTGCTCGGTTCTACTCCGCTCATCACTTTGGCTACCGTGGCTCTTCAGTCTGAACAGTGAAGCCACTTTAGGAATAACGCCTGTTGAGCAGGAGGGTGTTGGGTTTGGGGGATGAGGAAGATCTATTGTACGCATGGAAACCACGTCTCTCGCGGAGGGACTGTGGAGTCCACCATTCTGAGCCGTCCCAACAGGAGGAGGCTTCATTTTCCTGGGTCACTGAGGAAGAACAGTGGGTCCTTGGTCCTGGAGAACAGCTGGATGGACCGTCCCTCCTGGGAATACTCGAGGCAAAAGGAGGGCGAGGCCTCAAGAGGACCACGCAGAGCAAGAAATACCTGGGGAGAACCCTAGTGCCCGGACCCCTTTGAACACAAGGGAAGATAGTCTCCCCTCAGCCAGCCCTCCAGGGCTCCTTCATTTTCCACAGCTGCCCAAGGGCAGCAGGCTCCCCCGGACAAGGGACCATGTGTGTTCAGTGGGGCCCACAGCGACCATCAGGACCCAGCTTAGGGCACAGAGGTGTTCTGAGGACCGTCAGTGGATCTGTACCAGTGGCTCTATACCAGTGGCTCTGCCAGGACCAGGCTCTGCCCCATCGGGATGGGAAACCTGGGCAGATTTGGGATCTAGGGCAGGGAGGTCACAGGGTTCAGGCCTGAATTCCAGCACAGCACACGGCAGGGCTGAGAGCAAAACTCAGGGTCATGTCCGGATTCCCAGGCCGGTTACTGCCTCTCTGACCCCAGACGTCTCATCTGTCGAATGGGGACATTTGGGAACAGCACCCACTCTACGAAGCCACCATGGAGACGAAAGAGCCAATCGTCTACACGGGCAGTGTAGAACGGGCGCCTGGTGAGTGCTCAGGGATGACCCTCCTCGGTAGCTGCCCCACAGAGGCCAACACCGCCCGCACCGTAGCCACTGCCCCCAAGTCCGCCTGGAGGGAAGAGAGCAGGTCACGCTCACCTGATTCTGATGAATCAGCTGGCCTGGGTCATGCCTCTCAGGGAGAAAACCTTTGAGTCCACAGAGCTGCTCACAGATACCACTGCCTGTGTGTAACTGCTGTAGACCACTGAGGCAGGCCAGAGAGCAGATAGGTGCTAAGCACCAGTGACATTCTGAGGTCATGGCACGAATCACAGTGGGGCCTTGCCCGGGTCAGCAGCGCCCAGAGTCAGGGTCCTCCGCTGCCTGAGGCGTCAACATGCCTGCCTGCAATGTGTTTGTGCACGTGCGTGCACATGTGTATGTGGGTAAACACATCTGTGCACGTGTGTGCTGCTTCTCTGGCCAGGCCCGGCTGCCCCACTCATGTGTGCACCCAGTTCCTCATCACTGTCACCCCCGAGGCCCAGGGCCAGCATCAGAGCATCCATGGCTGCTCCCTAACCTCAGCCCTCCCCGCCCAGGGTGGTCCTGGGATACACATAGCGGTGGAGGGAAGTGACTGCTGCTGTTGGATCTCAGAATACAAAAGCTAGTACTATTACCTAATGGTCTTTTTAGTGTCTCTAATGGTATCGCTTTTTCATTTCTGATATTTTAACTGGGTATTTCTCTCCATGACCCTTGGATATTCTAGCTAGAGGATCCTGTGGGGAAAGTGCCGGGCACACAGTAGGGGCTCACTCTTCTAGACATGTTATCTAAAACCTGGTTCATCTGTCCTTCCACACAGGGCCTAGGGGATGCCAAATTCCAGGGGCCAGAAAGAGCTTGGGATAAAAAGAAACTTCAAGGGGACGGCTTTGACCTGGGCTGAGTCTGCCTGTGCCATCCAACTGGAGTCTCAAGTCCTGAGGCAGGACGTCCAGATGCCCCAGTGCAGGGTCCTCCTGATCAACACCTGCTCCCCTGTACTCATTAGCAACCTCACCCACCCTACTCTCAAAGCACACTTGGCTCTCGTATCCAGGAGCTCTGCATCTGTAGATTCAGCAACAGCAGATGGAAAATATTCAGAAAATAAATTGGACGGTTATGTTTCTATTGAACATGTGCAGAGTTTGTTCTTGTCATTATTCCCTAAAGAATCCAGTATCACGACCATTTATGTAGCATCTGCATTGTATTACACATCATGAATAATCCAGAGATGGTCTAATGTCTACGGGAGGATGTGCATAGCTGATATGTAAATACTAGGCCATGTTATGTCAGAGACTTGAGGATCCATGGATTTTGGCATCCCCGGGGACCCTAGAACTAATCCATGGATACCAAGGGATGACTGTATAAACTCACTCAGGAAGGCTTCTCATTGGAGGAAGGTCCCAGTTCAGGACACACAGGGACATCTCCCTGGACTACTGTCCATTCATCCATCCATTCATCCATTGTCTCCCCCCACCCCCCCATCTCGGACTGTCCCAGTGACAGCCCTAGCAAGAAGAGACAAGAAACAAGTTCACGTTGTCCAGTTTTGAGGTAATGGAAGAAGTTGCACCAGTATGAGAATAGTGGGTCAGTTTTCTACAGGATGCAGAAAGCATATCGGGCAGCCTCGGGGTGCGGAAAGGAGCCTGGCCTCTCTAGCAGCCACACAGGCCTGCAGTAGGATGGGGCTGTGGCTGGCCATGTGGATCACTTGGGCCTCATGAGGGGAAAGGAAATACCAGGGGGGCAGAAGAGGAGCATGGGGGCAGCTGGTTGCCTAAGGAGAAGGCACCTCAGGGAAGGGGACTGTATTCATTTGTTTTCACACTGATGTAAAGAAATACCTGAGATTGGGTAATTTATAAAGGAAACAGGCTTAATTGACTTGCAGTTCCGGAAACTTACAATCATGGCAGAAGGGGAAGGGGAAGCAGGCACCTTCTTCACAAGATGGCAGGAGGGAGTGAGTGGAGAACCAGTAAGTGCCACACTTTGAAACTATGATCCTCCTACCTCAGCCTCCCAAGTAGCTGGGACTACAGGCACATGCCACCACACCCAGCTAATTTTTGTACTTTTTATAGAGATGAGGTTTTGGCATGGTGCCCAGGCTGGTATCAAACTCCTGGACTCAAGCAGTCCACCTCCCAAAGTGCTCGGATTATAGGCATATCAGCCAGCTGATGGAGCATCTTTAATATCATATTTTTACTGTAACTTTTCTATATTGAGAAATGTTCAGGTATACAAATACTATTGTGTTATAATTGCCTATGGTATTCAGTACAGTAACATGCTGTACAGGTATTTTGTAGCCTAGGAGCAACAGGGTATATACCGTGTAGGCTAGGTGTATATAGCCTAGGACATACTGTGTAGGTTTCTGTAAGTACATTCTATGATGTTCACATATTGATGAAATTGCCTGACAACATATTTCTCAGAACATATCCCTGTTGTTAAGCAACACATGACTATTCCCTTGATTTTTTATTTTTTCAGAGACAGGATCTTGTTCTGTTGCCCAGGCTGGAGTGCAGTGGTGCCACGATTGCTCACTGTAACCTCAAACTCCTGGGCTCAAGTGACCCTTCCCATTTCAGCCTCCTGAGTAGCTGGGACTACAGGCACATACCACCACACCCGGCTAATATTTTTGTATTTTTTGTAGAGGTGGGGTCTCGCTATGTTGCAAGCTGGTCTTGAACTCCTGGGCTCAATCAGTCCTCACATCCTGGCCTCCCAAAGTGCTAGGATTACAGGCGTGAGCCACCACACCCGGCCCAGACTCTTTAAGTTGGCAAAATATTCAGTTATGGAAAGCAGAATGCTGGAGGATGACCAAAGGGATAATGAGTCCTGATTCATGTTGACCCTATGACTTACTGCAGGTTGAGTGTCCCTTATCCAAAATGCTTGGGACCAGAAATGTTTTGAATTTCATATTTCTTTTGGATTTTGGAATATTTGCATTATACTTACTAGCTGAGCATCTATAATTGCAATATCCAAAATCTAAAATGTTCCAATGAGCATTTCCTTTGAGCATCACGTTGGCACTCAAAAAGTTTCAGATTTTGGGTGGGAATTGAACAATGAGAACACTTGAACACAGGGCGGGGAACATCAGACACCAGGGCCTGTCATGGGGTAGGGGGCTGGGGGAGGGATAGCATTAGGAGAAATACCTAATGTAAATGACGAGTTAATGGGTGCAGCAAACCAACATGGCACATGTATACTGATGTAACAAACCTGCACATTGTGCACATGCACCCTAGAACTTTAATTAAAAAAAAAGAAAGAAAGAAAAGAAAAAGTTTCAGATTCTGGAGCATTTCAAATTTCAGATTAGAGATATTCAACCTGAACACAGCTTCAAATAAGGCTAATTTATTTATTACATGGATCCTGACCTTGAGTTAAGTATTCAGAACAAAAATAAAATGTCCCAGCCTGGATAGAGTGACAATACTTTCTCTCCATTTCTATCTCAAGCTATTAAAGATTACCTGCGGCAGCATTCTTTTGTTGGAACTTGGTTAAATACATGTTCATTCCTTTCTTAAAGTCCTGAGAAAACACAATTTTTAAAATCCAGGGAAGTCAGATCTCAGAATTTATAGTATATTTGTATATTAGTAATCAAAAACAAATTTACTCAAATACTCAAGTATCAGATACACTGAAACACATATATCCTTCTGATGCCTACTGCCTTTTATTTAATAATGCGTACTCTATGCCTTCTATTCTTGCTCTTAAGTTTTATAACAGCCTCCCATTTCCACTCCCAAACACACCTGCACATCACTCATCTGAGAGACCACAGTAGTCAACTTCAAATAATTGAATTCTCATTCTTTTTGGTCATTAAAAAAAATGACAAGCCAGAAACTATTTGGGAACTTAATCCAAATAAAGTGAGACTTTTTTTCATGCAAAACTCTTATGATTTCACCATGAAAGAATGAAATACTTAAAGTTTTTTTTTTTACCTTATCCCCAATGTAGTCATGCAGCATTCGGATGACAGATGCACCTTTGCTATATGATATAGCATCAAATATCTCATCAACCTCAGATGGATGGCCCACACTGACCTGGCAGACAATGTGATTCAGGGTTATGACAGGAAGCAGATAGCCCGTAATACTGAATTACATAAAACGCTTTCTAGGAAAACCCTTCTAACTTACATTTTTCTGCCTTTAACTCACTCATAATGTATAACGATGGTCCTCAAAAAAATGTAGTAACTAATAATAATAAAGTTGAATAGAACATGATTCCTGTCATCCCTTAGAGCTTGGGTTCCAGTCCTGGCTTTGTTCTGCTGGGAAAGAAGCCACTATGGTTCTGTTTATTTTTGGGGTAGTTGCAGAGGAGTGATGAGGAAGACATGGAGGTGAAGAACATTAGATTTCTTGCACTAATTGTAATGAATTACAATTATATGGGAGCCTAATTAAATATGTTGAAGTAGGATTATAACTCTAGTTCTTTAGATACAAAATTTATATATATAAACTGAAGTAGGGATAGGCTAAGTCAAGAGAATTAAAGTATTCACAAAACAGACCCTGACAATAAAATATGTCCAGAATTTTCCTTGACATAAACAATGGAACCATAGTGTTACCCAATAGGTATGACTTCTCCCATACTACTCTTTTTCTTTTTTTTGGCAGAGTTTTTTGCTCTTGTTGCCCAGGCTGGAGTGCAATGGCACGATCTCGGCTCACCGCAACCTCTGCCTCCCAGGTTCAAGTGATTCTCCTGCCTCAGCCTCCCGAGTAGCTGGGATTACAGGCATGCGCCACCGTGCCCAGCTAATTTTGTATTTTTAGTAAAGACGGGGTTTCTCCATGTTGGTCAGGCTGGTCTCAAACTCCCGACCTCAGGTGATCCACCCGCCTCAGCCTCCCAAAATGCTAGGATTACAGGCGTAAGCCACTGCGCCTGGCCAGACCAATTTTTTTTTACTGCCTACCTTTAAAAGAAATGTTTAATTAGAACTTAGACTTACTAGCTTTTCAAGACTAGAAATATGAACCAGTAAAATCACCCATGCTATTTTCTCTTCTTTTCAAAGTCCAAAGTATCTATGTAACAAATTACGTATTTCATTGTAAACGAGAGCAGTCATAGGCTAATGGTTAGAAAGTATGGCTCACTTCAATAGGATGGCTGTTATCTAAGGCGTCAAGCTCCTGGGCACGGGTGTAATCAGCAGAAACAAACTGAGTCCAAATATCATACTCTGGGAAGCAGTGGTCTACACACAGATATTCAATCCAGGATGCAAAACCTTCATTTAACCAAAGATGAGTCCACCATTCCTAAAAACAGAAGATGAAAATACTTAAAGAAATTGAAATGATTGTCATTCTACTAATCTAAAACACTCACATGTCCCTTCCACTATATTCCAAAACTCACAATTTAATGACCTAAAATTCAGTTCAAAACATTTGGCAAAGAACTCACATTTCTGAAAAAGAGAGAAGACTAAAAGAGATGTCAAGAAAGGCCAACTGGTGATATTAGAATTATATCTGAGGGTCATTTTCTTTTCCTTTCTTTTTTTTTTTTTTTTTTTTTTTTTTGAGACAAAGTCTTGTTTTGTCACCAGGCTGGAGTGTTCACCAGTAGCTGGGATTACAGGCATGTATCACTATGCCTGGCTAATTTTTGTATTTTTAGTAGAGATGGGGTTTTGCCATGTTGGCCAGGCTGGTCTCAAACTTCTGACCTCAAGTGATCCACCTGCCTCGGCCTCCCAAAGTGCTGGGATTACAGGTGTGAGCCACCATGCCTGGGCCAAAGGATATTTTCAAAACATTGTAAATAACTTCTCCCCCAAACCCAGACAGGGTCTCATTCTGTTGCCCAGGCTGGAGTGGCAGGGGCACCATCGTAGCTCACTGCAGCCTTGAACACCGGGGCTCAAGCAATCCTCCCGCCTCAGCCTGCCAAAGTGCTGGGATTACACACGTAAGCCAGTGCACTCAGTCCTAAGCAACTTTTTAAATACCAAAGGTAGAAAAGGAAGAAGAGGGAAAAAAAAAATAAGCCCATATATGGAAAAGGAAAAGACAGCAGATAAATATAGGCAAATAGAGGTGGAAAATATAATCACGTAGAATTTAGTATAGTAAAGGATTATCTCTGAAAAACAAAAACAGAAAACTATCAGAGCCAAATAAAGAAAAATGGAAATGACTGGGGAAAACCACTCACTAATGAGTTGAATGTTCAAGAGAAACTGAGAAAGAGTACTGCTTATATAAAAATTATGTGAAATTAAACAAAAATGTAGTTCAGTAATGAATGGTGTTTAAGCACTTATGGAATATAAAATTATCACCTGTTAAATAAGAATGCATAGTAAATGGAATGGACAAAGAATATGAGTGACAGATAAAATCAGTTTTTAAAAAATTTTAAAGATCTTAATCTAAATTTTATTAAAGTTGATTAAGCCTATTAGTGAAAGAAAGCAGGCCAGGCACAATGGCTTGCTCCTGTAATGCCAATACTCTGGGAGGTCAAGGCAGGAAGATCACTTGAGCCCAGGAGTTTGAGATAAGCCTGGGTAACACAGTGAGACTCCATCTCTAAAAAAATTAAAAAGTAAAAAAAAATTAGCTGGTCATGGTGACACACACCTGTGGTCCCAGCTACTTGGGAGGCTGAGGCAAGAGGATTACATAAGCCCAGGAAGATGAAGCTGCACTGACCCATGATTGTGCCACTGCACTCCGGCTTGGGTAACAAAGTGAGATCCTATTCTCCATCCCCAACCAGTCCCCCCAGAAAAGGCCAGGTGTGGTAGCTCATGCCTGTAATCCCAGCACTTTGGGAGGCTGAGGTGGGAGGATTGCTTGAGCCCAGGAGTTTGAGACCAGTTTAGGCAACAAAGTGAAACCCTGTCTCTACAAAAGGCAATACAGTGAAACCTTGTCTCTACAAAAAGTGCAAAAATAAGCTGGGCATGGTGCCACACACCTGTAATTGCAGCTACTCAGGAGGCAGAGACAGGAGGATTGCTTGAGCCCAGAGGTCAAGACTGTAATGAACCATGATTGTGCCATTGCACTCCAGTTTAACTGACAGAGTGAGACTCTGTCTTAAAAAAAAAATTATTTTGATATTAAGTGATAAGTGGCTATTTGCCTAGTAGCTTCCTAAAATAAACTAGCATAAAATGAAACTTATTTTCCAACCTATCCCTAAGCCCTTGGAATTTCAGTTCTAATAACTAGAATAGTTACATAAAACCAGTAAAAAGTTGTTTAATAAGAATGTACACATTTCCCCTACTAAAATTTATTGCTTGTAGTTTCAAAATAAAATCATAAAGTTATCTCAAAGCCAAGCAAAAAAATTATTTGGTACAAAGTAGCAAACTCGCTGCATTAGAAGAAAAGGCCATTTCTTCACATATTTGAATACAGGCACCAACACATAGTTCCACATGAAATTATATTTCTTTTTTTTTTTTTTTTTGAGATGGAGTTTCGCTCTTGTTGCCCAGGCTGGAGTGCAGTGGCGTGATCTCGGCTCACTGCAACCTCTGCCTCCCAGGTTCA
Source organism: Homo sapiens (assembly GCF_000001405.40). NCBI lineage: Eukaryota > Metazoa > Chordata > Mammalia > Primates > Hominidae > Homo > Homo sapiens. Next base: position 2,235,084 of record NT_187614.1, read on the forward strand.
AGCGATTCTTCTGCCTCAACCTCCAGAGTAGCTAGGATTACAGGTGCATACCACCACGCCCAGCTAATTTTCTATTTTTTTTTTAGTGGAGATGGAGTTTCGCAACATTGGTCAGGGTGGTCTCAAACACGTGACCTCAAGTGATCCACCCGCCTCGGCCTCCCAAAGTGCTGGGATTACTGGCGTGAGCTACCGTGCCCGGCCTGAAATTATATTTCAAAGAATTTTTTTCACCTGTAAAATTTTAAACATCCAAAATAAAAGGAAAAGATTTATTTTCAAGGGTTGACTTTCTGTAGAAACTCTCTGAGACACGTAACAGTTGATAAATGTCTTACATTCTTATTTATATAACGTATGGACTCAATCTACATTCAAATCAGGTTCTGCTCTTTGGCAGCCTAAAATGTCAGGGAATCTAGCTGGCTCCAGAATATCCAGTTATTTAATTGCAGAGGTACATCTAGTTCACTTATTAAATCCTGTGCTCCCAAGCTCTAACACAGTTGGCATTCATAAATAGTATTTACTTAGAGTAAGAGTGAAAAATCAGGACTGAAGGACAGAGATCATTACTGCAAACATTATAAGGATTTCAACAGAACAGCTGGAATTTTAATACAGCTTTATTCTGCAGTCACTCTGCAGTTTGTTTACTTTTATTTCATTAAATTTCAACTTAACATTTTAGGCAATGAAAAAACTGACTCCTAAAAACATTTCTCTCTAATTAAAGATCAGTCTGTTATTCATCAGGTTACTTTTCAGCTGTGAGTCAGATTAACAAATAAGATTCAAGAAACTACAGTTAGCCTGGAATCTCACTGCATGATTCATTCATCTACACCTAAGAGGAATCTTTTCCTCTCACCCAAATTAGTATCTTGACTTTTCCCATTTGCAGACAAATTTTAGAACAGTTTAGGAAGTGTCTGTTGAATAAAGACTGTCCATATGCCCTTGTTCAATGCAGAGATTCTGATAAGCCCTTTCAAAGTGGACCTTTTAAAATAATACTTTTCTATCACTCAATTATTTTTTGGCACAGTGTTGCAGCCAAACTTGAAATACTATGTAGCCAAAATAATGTGGAGTAGGATGAAGATAAATATATTTGAGCACTTAAAAATATTAAATACCATAGTAACAAGATTTCCAAACCATTGATGGGCAAGTTCATGTCCCACAACCAGAGCAACCCACTGGCGGGATGAAGAACAGGAATTTTTTGGATCAATAAGCAATGCAGTCTCCCTATGTTTAAAAAAAAAAAAAAAAGAAACAAATTTAAACAATAAAAGTGGGCATGCATAAGTTGGGAAGATTCAGACAGTAAGTCAGATGGACAAGTTAGGCTTTAGAGATATTAGGAAAATATTTCCTAATATGGAAAGAAAAAGTTTCACGAAGATTAAAGACTACCCCAACAGAATTAATACAACAGAATATCAAAGATGTGACACAAGTTTAATTATCAGTTTGTTGATAGAATAGCTGCCTGAAATTTTGGGAAAACATTGTCTAAGGGATTAGCGATTACTGTGCTAGATGGAGAGAGAAGAAAGTCCTTTCATTAAATGAGGGGAGTGGTGGAGGAAGATGCATTCCATAGTCCCAAAAACAGCACTGAGCCGGCCGTTCAACACTTAGCTCATCTAAGAAGGCAATTGAAAGTAGAAGGCAAAAACTTGTTTACAGACAGACTCTGCTTTTAAAAGTTATTCAACTCACATGTTTATGTTGTGGTGACAGACATGTAAAAACTTGGCTAGAAGATATGAAATTAGGGAAGGTTCTCCAAGCTGGATAAATAGCTGTGAAACTACTGGCAGGAAAGAAAGGCACTGCAATGAGAAACTTAGCCAAGAATATATCTAAAAATGCTACTACCGCCAGATGCTCACTTTAAAATCTTACACCCTCAGACAGTAGCACCAAAGGGAGAGGTGTCCATCTGCATTCTTGAAATGTGCATGGAAGTGGGGGAAGGTAGAAAAATTTACACCATATCGTAAAGCAGAAGCTACTCAACTGTGATTAGGAGGGAAGCCCTTTTGAAATCAGTGATTTGAAAAGATAAGGCAGGGTAATACATCATTAACATACCTATAAGTAACAAGGTCCCAGTTCTCCATGGCACCTTCACAAAATAAATATAAACATTTATTGAGATATATATATATATATATATATATATATATATATATATACTCTTGCATCAAAAGTCACAAAATTTTAAAAAGTTATTACAATTCAGCAATAAAATGAAATTTACTTTACCAGCTGCAAAGTCTGCAATAGCAATGAGATCAATTTTAGGTAGAGGATAAGGAACATTGAAGTAGTCCTTATAAAAAGGCAAGGTTTTAGCAGCAACCTATAAAAGTATAAACAAAATAACCATCTAATAAATATGTTATTATAATTCATATTGAAACCCACAAAGGAATCCTGTTGCAAGCCAATGTATCTTAAATTACTAGAAATGAATCCCAGGGAGCCCTACCTCCGAAGACTGCCTTAGCTCCAAACTTTGAATACAATGGCCAAACTTTAATCCATTTATAACTTGATATGAAAAATATAACTACATATTTTCCAACCCATTCCCTAGAGAAATTCCACTCTTATATTCTCTTAA